>NC_000023.11:12137488-12440518 GCF_000001405.40 Homo sapiens | reverse complement strand
TGAGACATATCTGCCAGGTCACTCACATCCCAGAGCTCCCTGCAGGATCAGGCTGAAGCTCTGCTCTGTAGGAATTCCCTGAAGTTTTGCATTTGCTTGGCTTTCTCCTCCCCTCCCTGTTCTCCTCTTCCTACTCCCTTACAGGTCACAGTCACCCCTGGGAGTAGTTTCTTAGTAAATTATTTAAATACAAATCCTCAAATCAAGGTTGCTTTACAGTATATTATTTATCTGGAGGGTTGCAAATAAAATATAGAATACCCAGTTAAACTTGAATTTCAGATGCAAAACAGATTATTTAGTAGGTTGTATGCAATATTTGGGATATACTTATACTACATCATTATCTGTTGCATATTTGAAATTCAACTATAACTTGGCATCCTGTATTTTTATTTTCTAAATTTGATAACCTTATATATCAGACCCTCAAAGCAATCCATTGAGATAATTACTTCCATTTTATAGATTTTTAAAAAAACTAAAGCTTGGAGAAATCTAGTGACTTTTTAAACGTCATACGGGAGCTGGCAGTTTTGCAACTCACATTTGAGACCTTTTAACTGTCTGCTTTGTTCTTTTGTTTTGTCTCATTTTATAGAACTCTAGTTTTCAACCCCCCATTTTTGGAAAGGTCAAGTCATCAAACTAATGCAAACTAAGGTTCCAACGGTTAACAACCATTTGGTATGTTGAACCAAGTCAAAATACGGCATTTTAACAAACAATGCCTCAATAGGAAAATGTGAATTGCTCACAATGGAAACATCACATCTGCTGGCAGGTGACCTTCTCCTGCCCCTCATACAATCTAAGTCACCCATTTCCCTTGCCTTTGAATAAGGCTGGATATAATTTCAAGGGTTATAAAAGAAAACAAAACGAAATGAGCTCTGGACTTTGTCAGTTCAGAATGTAATAATAAAACAGTTTCGGTTACACCATGACAGCACAACACCACGGGCTCTTGCTGAGATGATTCATGCCTGTTTCCATGGGAAATAGTAAAGAGTGGAGGTTAGGAGCTCTGGTTTTGAGGTCCATCACACCTAGGTTCGAATCCCGTACTTAGGAGCTAGATGCTTTTGAGTCTTGCTAAGCGTCAAGAACAATGAAAAGCCTGAGATTTGACCCTATTTGCAAGCTAACGTGTTAGTCTGCCATCATTTCACGGATGTTTGCAGAAGACAAGAGACCCCTAGGTCACAGAGAAAGGGATTTATTACTCAGAGCAATAGCCGTAGCCAGAGTATTAGCATTTGTGCCACTTCCAGAACCCCAATTCCCATTGGAAGACACAAAGAGAGTGAGGCAACGGCTGCATACACTGGGTTACTGGACAGGAATCCTGAACGTAGAAAACCTGAATCTTTCATAATGGATTTCATAAGCCCACCTGAACTTTGTCCTGGAGGGAGACATTATCTTTATTATACTGGACAATGAACAACTCTGCCTTTGCTCTGGATGGAGTCACTACCTCTGTCATCTAAACTTGTTCACTATACAAACATATCCTTATAAGGATAGTGTGGAAGAAAGGCAGTTAGTACCTCTGCTCGGAAGACACGTGGAAAGGTGAGCGACGCACAGAGAACTGTCTCCTGGTGCTAAGTTTTGGTTTCCTCATCCATAAAATGGAAATCATAGTTTCTACCTCACAGTGTTCCTCTTCACCTTCAGTTTAGAAAAATTCCTTTATTCTTACTACTTCTATTTCTTGCCACCTCCACAGCAGTTGTGTAATTCCATGTGACTTAAAGGCAGCCGTGAAAGTAGAAAGTGCCTTGGGTATGGCATCAGAATCGGGGTTTTTGTCACCCCTTCATTAAGCAAATATGTATTGAGCACCTACCACCTACAAGGTGACATGTGATGCACTGAATTAATCCCAGACTGTCTGACTTAATCTAAGTTCTCTTGCTTGGGAGACATCCTGAATATCTCTGAAGCTTCCTTCTCTCTAAAATAAGAATACTAATACTTTCTCCATATCATTACTAGGAATGATGAGATAATGAATGAGAAACCACTTTTGGAATTATAAAGTAATATACACATTCAATTTTCCCCCAACACTGTCTTTTCAGTAAGAGTCTGGTATATAACACTATGAATCTAGTATTGCCCAAATTGCATTAATGGACTAGCATATTTAATGACCAAGGAGGTAGAACAATTTTATATCCAATCCCAAGTTGCATAAAGGATGATAGGCAAATTAAGGTCACTTCATTGATATGCTGCTCTTGGATTTCTAATTTCATAAAGCCTTTGTGTGTTGTGTCTGCTTAAACTGACTTTTTAGAACTTTACTAAAATTGTGGAAATAGTTTCCCTTATAACGTCACCTGAAAACCTTTTGTGAGTTGGTTTGCTGACATACTCAGTTGTTAAATAATATAGTTGGATATAATCCAAATAGCTTCTAATTCTTTTTAGGGCTGCAAAATCACAAAATAATAAATTTCTAAAGGCCAGAAGCAGTATGATTTATCCATTTCTCTGCCTTATTTTCTAGGTTTAGGTAAAAAACAGATGGAGGTATCCACATATTGTTTAGCAGTAAATTTTGATCCTTGATCCTATGCAGAACTCACAAAACAAAATTTTATTCTATTTGAAATTACAACTAACCAAGAAACTGAATGAATAGTATGACTAATTTCTCAGTAAAGCCTTAGAATAGACTAACGTTTATAAACTCATAGGAAAGGTTCACTTGAGTCTCAGCTACTTCATAGCAAAACCTCAGAGATCAAGTGTAATGGGAGCATCGTGAAAGGAAAAGAGACGAAGGCAGATTACCTATGAGACACAGATGGAAAGAGATTAATTCAGATTTCTTATCACAGCAGTAAATTCCAGAAGACAATGGAGTAACACCTTTAAAGGGCTGAGTAAAACTGAAAAAGTTCTGAGGGGAAAACAACTAGAATCCAAAACCATCATTCAAGAGTAAGAATGAAATGAAGCTTAGAACTCAGACGGTTTGCCACTGAAAGACCACAGCTGGGCACAGCAGGAGTTAGGACTATCCCAGCCTAACTGAAAGGAAAAAAAGAAGGAAAAAAAATGGGTAAGACAGGCAGGTAGAAGAAAGAAAGAAAGAAAGAAAAAAGAATATATTGCTAGATCTAAATAAATACTACCTGGAAAAAGTGTGTGTGTGTTTGTGTGTGTGTGTAATAAATTGGAATTAAAATTCCAGATTCCTAGTAATACCACCTTGGGAGTTGGGGATAGATAGGTTCCCTGCTGGGACTATTGTAGGGAAGCTAAAGTGTCTTGTTTGGGAGGGCAACTACTAATTAACTTTAGATTTTGCCAGAAAAATATTATAGCAAGCTTGTTAATAAGAAAGGGAAGCAAAAATAATACAAATGAAATGCATAACTTCCAAGCAATAAAAAGGCACAAAATTCAATCCACTCTACAGAAATTAGAAAATAAAAAACCTAAAAATTAAAAAGAGAAGATATAAGAAATTACTGCAAATATTTCAATAGCCCTAACAAATATAAATCAGTTAAACTCATGTACTAAAAGATTTTCAGCTTTTTAGAAATCATCTAGGTATTAGGACAAAATAATTCTCTCTTAATTTTAAAGATCTAATTTCATACCCACTATAATCAAACATCACAAGGTAATAATAGCAAAGATAAGTAAACCGATGAAGAAATGACAAATATTTAAGGTGATGAATATGCCAATTACACTGATTTGTTCTTTATATGAATATATTATTACAGGTACTCCAAAATATATGCATCTGTTATGTATCAGTAAAGAAAAAAAGCAAAAGGACTTCAAATATCAAATATTTGAAAACTAAATTATGTGTAAATAATTCTTGGTTAAAGAAGAGAGAAAAATACTATAAAATAATATTTTTATTAAAGCTAGTCCATATCAAAGTTAGTGGGATGAATTTACTGAAATATGTTTTATTTCAGAAAATAAAAATGAGCTAAAAATAAATTAATTGATTAGCTTTAAAAGCTGGAAAATGCCAAATGAAGCAAGAAGAAGAAAATGAAATGTAAAAGAAGTTAAACCAACTTGTTTGGAAAACCAACCAAACAACCCTCCCCACCAGAGTTACTCAATAAAGCTAATATCCACTCTGTTAAAGTCTAATGAAATAAACCTCTAGAAAGAGGAAAAAAGAGAGAGAGGGCAAAAATAAATAATACTAAAAATGAAGGACAGGCCAGGCATGGTGACTCACGCCTGTAATCCCAGCATTCTGGGAGGCTGAGGTGGGTGGATCACTTGAGGCCAGGAGTTTGAGACCGCTCAGGCCAACATGATGAAACCCGTGTCCACTAAAAATACAAAAATTAGCCAGATGTGATGGCGGGCTCCTGTAATCCCAGCTACTCTGGAGGCTGACGCACGAGAATTGCTTGAACCCGGGAGGCGGAGGTTGCAGTGAGCGCAGATTGCACCCCTGTACTCCAGCTTGGGCGACAGAGCAAGACTCTGTCTCAAAAAAAGAAAATAAAAGAGGGACATAACCACAGATGCTGTAGTGATTTCAGAATTAAGAGAAAACTAGACATAATTTTAAGGTAATAAATTTAAAATCTGGGAAATTTTACAAAGAAATAACCGAAAATCTGAATAGACCAATAAACCTGAAGAGATCAAAAGCAATTGGGCCAGTAATCCAAGTTCCTACAAAAACTCCCACTAGGTCTAGTGATTTTACTGGAGATTTCAAGTAAACTTCTAGTAAAATGATTCCTATCTTACAATAACTATTTTATACTCACAAAAGAAGTCCAGCCTGTAAACTTGTTTCTAGAGACTAGCATAACCACAAAAACAAAATCGAAGACAAATAGGAAAATAAGGCCAAACTTATTTATGAATTCAGATGTACAAATAATCATAATCACAGCAAAGAAAGCATTTACTACCATCAAACCTCTATTCATGATAAAAAAAAATGTTATAGTAAGCTAGAAAAGAGGGAAACCTCTTAAGTCATTAAAAGGCTACCTACTAAAAATGTACAGAAAACAACCTACTTAGATGTGTTTAAGATGCATTCCAGTGAAAATCCAGAAATAACTAAAAGTATCTGCTGTCAGCATATACTGAATATACTGTATATACAGCATATACTGAATATACAGTATATATTGAATATACAATAGATATTCAATATTGTGCTAGAGATTCCAGTTAACAGAGTGATTTAAAAATGTTTTAGGATTGTAAAGGAAGAAATAATATTTTTAATATTTGCAGGTTAGATTAGCATATAACAATCATTAAGACTCTAAATGCCACATTTTAACCAGTTAGAGTACGTAATAGAAGAATGGACTCCATTTATAATAGTAAGAAAAACTATAAAGTAAGCATGAATCTAATAAAAATTGTTATGAAGAAAACACAGATGAAGAACCACACATTAAAAAAGTATAAAATATTAACGGAAATAAAAGGCCTGAATAACTAGTAACATACTATGTTCAAGGATGAAAAAGTTCAACTCTGTGAAGGGATCACTTCTCAAAGTTATTTTTGCTAAAATCCCATTCAAAATCTGAAACAAGATTTTTGCTGGCATTGGCTAAAAGATCCTACAATTAACATGGCTGAGTAAATGCAAGAATAGCAACAGTAGTTTTTTAAAAAGCAAACTGTATATAAAGTTCTATATTTGCACCCAAACTAAAACATGAATGCCTGAACCTTGTGGCTTTCCCCCAACACCCATTCTGTGCCTCCTGCACTGTGTAGCTGCCCTGTGCTTTTGGCTTTGGGTATTCACCCCAGCACCAGGAGTGGGCCCTGATTGGTCTAAACCAGCTAAGTCCCTCCCATCATTCCTGCCTGCAAGTGGTTTTAGAAGCCAGGTCTGAGCTAAACAGGGGTATGGCATTCAAAGCTTACAGAGGCTGGTTGAAGAAAGGGCATGTGATGTAACTAAGGCCAAGGAGCCTCGAGTGGAAGTTTCCTGGGAGCTTCTAGAAGAATCTCACTTCCTGGAGAGTTTAAGGCAGAGATGCATTTCCTTCCTTTGATGTTTTCTGGCACAGACAGGAGGACCTCCATCTTGAAAACAGAGTGAGGATGATGCCTACACTGAGAGGAGAGCAGAGCCAAGACCATCACAGGGAAACAGTAAAAATCTTTATAGGTGGAGAGAAGAAGGCGTAGGCTTAACCCATGAATTAAACCAACTCCACAACCCTTTACATTAACTTAGGAAACTTGTAATTTGACAAAGTTATCCTCATTGGTACACTGAGAGTTAAATATTCATCACAGAGGTTCCCTAAACAGCAACTTCTCACAGGATCTTTAAAACATTATTTGATTTATGCAAATTAAAGCACAAGCATTGAAGGAACACAACCATGTGTGAAAAAAGTCATATCATGTAGAGCATTAGAGCTGAGATCTACCATCAGCTTCGAGACTTTTCCACTAGTCATGTCCTTCCACTAGTCTCCTACAGGCTCTCTCTTCTCCACGCTTGAAGCTTCTACTCCCGAACACAATACGTATTTTATCACCTCCAAGCTTTTAAATAAACTTACAAAGTTTTACTGACCGGGAAGACCCCTACCCCTTCTTCTCTCCACCTATAAAGTCATACTCATATTGAAAACCCAGCTGAGATTTCGCCCTGCTTACAAATATTTCCCTGATTTTTTTTCAGGCTAACTAACCTATTTCCTTTCTCTGAACTCCTATTTAAGGCTGATATCACTTAGTTGGCAACTGAAAATGTATTGTCAGCTGGTTGCTCTTCTGCTTTTGCTGAAATCTTTCATTGCTGCTGAATTTCTCAAATATTTATCTTCTTTCCAAATAGACTGTAAGTTATCTGGGGGCAGGAAGTAAGGTGTACCTGTACGGGCCCTCATACCTTGAACATAATAAGTTGTCAGAAAACAGTGTTGATTGAATTGGATTTCTGGATCGTGCTTTTTGAATCATCTGCATTCTGAGCAGATTTTTCTTGCTGTTAGTATCTTCACCCCTGATTCCACTCTTGGCTACCTTTAACTTGTTTTCAAATTGTACCACCTGCTCACTCCCCTTTGATCAGTTAACTCAGAAGATGGAACTGTGAATTTTGGCCAACCTCTGGAGAGTAATTTCTCCTTACCAGCAAGAGGCCAATTCAGTTTCCACGTTTTCAGGTCCTTGGAAATCATTTGTAATGTGAGGCACTGTTGCGTCCATGGAGGAAAAGAGATGACAATCTCCAGGCTGTATTTATAGCTTAATCCTATTCATCTCCTTTCCATGTCAGCAGAAATAGATTGCCTTTTGCTCTGCACTTTTCTGGTCTGCCCATGACTTTGTTTACAAAAACAGGCTCCAAGATAATAAACCACTTCTCTGCTCCTGAAAGCTTAGATAGAATGCTCAACCGTGATTTTCAAACTGACAACTAAGGTAGCTCAAAATTAACTCATAAAATGTTAAAGGACTATTTAGGATACTGAAGTATATTCATAACTCAGCTGCTTACTTTGAAATTCCCCTTTTTGGAATATTGTTTTCACTAACCTCTATGGCTACTTTTTGCATTCCATAGCAGAGAAATACACTTCATTTTCTACATAAAAGACTGTAGTTAAAAGGTTGGTTATGGTGGTTCATGCCTGTAATCCCAGCACTTTGGGAGGCCAAGGCTGGAGGATTGCTTGAGTCTAGGAATTTGAGACCAGCCTGGGCAACATAGTAACACCTCCTCTCTACTAATGATAGAACACAACAAGAATGATGGGCTTTCACTTCTGAGATTATGATTGAAAGATTATAGCTTCCATCTTGCTGGCATTCTCTCCCTGTATCTTGCTTCCTCACTTTGATGAAGTCAGCTGCCATGTTCTAGGCGTCCCTACTGAGAGACTGATATAGCAAGGAACCGAAGACAGCCTCTGGCCCACAGCCAGAGAGGAACTGAGCCCCTCAGTCCAACAACCTTCAAGGAATTCAATCCCGCCATCAGCCATTTGGGTGATTTTGGAAGCAGATCCTGCTCCAGTTTAACCCTGAGATGACTGTGGCTCTGGTTGACACCTTTATTGTAACCTATGTGAGGTCCTAAGCCTCAGAACCAAGATAAGCTGTGCTCAGATTTCTGACCTGCAGAAACTGTGCAGTGATAAATGTTGTTTTAGGTTGCTAGGTTTTCAAGTAATTTGTTACATGACAATGGATAACTAAGACATGCTATTTTGGATGTTAAGTACTATGCAGAAAAAGTTCAGGAGGATAAGGAGTTTAGCAGGTGCTGGAGGGGAAGTGGGGGCTTCTAGTTTTTACAGTGGTCAGTGAAGGCCTCTCTGAGAAGATGATACTTGAGGATAGGGAATGTGGGCATAGGCTGTGCTAATATCTGGAGGAACTATGTTCCAAGAAAGGTGAATAGCAAGTGCAAAGGCCCAAGGCAGACATGGGCTCATAATGTTCAATGCTGCCCAAAAGTTGTCTAAAACAGATGTAGAGCCCTGAGTTAAGGCAGGCAGGGAGGGGCTCTGGTTCTCTCTGTAAGTAGACCGTAGGCCTGTTTTCTCTTTGTTTAGTTTCAAATAAATAGTTTCTCCTTGGCAGAATTTGAGTCCTCAATAAAGAGAATGTGGTAGTCCAGATAAGGCAGAAATGACACATTCTTAAAGGTATTGCTTTTTTCGTGTTTAAAATGAACTGATGTGAACCAAAGCAAGTAAAAATTGCTTCTTAACAGAAAACACATTTAGTATATAAGGCAAACATATTGTGTAAACAAAATTATCAACCATGAATTTTATTATAGATGATTTTGTGTCTAATAATCTTATATAGTAATTCTTAAACACCCTAAAACACAGGAAGCACTGAGTGAGGAGAAAAGGGCGTGAATACTCCAATGACTCTGCGGGCCTTTGAGAGAACCCCCAAATCTCATGGGAATGGACATGGATGGAAAATTCTCAACTGTTTCTATTTACCTACTGGGTTTATTCTGTTCTGCTTTAATTAAATATTAATGCAACTGAAGTTCATCTTGCTACTTTTATGAGATATGTGTTAAGTATTGGGCACCTCACCTGGCATATAGTAGGTAGTCAGTAAATGTCTCATGGGTTAGAATCTAAATCTTGCTTGAACAGATTACATTCATACTGTTATTCAAAAATATGGTGAGAAGAACATAACCACCTATTTCCTTTATAGAAACTCTGCTGTCAGATGTCATGCTCATACCCTTTGACACTGGTCTCACGATCCATAGATATTCATAGGGGATGCATTGCATTTTGATTATAATGATTTCTCTATGTTTTCCTCTCTCCTTGATTCCTTGAGAGCAGAAAACATATCTTATTCATATATGCATTCCTAAAGCCCCCCAAATTGCTTGACGCATAGTGGGTTTTCACTGAATTTTTGCATAAATGAATGAGTAAATGGTTGAAGATACGTTCCTAAAAGCCAAAATAGAAAGCTGCATCTCTCTGAAATATGTTTAATGTGCAATTTGGTTTGTAATTAAAGGAGAAGACTGAATTTCTCTCTGTAATTTGAATACAAATACTCCTCTGAAGCCTGAATGTTATTGGAATTTTGGTCTGGAAAACTAGCAGCCAGAGTCAGATGCTTCCGAGAATATTTTTCACCCCAAAAATACTTCAATGATGTCATTTTACCTAGAGACAAAATTACATATCTGTGAAATATGTTAGAAAATAATGTTTAACAAATTTTAACATGAATCAGAAAGACTGAGTATAAATGCAGTGGCCATAAAATAAAGATGTGAAACTCAAAAGGGTAATTCATTAATCAGAACGAGTGTTCAGCAACAACTTATCCTTCACCTTGTCATTGAGGGCCATCAATGTCCAGCTGCTAGTGAAACTGGCCTTGGCACCAGGAAAAGAGGCAAAACCAGGCGTTAAGATGAACCCTGTCTTTGTCTTTTTGAGAACTATCATCCAAAATAAGTATCATTCATCCATTTATTGATCATATTAATTGAGCACCTACTATAAGCAAGGAACTCTGCTATCAAAGATTCATAATAAATAAGATGATGTCTTTCCCTCAAAGCTTTCCTATCTGGTTTGGGAGACTGATGGGTAAATAAATCAACAATGGCACTGAAGAGAAGGCAGGGCTACCTGCCAAGAGGAAACTCCACTCAGGACAGGAAACTTGGCAGATGTGTGTCTTTTCCTGAAAGTCACATTCAGTAAGGGTTTTCATGGAGTTATGAAAGTGCATGTCAAGCTTGGGGAATGGCAAATGATTTCATCTGGAAAGACTACCAAATTAATTAGGATGGAATTATGGTAAACAAGATCATATAAGAACAACCCTTAGCTTTTTTGCACTTCAGTCTACTCCAGTAATTTGTCCCTATGAGTCAGGTAAAAGAAAACTATTACCAACTATCTTAGTCTGTTTTTTGTTGCTGTAACACAATAACTGAGACTGGGTAATTTATAAAAGAAATTATTTTCTCACAGTTCCAGAGGCCAGAAAGCCCAAGATAAAGGCCCTGGCAAGTTGGGGCCTGGTGTCTCTGCTTCTAAGACAGCATCTCGAATCCCGTGTCCTCCAGAAAGGAGAAATGCTATGTCCACACATGGCAGAAGAGCAAGCTAGCAAGTTAGACAAACACTCCCTGAAGCCTCTTTTATAAGGGCCTTAATCTCATTCATGAGGGAGGAACCCTCACAGCCTAATCACCTCTTAAAGGCCCCACTTCTTAATCCTATCGCATTGCCAACACCTGAATTTTGGAAGGGACATATTCAAACCATAACATCAATTTAGAGTTGCAGGACACAAAAAGGGCATCAGAGTCACGCTTTCAAAATGGCAGGGGAAAGACATTACACCCTCTACCTTTGAAAACTATGTAAAAACAATAATAAGAAACAGGACAATCTCCATCAACTTCATGACAACTATACCCCCAACTACAGAAAGAATGGAAAGAAAGCCAAATAAAGTTAGCACGGAGGAGAAAGGTGGAAGCTAGGTGCTTTGGTGGAAGAGGTGGGGTGCTAATGGGAGAAGCAAGCATTCTACCTCTGCAGAACTCCAGAAGGTTTTAGCAGTCAGAGGCACAGTTACAGTGGGAGAAAGAGTGAGGCAAGAGGCTGAAAAGAGGACCTTGATTGATAATCAGGAGAAAGAGCTTTATTAAGGTGGGCCTGCACCCCCTACTGATTGCAGTCAAACAACCATCCTTCCACAATCAGTGGAGATGCCGTAGAAGAAACTGAAATGTAAGCAGAGAGGCTGCAGTCACCTTGGACAGAGAAGCCACAGAGCATTGAAAATGGGAGGCTCATGTGGAAGTCAGCATACTGAATGGCGAGTTCCCAGTGTCTTCCCCTTCTCCAGCTGGAGAAGACTGTCACCCAGGCTTGTTATCAGCTCCCTTCCCCTGACACAGGCAGCAGATTGGGGGGTCATTCCCCAGAAAAATAGAAATGCTTCCAAGAAAAGAGCTGCTAGTAGTAATATTTGGGGTCTTCCAAAGAAATGGTTGGCTGTCTGCCCAGTTATCCCACAGTGAAGTCTATCAATCCACAAGCCCTAATCTTATACATGGAGCATGCAACTAGTTTTTTTCCTGTTTCATTTTCAATATGAGCAGACAGTCAAGGACCACATGACATTGGGGGAAGAACTACAAATTGAAATATGGAAATCAACCAAACACACACAGAGAAAACAAATGATGAAAATTAAGAAAAAAAATGAAAGAAATCAGAGGAAATCAGATGAAACAGGGACAAAGGAACAGAAAATAACTTCAAAGATACTATAATTAAATCTGCTGAGAAAGAAGCGAAGATATTACAGCCATGCACTCCTTCTTAATAAAGTACTGGAAGATATGTTCCAGCAAACAGAGGGAGTAAACCTAAGCAGAAGATGAAATGGAATTTAGGAGAAACAGAATCCAGCACCAGTGAAAGAAACAAAGGAAATTTGTTGGATGATGGCTGTCTTCACTTGAGAGCTTCCAAGTGAGCCTAAAGAAAAAAATACCCAAGATTGAAATAAGAGGTTCGAGAAATCCAGGAAAAAACTATAAACTGATCAATTTTCTGGCATGTTAGACCCTGGTGAAAATTGTGTTGAGAGGTATTTTAAGGAATTGTTAGGGTTTTATATAGACTTTTCCAGATGGTTAAGAAACAAATAAACACAAAAAGCAATTATAAAACCAAAACAGTTCTTTAAGAAAGGAAATATAATCATACTGTGATACTTGGCTAGGCAGAGAATAACATTTACATCATCAAAACAATAAAACACTGTGGATTTTTTTTAAAGTTAAAATGTGATTAAAATGGAAAAATGGGGAGGCCGAGGTGGGCAGATCACGAGGTCAGGAGATCGAGACCATCCTGGCTAACACGGTGAAACCCCGTCTCTACTATAAATGCAAAAAAAATTAGCTGGGCATGGTGGCGGGCGCCTGTAGTCCCAGCTACTGGGGAGGCTGAGGCAGGAGAATGGTGTGAACCCGGGAGGCGGAGCTTGCAGTGAGCCGAGATCGCGCCACTGCACTCCAGTGTGGGAGACACAGTGAGACTCCGTCTCAAAAAAAAAAAAAAAAAAAAAAAAAAAAAAGAGAAAAAAGGAAAATGATTAACATCCTTATCTGTCATAATAAAAAGTCAACGATACTGTCTAAAATCGGATGAATCAAAAAAGTGACTTATGCGTTATTTTCAAGAATATACTTCTAGAATAAATAAGGTATGAGAGTTAAATATATTTGTGTCTGGGGAGCAGGGCAAGGCAGGGGAAAGGAGGAGGTAACAGATTTTTGGTTTGAGGTCATAAGCCCTTTAGTACCATCAGCCTTTTAAAACTATTTGCAATTACATTTTTGATTAAAAGTAAAACAAAATTAAATAGCATCTTGTTCCAGACAAAGGCTCACATCATCCCAGAAGACTAGTGCCTTCTCCATTGTGTCTTCCCCCTCAGAGCCCCAAAGACACCAACCTTTAGCTTCATTCCTTTTATTCTTGCATTGTCCTGTTCTCCTAGCTTGTCTCCATCCCTCTGTTTTCATCATCACTTGCCTACTCATCTAGTACCCTTAGCTTGAGGTGTTTGCATAGTACTTGTCTACCCAAGGAGAACATGTATGCACTGGCCTGTGTGTTGATTTCAGCTAGCCCAATTCTGATTGGTAGACTGTTTTTTTCCCTGAGAGAGTGAGATGAGGATGGAACTGGGGGAGAAAAAGAACTCATTATGAATGTAAAATTTTGTACTAAAGAGACAGAACATTCTTAAATATGCGGTGATAAAGTACTGGAGGAGGGATTTCAGCAACCAATTAATTATCCTTTGCATCGAAACAAAATTAAGTTCTAAGGTGTTCAAATATAAGTGAGTATGTATATACATCATAACGATAACTAATGTTTTACATTATGCTTACAATGTACCAAACCTTGTCCTAAGCACTTCACATATATCAATTTAGCTAATTCTCACCATCCTATCTACAGTGTAAGGACTCCTATGATACTCGTTTTCAGAGATTAGGTACAGAGAATTTATGTAATTTCCCTGAGGTCACACAGCTAGTAATAGAGCCAGGATTCTAATCCAGTTAAAAAAAAACAAAAAAAAACTACAGCTAGAAGCCTCAAAAAATAGAGATCAGATGGAGGGCGTTTTATTTCCAAGTCAAGATTTGAGTGCATGCTAGAAGAGTAGAAGCTAAGAGATGGCTTCTGGAGGAGGTGAAATTAACCATCGGACTGATAGGAGTGTTCTTCATGAGCAAGCATCCTTCTGTGATTATGGAAGGGCAGATCAGGTTACTTTATTACTCCTTCCATTTTCCCTGTTCTGTGGTGTTTTTGTTTGTTTTGTTTGGGGGTGGCTTAAGGTCTATTAAGGGTAGAGAAAGGTGGGCGGCATGCAGACTTCCTTCTTCAGGTTAGCAGCCCTGATGAGAAAGAATAACAAGGCCTTATGCAAAACAAGATTGTCTACATTAGCTCAAACTGGGTCACTGATTTCAGGACCCAGTCTTTTCTTTGTATAATCTCTTTCCCATTCCATGAATAATCAGTTTCCAACTGCGAATACTCATCTCTAAGGTTAGGGGACTGCTCTCAACCATCCCTCAGGCCCCTCTTAGCCCTGAAAGTAGAAGATTTGAGGGCCACTGATCTCTGTACTAAGATGGTGCAGAGATCAACCATCTTCTTCACAGGCAATCAGGATCAGTGCAATTCAAGAGGGGTTACTATCTTGTTTCTATAATGTGTCTCTCCTGAAGCCACATTAAAATACTCTGACTGAAAACTACTCCATATTTCTTCCAGAAAGAGGGATCAATCCCTCTAGTCTGGGAATCCCAGTCTTCCTCAAGAGATAGTTATTGTCAAAATGTATTTTAAAATAAATTTGCTCAAGTAACAGTCATAAGACATTCATGATTTGAAAAATAACTTTCTAGAATTTTTAATGGTTTAGTATATATGGAAAATCACCTGCTGTTGAAAGCATACAAAATTACCTATACAAAAGATATCATCAAATCCTCATGAGAGTCCAACTGCATTGCCGAAGAGTATTTACATACACAATTCTCATCACTCTAATGGGAATTACGTGGCTAACACCCTCATGCATCAAAACAAAATAAAGTCCAGTAGAATTTAAGAATAGTAAAGACAGAGTAAAACAACCACACTAAGCAATCAAGACTGTATTGAGTAACAGCACATCAAGGTTTCTCAAGACCTTCTCACTCTAGAAATTTAGGACTGGATCATTCTTTCTTGCGGGGAGTTGCCGCATGCATTGTAGGATGTTTAGCAACATCTCTGGCCTCAACCCACAGGATGTCAGTAGCCCCTACCCACCCTCAGCTGTGACAACCAAAATGTCTCCAGACATTGCCAAGTGTCTCAAAATACCCCCGGTTGAGAACCAATGCATGAGACATAAGAAATATACCAGCTGTTATCTTATCAGGGAATTCTCTTAGATTCCAATGTTAATCTCTATAAAACAAGTTTACTTTGTATCTATAATGTAATGCTTGCAGATTCCCTCAATAGTGACAGGGAACAAGGTTTAGTAGGCCCAGAGCTCTAGGAAAAACAAGAGACAGCACCCTTTTACACATAATTTTTGTTTTGTTTCCACTGACAATGAAGAGAAGGGAACAAGAAATACAACTCTGGTTGGCTGGCAATTTCTGATAACTTTCAAAATTGTTCTGACAAGCAGATAGAAGAACATGATGGAACACAAAGCAAAAAGACTAAACAGGAGGAAGGTGGCACTTCTTTGAGAAATGTGGCCTAACAAAATAAAGGCACAGAAAAAAAATTAAGCACGAGTATAAGCTCAGTAGGTATGTCTGTCTTGTGAAGAAGGCAACACTCTACTTACTTATTTTGTCTTCCTGAATCATGTCAGGAAAAGTGACTAATTCGGTACAAATAATTAAAGCTGTTTAGGAATATTTTTTAAAGAAGGGTTTTTCATATTCAACCTACAGAAAATATCCCTTGGGGGAAAAAAAACTGAATTACTGAGGGATTTAGAGTAAGGCTCGTCTTTGACAAAGCAAACGCATTATAGAAGTAGCATTGCCTTTGCCCCAGTACACAAGATTCTGAAATTATAATCTTTATTTGTAATTCATGTGCCACTGGTGAACAGGGATGCTCAGAAAACTTTCAGATTATTAAAAAATGTTGAAAGCTGTCATATATTTTCATGATGTGGTAAATGGCATAATTATTTCCCAAATGGAGAGACCGGAGCATTTGGGAGATACACGGTCAGTGGTTGCATAGGCAGTAAGTCTAAGTTGAAGTCTGAACTTCAGATAGGCCTTGAACCTCGCTAATCAGAATGTGGTCCCTTGACCAACAGAAAGCAGAAGCCCGGGTCCCACCCTCGATCTATCTGATCAGAGTCTGTATTTTAACAAGATCCCCAGGTCACAATTATGCTCATTAAAGTTTGATAAGCACTGCTCTAGAGATTTCAGTTTTACCATTTAAGATCATATTTTATAGACTCTTTTGTGCCAAGAGAAATATTTTTTGAAAAAGTTCTTTCTAGAGCTTCTTGAGAAATATGAAAAAAGTCTTAAAATGAAGTCCTACTATTCAAGGAATAGCATATTATATACAAAAAGTGACAACAGAAAATGAAATCAATAGAACTAGAATTACAGTGACTAAGTAAAGCCTTCATTGCAGATGTTCTTCAAAGGAAGGGTGTCTTTAGCTGGATAGTTAACATGGGGCAGGAAAAATCAATCTGAAAAGAAATGACAAGGGTCGTATGGCAAGCTCAAAGTAGAACTACTCTATGACCGGTAACCATACCCAAGATAGATACTGCCCATCATTTCTTCACAATGACAAGTTTCGGTCCTTTTGTGCAAATGTACAAAATGCCATGCTACTAGTAACAAGTAATTAAAAACCCGAGATGGCCCCTTAAACTCAAAAGGGCATGATATGTTTTATTTTGAAAGCTTCTTGTTCTTTTCTGTTTTTTTTGTTCCTTTTTTCTTTTCTTGTTTTATACTTAACAGTATAAGACAACATGGTGGTATTTGTTAGTATCTGCTGACAAGCCTAAGCCATCCAGTAGTGTGTGATTTGAGATTATTGGGCACAGAAAGCTTTATTGGGCTTTGTCAGCAGTCCCCACATGCTAACATCATTGCATGAAGTTTATCTAATTTCAAAATGAGTAAAAGTTCAATGCATAAGGTTAAAGAGCATCAGTAACTAGCAGGCAATTAGCTCCATAAATGAAAAACAATGTTATGCAATTGAAAGACAACTGTACAAATCTTTCAAAAGTACAATAACAATAAAGTCAGCCACTGAATTGCAGAGAAAGGAATTTCAGTTACATTGATGAGGTTATTTTTCCCTTGCAAACCTTTCTGCACCCCCACCCTCACTTGGGCAACAATAATACAGTAACAGGAAATATATCAAAAAGGTGGAAGCTTAGAAGCTTAAAGCTCATAATCCCCACAGTGGCAGCCAAAAGCATAATTAAGGAGAAGCACTCATTTGTTTTCCTTCCCTTTAAAACCTAATCTCCTATTTTTCCAAGACCTTTGGGAGGAACTACGATTTAGGGTCAAGTTTTGAACAATGTTTGATTACTGCCAACTGGACCCCATGACCTTATTCAGAATGAAATCATGTACCAACAGATTTCGGGAGTGGGAAATTTTTGTTTTTTATTTTTTATTTATTTATTTATTTATTTTAGACGGCGTCTCACTCTCTCACCCAGGCTGGCGTGTAGTGGCGCGATCTTGGTTCGGCTCACTGCAACAACACTTCAGGAGCCGGAATTTTTAAGAGGTGTTTTGCTCTTCCAAAGCCAGAAAATAATCCTTTCACACAAGGACATCAGGAGCACAAGGTTATAGCCTCTAGACTTTGCTCTTGGAAACCTACTGAGTTTCCACAGGCAGGATATGAAATACCCAGCTGTCAAGAAAACCCTTTCCCCTCAAATTCTCAGCTCAGTTTGAACAAACATGACATATGCGGTCTACTGCCCTTCTCTCCCTCTAGTAAACATGAGCCTCCACAAAAAAGTCACATCTTTCCCATTTTTGGACCTCTTCTGCCTTTTAACAGGTGCAAGCATGAAGAACCAAAAAAAACCTGTGTGTTGTTCAAGTCTCTTGGCAGTTAATCCCCTTCATCTATAACAGATTAAACCAAAAAGCAAGAGGGTTACTTTCAGAGTGGAATTGACTAACTATTTCCCACTTTTATAAAAATGTATTTTCACATTTGTTTCTCCTATATGTTTCACTTCTTACAAAAATGAAGACCGCTTTCTAGCTCACTGTGGAATCCTGGAGAGCTTTCCTCATCCTCTGTAATCATTCTGAAAGCCATTACTTATCCAGTTTCTCCTGGGTACCAGGCACCGAGCTGGGTACCTTATTTGCATTATCTCATTGAATTCTTCAAACAGCCTTTCAAACGATCCTAGTTTATTCATCTGAAAATTTCCCCAATTTTTCAGATGAATAAACTAGGATTGTTTGAACAGCTATTTGAAATAATACCTATGTTCCCCATTTTTCAGATGAATAGGATTGAATAAAGTGAATGTAATAAGAGGAAGACGCTCCCTATTCAGGTTTCAAACCCCAAATATCAAAGCCTACAGCCTGTCTCTAGCGTCCTACACGATATCTGTTTCTAGAAGATGGCTAATAAGCATTTGTTGAACCCAACTGACTTGTAGACCATGGTCGTCTTTGCCAGATAATGAGCTGAGTCCTTCAAGGGAAATGTACCAGATAAGAGACACAGGAGGTGGTGATCATGTGCCCTTTTCTTTTCAAAAGAAGCACGCCCCAAAGCCATACTCACTTATAATTCATGATTAAACACATTAAATGATAATACCGGAAAGGAAATGTTTTACATACCAAAAATGTTTTACATACCAAAATGTTTTACACCCTGTTTTCAAGGATTCAAACATGTTAGACTTTTTTACTTCCTAAGTGTTTGTGGAAATGAAGGTCTGGTGAGAGAAGGGCAAGAGGGAAGAACATAATAAAGGGAGTAAGAATGGACAGCAAGAAGATATCCAAGGCAAGAACCGGAACAGCTTTGGGACACTGCCTAGGTTTACATCTCACTGGTCTCCTTATGTGATCAACTAGAAATTCAGCCCCTGCCCCCCCAGCTTTTTTTTTTTTTTTTTTTTCTTTGAGATAGGGTCTCTGTCTGTCACCCAGGCTGAAGTATAGTGGCCCAGTCATAGCTCACTGCAGCTTGGAACTCCCAGAGGCTCAAGCAATCCTCCCACCTCAGCCTCCTGGGGTAGCTGGGACCACAGGCACACACCACCATGCTCAGCTAATTTTTTATACTTTGTGTAGAGACGGGGTCTTCCTTTGTTGTCCAGTCTGGTCTCAAACTCCTGGACTCAAGCGATCCTCCTGCCTTGACCTCCCAAAGTGCTGGGATTACAGGCTTAAACCTCCACATCAGGCCTTAAATTAAGCCTTTTTATGAAAAAGATAGAAAAAGCCTTTTACCTCCATTGCAAATATTTTAGTTTTTGAGACGTGAGCATGGAAGCCTAACCTACCAATATTATTTGATTAGAACATATGTGTTGTGGTAACTTCTGTAGTTACATTGTCTCACAGATGTGACAAAACAGTTTTCTAAAAAGGATTATTTTGTCATTAGGGTTTTTATAAGTAAAGGTCACATTTGACATAAAAAAATGGAATTACTTTTGGTGACATACTTCTTAGGACAATAACTTTTGATCAGATGTCAATTCCTCACACCCCACCCTCCTCATATATAGATAGAAGACTTAACCTGGTCAATGTGTTGCCAACTCCCATTGCCAATCAGGACGCAGATAGTCTTTCATGCAGGCAGTAGGTGAAATTATATCCATGTCTTCGAACACCTATAAATGCTATATTTTTGTAAGCACTGAAATCACTGCCTTTCTGTGCTCAAGCCACCTGTGATTGTTTGACAAAGGAAAATCAGTAAATCTGCTCACCTTTAAAGTGAAAGATAAATTGAAAAGAAATACGAATTTCCTCATTCGACAAATAGGTACGGAGAGATTGTGGTTAAGTGATGGAGCTGGAAAAGGATGCTGTGAGGATTCTATGACATGTAAGAGAGACAAGGCTGCTGCCCTTCTGAAGGTCACATCAAACATGCGGTTACATGTGTGGATTGACAAACGCCATCACAGAGCACACATAGGGTGTTACAGAAGGCTAGATGTGTGTCAGAAATCTAAACTTGAATATCAACGACCGGTGTTGAGTTAGTCAGCACTGCCTGTGTTCAGGGTAAGAAGGTGTAAATGGGGATGGGGCAGGGATGGTGGCCCAGGATGAAGGATGAAGGATCAGCATGTGTGAGGGGCTGAAGGGGAGAGCCCATGGCAGCATGGAAGCCCTTGGAGCCAGCACAGAATGCCGAGGGAGGGCAGGTGATGAGAGATGCAGCAAGTGAGGTGAGAGGTGGAGGGGACAAGTGTTTCAGGGCCTTGAAGAAATAGTGAATTGATGAGCTCTGTGCCTTGGAAGGATGACCCTGGTGGCACAGTGGAAAACAGGCTAGAAAAGAGCCAGTTAGGAGACTACTGCCATTAGTAGAGACAATGGAGGCCCGGGTGGGACAGTGTTAGAAGTTAGAGAACAGCAGATTGTTTTGAGGATTCAGGACACTGATGACACAGAGCTTGGAGATTGCTTGGATATTGTGAAAGACAGTGAGGGTTTAAGACAAAGGAAAGAGTCAAGAATGGTTTCCAAACTTCTGGTATGGGCAACTAGACAGAGTGTGGGCCATGAGAATAGAGATGAAGGAGCAGGCGTGATGGTGACATGATAAGTTCAGGGCGTGTTAAATTATAGGTGCTGGTGGAATAGGCAGGTAGAGGTGTCCCAGCAAGCTGCTCAGTATTTAGGTATGAAGATTGGCAGAAAGATCTGGGCTGAACACAGCTGTCACCAGCCTAAAGACGGTAACGGAAAACAAAGAAGCATGGAGTGTGGGAGGAGGTGAGGGCCCCACAGGTCGTTAACCTTTAAGGTTAGGCAGAGGAAGAAAAGCCCATGAAGGAGATAAAGGAGGAGGAGCCAGGGAGGTAGGAAGAACACCAGTAGTGTACATGGTGTTCCTCTCTGGACTCCTGTAAGTCAGAGGAAAAGCATTTCCAGAAGAACGGTCAAGAACAGTGTGAATGATTCCCAGAAGTCTAGTAAGGACTTGCCCTTGAATTTGGTGTCCTTGGAGCAAATAGGTTCAGTGAACTGATATGGGCAGAAGCCAGATTTGACTGGGTTGGGGAGTTTTAGACCAGCACTTCTCAACCATTTCACCCTCAGGACTCCTTTCCACTCTGAAACATTTTTGAGGACCCCCGAAGAGTTTTTGTGCATGTTGCTTACATCTACCGATATCTAATATACTAGAAAGTAAAACTGATAAATTATTGAAATATTTTTTATGTATTTAAAAACAACAATTCTATTTCATAAGTCATATCTTTTTATAAAACATAACCATATTTTCCAAAACAAAAACATTTGGTGAGAAGAACAGCATCTTTTTACAATTTTGCAGATAGATCTCTTTAATACATTGCTCGACAGATGACAGTGGGTTTTTTCTATCGGCTTCTGGATTCAATCTGTTGCAGTACTATAGGAGACAGGATGCTTTGTCCGAGACAGGAAAAACAACTTATCTTCCACCCTCACAAGGGGGAGGAGGTGATGTAGTATGTGGATATGAGTAAATCAATAGGTTTGGGGGCAGGAGGTTGAGGGACTTTTCATCCAGTAGATTCTACTTTCCCTGCAAGATAGTATCATGATACAGGAGGAGGGAGGGGTCAGCAATTTTAAAAGCATAGGGAATATTAGAGCATAAATAATCAAGTCATTCTTTCTTATTAAGAAATCCAATGAATAAAGTCTCCTTGGATAAACATAACCCATGACATGAAATACCAAGAAAGGTATCTGGGGTGTTAGAAAATTGTGAGGCCTTCTGGGAAACTGAAATTCATGAAGAATTATTTAAGAAGAAGAAACAAAAATAAATGTAACATCTTTGGCCCTTCTGGAGAAAAGCTGAAGAAATGGTGGCTGTTTTCCGCTATTTATAAGCTAGCAACAAGGGAATTATCATAGGATGCAGCAAGAAAGTTCAGTTACATGATTATGTCTGGGTTCTGGGTTCAGCAGCAGTTTTCTTCTATGCTTATCTCAACCTTGTCACATAGAAACAAATTTTATTTACACTTAGAAATACTGATGGATGTGGCCAGGTGCGGTGACTCACGACTGTAATCCCAGTACTTTGGGAGGCTGAGGCGGACGGATCACGAGGTCGGGAGTTCGAGACCAGCCTGACCAACATGGTGAAACCCCATCTCTACTAAAAATACAAAAATTAGCCAGGCATTGGTGGCACGCGCCTGTAATCCCAGCTACTCAGGAGGCTGAGGCAGGAGAACTGCTTGAACCCAGGAGGTGGAGGTTGCAGTGAGCCAAGATTGCACCACTGCACTCCAGCCTGGGCAACAGAGCGAGACTCTATCTCAAAAAAAGAAAAAAAAAAAAAAAAAAGAAAGAAACACTGATGGATGCTCAAATCCCTGAGTCATCGGCTGGGCCTAGAATATAGCTCAGTGTCACCCAATTTCTGCTCTTTCATGCACTAGCCAGTCCACAAGCTGTCTCTATGGTGATGGCAAGGGAATTATAGTCAATGTAAGTGGACAGCCATACAGCCATACTGAGGGGCTGTAAAATCATCCTCTCAAACTTTTTTGAAGTGTTTCTGAATTTTAGAACACGTTATTCCAGCAAGGGTTCTGAACCTTTTCGGTGTCACGAGCCCCATGAGTCTGGTGAAGCCTGTAGACCCCTTCTCAGAACAATGTTTTTGTTGTTGTTGTTGTTTGTTTTTTTTTTTTTTTTTTTGAGACAGAGTCTTGCTCTGTCGCCCAGGCTGGAGTGCAGTGGCACGAACTTGGCTCACTGCAAGCTCTGCCTCCTGGGTTCATGCCATTCTCCTGCCTCAGCCTCCTGAGTAGCTGGGACTACAGGCGCCCACCACCACGCCCGGCTAAGTAGAGACGGGGTTTCACCGTGTTAGCCAGGATGGTCTCGATCTCCTGACCTCGTGATCCGCCCGCCTCGGCCTCCCAAAGTGCTGGGATTACAGGCTTGAGCCACCGTGCCTGGCCAGAACAATGTTTTTAAATGAATAAAATGAATAAAAGCACATAGAATTACAAAGGAAATGAATTACACTGATAATAGATCATCAAGATAATAAAAAAAACTGATAATAAAGTTATCAAATTTTTAAACTAATTTTTTTTTTTTTTTTTTGAGATGAAGTCTTGCTCTTGTCCCCCAGGTTGGAGTATGATGGCGCAATCTTGGCTCACTGCAACCTCCACCTCCTGGGTTCAAGTGATTCTCCTGCCTTGGCCCCCCAAGTAGCTGGGATTACAGGTGCCTGCCACCATACCCGGCTAATTTTTGTACTTTTAGTAGAGATGGGGTTTCACCATGTTGGCCAGGCTGGTCTAGAACTCCTGACCGCAGGTGATCCACTCCCCTCAGCCTCCCAAAGTGCTGGGATTACAGGCGTGAGCTACCGCACCGGGCCAAAACTAAATTTATTATATAGAAATATGTGTGCTTCCTTGGTTAATATATTAAATAGAAATATCTAGCAACATTTTGAAGTGATACTAGTGTAACTGTGTCCAGTATGGTGGTATCTGATGGCAATGCAAAAAGTAGCTTATAGGCTGATGGGATGGCAGATGTATAAAGAGATAAATGAATCGACTGAAGAAATATTAGAGTATGCACTCATGCTATAGAACACATAAGAGTCAGACACGCCCTCCCGGAAGAGGTCTGAGCCGAGCCTTTAAATCTCAAAGGTATTATCCTTATCTATAAATTAAATTGAATTTTTTCAATTAAGTAGGAATAGTCTCTGGATGACTAAGGAAAGAGATTAAGCAAAGATGAGAGAATACCTTCTAAAATTTTTTTTCTGGTGTTCCCAAAATAAAGGATTTTAAAGAAAGACAGACAAAATGTATGGTGTGACTTCCTTTGTAAAGTGGCTAAAGGAAAGGTACAACCAGACAAAGACACAGAGGAAGCATTTTTTGATTTTTAACATGCTAGATACCTTCAAAAATGTTTTTCCTTGCCCACAAGGGAAACAAATCAGCTCTCATCATATGTCCCATCTCTAAAGAGGCAAAAGGCTAAATGAAGGACAGTCATAAGACACAAGTTGAAATATCCTTCGACCACACGACTCCTGTTTTTGAAAATCACAACTTGGAATTGAGTCTTATGAAAATTTATCTCAGAGAAAATGCCACAACTATTAAGAGGAAAAGATCTTACATAAATCGAAAAAGAACGGATTATTAATGCCACAAATTAGAGAGTAATAGAACTGTGTTTAAGAAGTAGCTCCCTGCCTTCAAAGGCTACACCATACAAGTTGTTAATTAACAAAGTAACAATGGATTCCCACAACTGCTGTGGAAGTAGAAACTGATGGCCAGGAAGCCCAGGTGAGGGCATGCTCATTAGGAAATCTGCCATGCCCCTCTAAGAACAAACTTTCCTTTAAGGAATTTAAGGAGGAGAGAAAGCTGCTTTGTGGTCCTTGCTCAATCACTATTTATATCCAAAAAAAGAAAGAAAGAAAAAAGAAGGAAGGAGAAAGGGAAGAAAGGAGGAGGAAGGGCGGAAGAGGTAGAAAGGGAGGAGAAAAAGAAACATAAAATAGAGAAAGAGAAGGAAGGAAAGAGGGAGGGAGGGAAGGAAAGGAAACATTCAGAGCAAAATAGATGCTCACTAAATGTTAGCATTTCCTTAACAGCCTGCTTTTGGCATTGCATCATTTTGCAGGAGACGGACTAGTTCTTTCACTTTAAAATTATCTTATGTGCTGCCCAAAGGTCTCATATTGTCATGAAGAATTCTTGATAATTAGCAAATTTTCTGAAAGTTCAGCATCAGCTGATAATCGCAAATAATACAAATATACCATGGCCTTGAAATAATCAGAATCACCGTAAACAGCAGTGTTAGAAACATATTTCAAAGTGAAAGAATACACTATTCTCAGGAGATAATCACCAACATTCTTCCAAATCCTGATCAATGGAGGCAGCATTTTGCTACATGAGCAATAAACCAGGAAGACTCTGGATATATCATGTATAATGCTGGGCATTATAATCAAACACAACACAGGAAATAATCCCAAGTCTTTAATAATATTAATAATCATATTTAAATAGCAATTGGGTGTTAGTCATACAATTTTAGTATTGGTGAGAGCCTTGTGAATCAATCTCATCCCCCCTATTATTGTTGTCAAAACTAAAACAGTAAAGGAGATAGAAAAACCTAAGGGGGTGTTGGAAGATGAATTCTGGTGCAAAATCCTTTAATCATATTTTTTCAAATATATCAATCAGATTGCTTTCCTCACACTAAGAACTAAAGAAATGAGATTTTTTTTCCAACTGGGGAGGAGAGGATGGATGGAGGAGGTAAGGGTTGCAGGGCTCAGGACTATCTTTTTGAAAACAACATATATTGCCCAGCAATACTGCTTTTCTGATGCAACTTTGGCCACCTCCAGAGATGCTCAGTAGGGCTGTACTTACAACGAAGACCCTCTTAGTCTCAGGATTTATGTGCCTCCACGATGATTCCAAAGGGAGACAAATCAACTAAGAATCAATAATGTTAAATTAATCTTGGGTAAGCCAAGAGTTACATATGTCATCTAGAATGGCTTACATGGAACACCAGGACCCAAATGCAATTCCCTCAACACCCTCCTTATCTTGGTAGTGCTCACCACCTAGATAAAATGTCAGCAGCAGCCTGAACTCTAGACAATTTCCTTCATGGTGTTATCTAAAGGACCACCAAAAAGATGATCAGCTCCCATCCTTCCACAAAAGAAAAACTCTACCACTTAGTATTGAAGCTTTCAATGCAGTGTAGTGATCACGTGTAAAAGTAGAACTATGGAGTCAGACAGAATTGTGTTTGAAAAAGTCTCTCTTGTAACCAACTTGGGAAAATGACTTAATCTCTCTCTGTAGTTGGGGGAAAGATGTAGTGATATGTAAAGCACCACCATAAGGTTCAGAACATAATGAGTTCTCAATAAATGTCAGGTCCTCTCTCTTCTACTGAAGTTGCTCTTTCATTATTTTTGGGCTCCCTCTTCTCTAAAATCCCAACCCATGATGAAGGCTTTCAAGGCCTGTATATACTAATGGCTCTCCGAAACCTAAGATAAGCAGAACCTTGGGTTCCAGAATTCCTTAGTCCTGTCCGTAATAGAAGAATATAAAAATACGTCTCAAGCATCTGCATACTGACACAAAGCATTTTCAGGATGATATCATTGTTGAATTGAGACTTAATTAGTTTTGTGTGAACTTTGGGATCAAATAACATAACAAAATAAATTAACTGAGGCTAAGAAACAACTTTTTCACTTCATAAAAAGCTTTTTAAGTCACTCCAATGAGTCTTTGATTCAAATATAATGAAATTTCATGTTGAATCAATGATAGACCTTTTGAACTGTAATCTGCCAGAAAGTAGACAACTCAAAAATTGAAAATGGGCAGATCAAAGTTACACTGATAGGAATCTGTTAATGAACCATAGTGTGTTGTGTGGATAGGATTAGTGAGGACCTATCTGATTTACTGCATGAGGATATTAATGTGAAAGGTAGAAGCAATGCATATTAAATGATCACTAAGTGCTTCTGAAAGAATGCTTTGTAGCAATAACATTTAAATTCCTTTCATTTAGCCAAGATATATAAAACTGTGGAAATCCCTATTTATAGTCACACAGACCAACACTGGTTTAACAGGGAAGGCCACCATCTCATAACAGTAAATCCATAGCCCTATGGGCTTTAATTGAAAAAAATTATCACCTAGACACTAAATGAATTTGAAAGAAATAGAAGACTGAAATATTGCCTTTTAGATTGCTGACAATTCTGGAGGGTTGTTGGCTGGAAGGGCTGAACATCCCCAAATTGGCACCAGATTTTAAAACAACCTTCCAAGTGGTTTAATTGGTAGGCACACCAGGTCCTCAAACACAAGAATTTGCACATTTAAAGGCTGCCCCACAATGTTCCAGGAACCTAGTCATGAATGCAATAGTCAGTATAACACGTTCTCTTTGTACATTGGACCTGACATTCTTGTTTTAGAAAAGTAACTGAATCTATAGACCACTGGGCCAGCTGTTCTCCATCAGAGTGCACTCCTTCACTTAGCTCCTGTAGCATTTACTTGGTGTAGCTAGAATGCAGGCTCTCAAACCAGACTCACAACGTGGGTTTGAACACTTCTGCCTCTTCCTTTGCCTTTGCATGTTTCAATTTCCTTGTCTGCAAAAATAAATGTAATGATCATATCTAACTCACGGGGTTGATGTTAATATTTGTCTTAGTTTGGATTTCCCTAGA
Source organism: Homo sapiens (assembly GCF_000001405.40). Taxonomy (NCBI): domain Eukaryota; kingdom Metazoa; phylum Chordata; class Mammalia; order Primates; family Hominidae; genus Homo; species Homo sapiens. Next base: position 12,413,405 of record NC_000023.11, on the reverse strand, counting down.
AGGAGACCCCAATACAAAGATTCCTGTGCAAGGGTAAGGAAACTATGCTGGGAAGAGAAAACAAACAGTCAATAAAGAATGGATTATCCAGCCAGCTACCATACTGGGTGACTGGAGCTTAATCCTGCCAGGAAATTCTGGGAATAGTATAAAACTCACATGTCTGAAATATCCCATCTGAGGAGCAAAGGAACTGGGATATCTATATACCGACTCATGTCAATCATTTTTAAAGTGCTCCCAGACAAAAGCATACCGGCTTTAAACAGTTTCAGAAAAATCCCTCCGAGATGCAGAGACTGGCTGCTGGAAGTCATCTAGCATACAATGATGTGGTGTAGCCCTAGAAATGTGGCCAGGGCTGCACAAATTAATGTCCATAAAGTGCATGGCACATACAGTGCCATAAATGTGTGTTTTTTTTTTTTACTATGACTATCAGTATTATTATTTTTACTACCCATGGAGGCATTGGCCAATGCTATTAGATATTTATGTCTATGTCCTGCTACCAGGACCCTTGTTGATGTTCCCGATACAAAAGCTGTTCTATAACATTTGATGCTCATACTCAAGATGATTCAGATTCAACCAGAAAGGCTCAGACTGAGAAATCAGCAGTTATTTGCTTTTGTACACTATGTGCCTATGAGATGAAGTGCAAACCACCACCAACCACAAACACAAATTCCTCTCCCAGGAACCACTGAGTCTTTACTCTCAGAAAAATCCATGCCTCTACCTTTGCTGCCATTATCAGGCATGGCCCTAAGAATCTCACAACAGGCTGTGGCTGAGTTTATTTAATCTGCATGCTATAGAGGTGTTTTATCCAGAAGTGATTATCTTAGGAAGTCAGTTAAGAAGTACTAGACATCACTCCTAAAAGTATCCTGATGCTTGCCAGAATATGGATTAAGAGTTTCCCAAAGGAGATAAGCAAACTCTAAAAATGTCCTCTTCTCAAGCTGCTGCTTTTATGAAATTCCTCATTGGCTACCAAGGGGGAACCTCAGATACTGATCATCTGGAAGCAGCAATCACTTATTGAGGCCACAGAAGCAAGATGACGTCAAATCCATGTATGGAGCATTTGTTTTGTGTAAGATAATTCAGACAATGGGCAATGGGGTAGGTGGTTGTGTGGGAGAAGTAACTAAGGTTTAGAAGACAGATCTGCTCAAGGAATCTGTAGACTCACTAGGGAAAAGTGAATTAGTCACATTAAATACCAATTATTATAGATTTGTGCTTACTTTTGAATCACACATAATGGTAAGAGCAAAATGCTAAAATTTGTCACAAACCATTATGCATTGAATCATCACATGATTAGGCTGAAGTGGCCTGTGAATCAGGCTGCACAGGAATTGAGGCTTTCAAAAGGATATGATGAAGAGACTCCTAGTTGATTACGCAGCAGACATTCTCTCCTTCTTCCAGGTTTTTTCCTAGGGGACAAACTTGCCCAAGTAAAAGACTGTAGTTACCAGGCAGCCTCCCTTCAAGTCAGTGGTATCCAGTGAGTTGTAGACCCTTGGCCTTTTTGCCCTTTTTGACTTCCTTCATTTCTGCCTAGATATGATGTCAGGAGCTTACTAGGTCATCTTGGACCATGCAGTGACACTGACGATGGAAGCCATGTGCTAAGGATGCAATAACAGAGGGCAGAAATAGCTCAGGTCTCGGATGGACTATGGAGCCACCATATTGCATCCTGAGTACCTACCTCTGCATTCGTCTTTTACAAGATGCACATTTCCCACGCTTTAGCATCTTTAACAACAGGATGTCTTATAATCAATGGTGTTTTAAATTGCTCTGCACAAAGCAACAGTTTGTCCTGCACAAGTGTGAACAATGTACTCATTGCTATTTATATGGTCCTCACCTCAACTGAATTACGTCTAGTGCTGATACTACAAATGCTTAGCTTAAATCCCATTTAAATTGTCTTCCAAAAGATTACATCATGATTCAATATTGAAATGGAAAGTTACTGGTACACAGAAAAGCGTGGAAACAGAGCAGTGGGGTGTGAATTGCATATCAGCAAAGCAAATATTCATTGCTGAAGAAGTGAACACATTTTCATATCTGCTAGCAAAGGGACAAATGCTTTCGGGACCTAAGACAGGAAAATAGTAGCCATGTGCTACTAAGATACTTACAAAAGCGTGGCTTATCTCAGGCTAAGCAAGAAAAGTCCCAGAGTCAAAACTTGAAGAGTGGGTGTTGGGAGTTTGGAAGAAAATCTCAGAGACAATAGTGGGAACTCCTAGAGCTCCTAAGAATGCTGCATCACCAATGTTTTTGATGGCACAGTTGTTTGAACAGTTGTATGAACAACTGCTATGTGAACAAAAGTGGACATCAGTGATTCTGAGTCAAAAAGGCACTCAGAAGGGGTTCTGAATGCGATGAAGTTTTAGGAATACCTTAACAATTCTATTTTGCTTATATATCCGTTTTTACATATGGTCACGAGTAATACATGATTTTTACATATCTCTAAGTCTAAAAGAACTCTAAGTCTAGAAGAGACAATGAGGACAGAGAGGACAATTCAAAAACCATTTCTTTAAGTCCGTGATAAGATGAAGAGGGTCTGATAAAGGTAATAAGGAAGGAACGGCAACTACTTATACTTTAATATTTAAGTGGTACTTGGTGGAAGTAACCGCGTCAGCAAAATTAGAAGCTAAATAGCCTTAGGAAGAGTTGGGGGTTAAGAAAAGAGATTTTTCTTTCAGCAGGGTTAAAAGTAAGAGCATTTTAGAGGACTGTGGGCAGGATCAATTTTGACAGACCTGAAATTGGCATTTTAGCTGCTACTCACAGCTAGGAGCTCTTTCTTTCATTACGCTTTTATGACTCCATAATAAAAGGAGCAAAAGCAGAACTGCAAGTTACTGGTGCAAAGTGGTTATCTCTCAGAAACCAAGTTTGCAGCACACCATGGAGCATGAGGTGGCAGTTGGAAAAAAAACAGATTAGAAATACACAGAGCAACACAGACGGATCTTAACATCCCCAGGCTCAGAAAAAACACACAATGAAACATATAGCACAAAAAGATTTATGCAAATTGAAATGAATGTGTGTAAAACAATAATACACCCTTGCAAAAACGAATGCACACAGAAATATTCACACTAAACTCAGTAGAAAAATTACCTGGGCGTGTAAATGGGAGTGGCATAGGGGGATAAAGGGGAATGAATGAGTTACTCAGCCACATCAGGAAGTCTTCAATAATCAGTGATGATAAAGTGTCAGAAACTGATAAAACAATTAATCTGACTGATGCTCTCCCCACTCACAAAAAAGGTTGCAGTTTAAATTGGAAGTTCAAATCAGCACTGACATAAAGCTTCACTAAGATACTTTAAAACCCTGTTTTCCTAAAATTCAGGAAAGAAAAAAGGGGTGATATTCACATATTGTAGGACTATTGAATACTTGAGAAAAAAGGGAAGAAAAATGTTTAATGAGCACCTTTTAGAATTAATAAAATTTAGAATAAAAACCAGAATTCAAAGGTGATATTACTTGGTACCTTTTTGCCCCTACCCCCACGAACAGTAACGGAAATGTCATTATACCAAATGATTTTTGCTAATGATGGTTTTCATTTTATGGACTAATTCCTTCAGTAAAACTGAAAAACATAAAACTCATTAGTTTTAACTGGATTTATTTTGAAATCATTTCTATTTGACCATTAAACTATTCTTCTGCATTTCATTAACAAGAATGTTCTCAAATTTCATTTCTTCTGCTCATCTATTTTTAGCAAGTTAAATTCTGAAGTAATCTCATAGGGGTAAATTTCAGAAATGTGTCCTTAGGTTCTTACATCTTTGCTTTATTCTCTTCTAATTTCAACTCCAGAATCTCCCCAAAGTTCTATTGTCTTCAATTAAAGGAACACAGTCAAATGTGCCTCCTTTCCATCAAACTTGATCTCTAAAGTAAGAGTGCGGGGCACACAGATAAATAGATTAGCAGCTGGAGAAAGCACAACCCTTTTAGCTAGAATAAATGAAAACTGCAGCACCATAACAAATGCTCATATACTTTACTATATGGTGTTCAGCAGCATCTTCGGCATCTAGTCACTAGATGCCAGTAGTGACCTGCCCCCAACAAGGTCTCCACAAAGATGGTAAAATCACCCGATTGAGAACCGCTGCTATATTTTTGAAAAAGGTGCTGTATTGAAATCCACCAGAGAGCAATGGCTTGAGCATCCATTACATGCCTTCTGTTGTGGGAAGTACTTTTTTATGTTACCTCATTACAAGCTGTCTTAACAAAAACAACAACCAGTTATCAATGGCTGAGTGCACTGCCTCTATCCCCTTCTTCTAGTAAGACCTCTCAATTTTTTGCCTTGGATACAAACTCTTCCCTGTTAGTCATGTGAAGGTGAGGTTTGCCAGTCAGGGTGTTCCACTCTCTACTAGCCAAGGGGGGGATATTCTCTCTCTAATGGAAGAAAAGAAAGATAGAAAAAGGCTGATGTCATTATCCTCCTGAAGAATCCTTGCAAAGCCTTCCTGAGTTGCTGAACAAGGTCAGCCCTTGCAAACTGCCCTTGTTCTTGTCCTTGCTGATACATCTGTTCCTTGAATTGTTTGAGTGCCTGCATATCTTTCTAATAATTTCCTATTTTGGCCAAATTAGCCAGTTTGGGTTTTTGTTCTTTGCAATCAAAAGACCCCAAATGATTGGGCACCATTTACTGAGCTTCAGTATGGGCTGGGTGCTGTGCTGATGGCGTGTTGCACATTTCCTTACTCATACTCAGTAGATACTGATCAAGTGCCCAGTATGTGGCAGCCCCTCCTCTTGTTCTGAGAAGCAAACAAAAACAAATGCCTAGCTAGGCCTTGCCCCCAGGAATTTTGATTCACTGGGGCTGAGGTGAAGCCAGGTATTGTTTTATTTGTCAACAAAGTGCAATTGAAAACTTAATATGTACAAAGCAGTGTCTTTTGGCATTTAATCTGAAATCAGAAATGAAAACTAAGAGTAATTATATTTTTAATTAAAAGAAAACTGAGAATTAGATGTGATATTGTAAAGGCTAAAGCAGCTCCATCTTGGATGGAACCAAAGCAAGTAAAAATTGCTTCTTAACAGAAAACACATCTAGTATGTAAGTCCTACCCTTAGGTCAAACAACCTTGATGTTATTATACTTCGATGGTCCTACATATCCCTTCCGAATCACCCTTTCCCTATGGTATATAAGCCCTGGGTCTGGAGATAATGGCATAGGGATCCACCATCTTGTCTAGCCACCACTCGAGACACAGACATGGCTTCCGTTTGTGAGTGCCTATTAAATGTCTCTTTCTAAGAAACTGGATATGTTAGCCTCTTTCTTTTGTCTCTCTGCTACCTCAAACTTTGGGGGTAGGTTTGCATAGACCTGCCTACCAACGAAGATATACTATTATCATTTTTTAAAAGCTTTGCTGTCGACAACAATATATAGTCAGGCCCGAATCACAATATTCTAGATTAAGGATTGGCAAACTATGGTCTGTGCACACAAAATCTGTCCTGCTGCTCATATTTACAAAAAAAGTTTTATTGGAATGCAGCCACACTCACTCATGTACATATTGTCTATAGCTACTTTTGTTCTATAAGAGCAAAGTTAAGTAGCTGTGACGGCTTACATGATTTGCAAAGCTAAAAATATGTATTATGTGGCCCTTTACAGAAAAAGTCTACTGACCTATGAATTGCCCTGTTTAATTCTTGTAACAGCTCCATGAGTGACAACATCAATAGCTAGTGTATCTTAAACAATTATTATATGTCAGGTGTTAGGTTTACTGCCTTAAGTACCTTATTTCATTTATAGCCCTCAACAGTCACCCTACTAGGGAGGTGTTATTGGAATGCCTATTTTGCAGATAGAGGAATCTGAGGCAAGGCGAAGTGACTTTCCCATGTCCACACAGCTTGTAGATGGTGGAGCCAGAACTGAAACTCAGGTCCTTTGACTCTGGTGCGCAAGCTCTGTGGCATGTTCCACGGCTAGTAATAGAATAAAGTATGTGACCAGTTCCAGCATCAAGCACAATTGATGTCATATTTGGTCGCTTTCAAGCTGTGATAGGCAGAATAAGAGCCCCCAAAGATGTCTGCATTTTAACCTTTAAACTTGTAAATATGGTACATTGCAAGGCAAAAGGGACTTTGCATATGTAACTAAGAATCTTGAGATGGGGAGATGATCCCAGAGTATACAGGTGGGCTCAGTGCCATCACCAGATCCTGATAAGTCAAGGAGGGAGGCAAGAGAGTGAGAGTTAGAGAAGGAGATGTGATGATCGAAGCAGAGGTCTGAGTGATTTGGAGCTATGAGGCAAAGAACATTGGTAGCCTCTAGGCGCTGGAAAAGGTGAGAAAATGTATTCTCCCCTAGAGCCTCCAGAAGGAACTGGCCCTCCTGACACCTTGCTTTTAGCCCAGTGAAATCCACTTTGGGCTTCTGACCTCCAGAAATGTAAGACAATAAATTCCTGTCATTTTAAGCCAGTACATTTGTGGTAATTTGTTACAGCAGCCATAGGAAATTAACACATAAGCCATATTTTACTTATTTGCACCACACTTGAGTACACATAGAATTGCAGCAACAAAGGGGCTTATTCCAATCCAAGCTCATGGTTGGTTGGAGCTTCACTGAGTGCTACAATGCAGAGTTAGATGGGACTAAAGTTGAGAAATAGCCTCTGAGCTAAGTAACTACCTGTAAACCTGAGAAGAGGACTTCTGATATGGATTGCCCATATCAGTTACACTGGGTTCAGCATATCTTCCCCGAAGGCAAATACTAACCTACCCAGAGTGGTTGGAGGGAGAGAGGGCTGCATTGCCCCAAGGGCAAGAGACTGTGGTGAGGATATTTTTTAAATAATAATAGGGCTTCCTCTAATTTGATTTTTTCCCTCTAACATCGAAAAGCCAATTTTTAGATTTCCAGATACATAATGCCACCACCCTCTACTTGGTTAAAAGATATCTTTGTGACTTCAGAGATTACTAAAAACTTGACCTATGGGGATAATTATAAATACTTCTTGAAATACAAGACAGAAAATTTCCTGAAAATCTGTGCGTGTTTGAATGTATCAGCATAATCCAGGGTTTCTTAACCTCAGTGCTATTGACATTTGGGGCCAGATAAGTCTTTTGCGTGGTGGAGCTGTCCTGTGCGTTATAGGATGTTCAACATGTCCCTGGCCTCTACCTACTAGATGCCTGTAGAACTCCCTTGCCTAAGTTGTGACAGCTAAAAATGTCTGTAGACACTGCCAAATGTCCTCTAGAAGAGTCTGGGGTGGGGGCAAGAGCGCCCTGGTTGAGGACCTCTAGCATAATCGGAGATAAACCTTATTTTTTAGTTTGCTTCCATCATGATGCTATGTATTTCTAATCTCCTCATCACTTCCCAGAATCCCACCCCCAACCATCTAAAATAAATAAATGAAAGAACCAGTGGTGTTGGGGAAATAATATCGAGAGAGTAGATTCTAGGCAAGTGTATAGAACCTGCCCCATTGTCCCTGAGTTGTTCCTTAGTTCTCAGATTTTTATCTTCAGTTCCTTAAAAAAGCTGACATTTAAGTAAATAAAACTTAATGATTCATTTGCCTTTAGTCACTAATATATTAATTCCAGAAAAGTAAGATAATGACAAGGTGCAAAGAATCAAAGGCTCCTGGGTACAGGTTCGAAGTCTTCATTATGTTCCTGATTTCACATTAATGAGGGAGACAGAACTTGGCAGAAATTTGGCCAGAGATGGATTGTGCCTGCTGGTTCCACACCCTCTGCACCAATCAAAAAATGTTCAGAATTCACAAAGGATAAATGCTTGAGGGGATGGATACCACATTCCCCATGATGTGATTGTTATGCATGGAATGCCTGTATCAAAACATCTCATGTACTCCATGAATATATACACCTACTATGTACTCATAAAAATTAAAAATTAAAAAAAAAAGTTCAGAATTTAAGGAATGGCTCCAATGTTGGTCGCTGGAGAAACTTTTCTGACTGTGCCCCAACCCCCATCCTTCTTTCTATGAGTTCTCCTTTGTTTTTCTACAATTATTTTCCCTTCTCTTGTATTAGATTTAATTGTTCACATGCCTATCTACCTTACCTTATGAACTCTTTGCCTCCAGAGCAGATAACTCCCTTTAAACCAGTGATTCTCATCAGTAGCCATGTTAGAATCACTTGGAGAGCTTTTAAAAATACCAATGCCAGGGTCTCATCTCCAGACATTATGATTTAATTGGTTTAGGGTGGGGCCTGAGCATCAGTATTTTTTTTAAATCCCCAAGGGATGCTAATTTAAACCAGGCCTCAGCATTCTACAGTTTGCAAGCCAAATCCAGTAGCCACCTGTGTATCTTCATAAATAAAGTTTTATTGGAACACAGGTACACTCATTTGTTTATATATAATCTGTGGCTGCATTCAAGGTACAATGGCAGCATCAAGTAGTTATAAGAGGGACTGGCTGGCTGGCAAAGCTGAATCTATTTTCTATTTGGTTCCATACAGAAAGTTTGCTGACTCCTACTTTAAACCACTGAGGCTGACAGCAAAAATAGCTTTTTTAAAAAAAGTATATTTACCCCATAGATTATTTGCTGGTTGTAAGAAGAAACACATAGAGTACAACAGAAGGATCAAGCTTTCATCACCTGAACCCAATGGCGGAACAAAGAGAAATTATGTTCATCCAGATGTGAGATAAGATGTGATACCCAACATCACGCCTGAGAAAAACTTTCCCAAAAGGGTTATTTGGACTTTACCCAGACTTTTAATTCTAACTTCCAGTGACAGAAGTTAGAGGTGATGAAAGAAAATATTTAACAAGACTACAACAAAGCAATTAGACAAATCTAGAAGTTGAGATATTCTACAAGACATGACTTCTTCAACATGTCATTGGTATTAAATAAAAGGCAGGCAGGTATTCTTGATTTAAAAGACCCCAAAAAACATAATAACCAATGGAAATGTGGGCCATTTTGGGATCCTAGCTTTTTAAAGATATTTTGGGGACAATTGGGAAAGTTTGAATATGGACTGGGTACTACGTGATTTGAAGGCATTGTTAATTTAGGTAGGTGTGAGAATGATATTGTGTATATGTAAAAAAGAAAGTCTGAAGGTGCAGCCTAAAATATTTTGGATATATACTCAACATTCTTGTAATTTAGGATACTTCCTCAAAATACAGTACAGATATGGTGAAACCTTAATGACTGTTAAATCTAGATTGAGGTACATGGAATGGGTATATAGTTATGTATCTTTATATGATTTCCTTGGCTTTTTGTATGTTTGAAAATATTCATAATGAAAGCTCTAAAAAAGTTTACACTTGGCCACACAAGCAGCACAAACAGTATTAGGCTGAGGTCAGAGGCTGGTACACACTATCTGAGTCACTAATGTAGAACTCAGCAGGGAAACACAGCCAAGAATGGGCCAAAGTCATGAACCAACTGAGGGGGGTCATACATCAAGACAGAAACAGGAGGAGCTTGAAGCTCTCAGAAGGTTAAGGCAGAAGAACAGCCAGGGGAGAGCAGAAAGCATCTATTCAGCAGAGCAGCAGTGTGATCATGGTGCTGCTGGTCAATTCTGAAGGAACCTGTGTTACTCTTATATTCAACAGGTATTTACTGAGAACCAGGTCCTGTGTTAGGTGCTGGGCCGACAGTGATCAAAAGGATATACAGGGTTTTCAGGGAGATTACATCCTTAGGAGCAGTGGGTTTGTGGTGGGCGGCGGGCAGGGAGAGGAGTGGGTGGTAAGCAAGCCAATAAATGAGAATGTCTATGGTGCTAAAAACCATCAGAAAACCAAATGAGGGTGATGGGATGGAGTTAGTGGAGTAGAAAGAGGGGTGCTACTTTAGATGGAGTGGCCAGGACACTGGAATTTTCCAAGACCTGAATAATGAGATTTGAGGGGAAAAAAGTGTTCTAGGAAGAGGGGACAGAAGCTCAAAGACCCTGAGGTAGGAATAAGCTTAATGGGTTGCAAAATAAAGACCATGTGCCAAAAGTGGAGCAGGGGAGTGATCCCCAAGGAGGCAGGAAAGGCAGGCAGAGTCCAGATTAGTTCAGCCATGTAGACCATGTTGAGGATTTGAGAGTAGATTCTTAGTGCAGTGGGGAGACACTGGTGCATTTTATAAGTAGTGGCATGACACGATTTGAGTTGCCTTTGTAAAAGACCTTTCTGGCTGGTGCTTAATAAATGGATTCTAAGGGGGAAGCACTGAAGCCCAAAGAGCAGTAAAGAGGCATCTACAGTAATCCAGAAGAAACATGGTGGTCATCTTAGTCTGTTTGTGCTGCTGTAACAAAATATCTGTGACTGGGTAATTCATAAAAACAAACATTTATTTCTCACAGTTCTGGGGGCTAGGAAGTCCAAGACCAAGGTGCTAGCAGGTTCACTTGTTTGGTAAGGGCTGATCTCTGCTTCCAAGATGGTGCCTTGTTACTTCATCCTCTGGAGTGGACCAATGCTGTGTCCTCACATGGCATAAGGCAGAGAAGGGCAATAAAGGAAGGCCTAAACTGGTTCCCTCCAGCCCTTTCATAAGGCACTAGTTTATTCCTGAGGGCAGAGCCCTCATGACTTAATCACTTTTCTAGAGGCTCCACTTCTTAATACTACCATAATGGGGATTAAGTTTCAACATTTGAATTTTAGGAAACATTCAGACAATAGCAGTGGTGGACCTTGATTGCTGATGGTATTGATCAAATAAAACGGGCCAATTCCAGAATCTTATTAATGGATGAGATTTTAGGAAGTGATGAGGGAGAGAAAGGAGACAAGAAGGAATCCTTGGGGTTTGACTTGAGTAACTGAGATGGTGCAACTTACTGAGGTAGGGAAGTCCTCTTGGTCTTATAAGCAGGGTATTTTGTTCTGAAACTCATGGAGCGTATTCCCACCTCAGGGGCTTTGGACCTCTTGTGGAACGTTTCTTCCCTCAAATCTTATTAGTCAGGTCTAGTCTGAAATGTCACTTGCACAGAGACTTCTTCCCTGATCACTCTGTCTGCTTTTGTGGGGGGGGTGGCGCAGAAGGTTATAACTAGTTTTGATAGAGAAAGCCAGGGTTACAAAAGACTGCAGAGGTGGCATTGAGGCCATTCTTGCCAAAGCTGCTAGCTGTACTTAGTCCAGCCAGTCTCTTCCTCCTTCTCCTCAACCTCTTATTCTCCTTGTAGGCCACCTTGGAAGTCTGAACTCTCACTTCCCTAGCACAGGCCAGGAAACCATGGGATTTAACTCCAAGCACACAGCTGGCTACTTTCAGAGTGGTCAGGGCCTCCACCCCACTATCCCCCAAAAAACTCATCCTCCAAGGCTGTGTCTTCTCAAAGCATGACTTGACCTTCTGGTACAAACTTTAACTCTGTAGTCAACTCTGGACATGCTTTTGAGCCACTTGAGAACAATAGCTCCTACAGTATCTAGTACACTACTTTGTAAATACATAAACAAATACAACTTTGTAAATGGACTATTTGTGCACTGGATGAATCTGTGAATATTGGAGCCATTAGCCCTCAGATTTATTATGGTATCATGTAAATTATTATTATGTCTCTGAAATATTCATAGGATAACATATCTAAGGCCAACTGACTCTCTTTATAAAACCGATATCTTTAATCATCATCCCAATTTAACAGATTCAACTTATGTTAGATATTTATTCCTCTTTTCTTATTTCCACATTTATCTCTGGCACATTTGGTCCTCCCAAAGACAGGGAGAGTGTTGGGAGATAAGAATAACAAGGAAAATCTGGAACATGACGAAGACCAGAAATGGGGAGCAACACAAGCCAAAAACTATTAGAAGCAACTGTCCTCAGACTGTCCTCACTCAACCTTCCAAGAGCTGCCAAAATAAACCAGCATCTGCATGGAGAATGATATTCTCCAACTATGAGAGAGGGGAGGAGACAGGGAAGGAAGGAGGGGGGAAAAGGAGGAGATGGAGGGAAAGAAGGAAGGAGAAAGGAGGGAAGGGGAGAGAAAGGAAGAGAGAGAGGGAGAGAGTATACTTAACTCACTTCTTAAGTCTCATCAAGATTGAAGGACATAATAACATAACTGATGAATTATTCACCCTGAGGTAGGAATAATTCAGGGTCTTTGAGCTTCTGTCCCCTCTTCCTAGAACACTTTTTCCCTCAATAATAACATAACTGATGAATTAATTTCAAATACATTTAAGTTGGCCATTTTCTCTTAAAAAGGTTAAATGAATATGTGACTTGGACATTGGACTTGCTTCTAATCACAGATTTTCTTCAGCTAAGATCTGGCTTAAGTTAAGGGGCATGCAATTTAGTTACTATGTTCTTATTACATTCTCCAACGAAACACGAGAACCCTTTTTATGAGACTTGCTAAAAATGGAGTTTTGAGATTTTGAGTTTCAGGATTTTGTGTAGTTTGTTTAACTGTTGGTCACAACATCAGCTCCAAGTGTTGTCTTCAAATCAGTGTCATCACAAATTCTTTCATGACCTTAAACTATCAAACAGAAACAGTAATAAAACAAACTCTAATTAAATGAAATGAAACTCTTTTGTGAACTTGATATTTGGCCTGAACCTGTTTGAAAGCCAAGCTAGACATCAAATTGAATGAGCATAAATGTCATATAAATTAAAGTGGCAGCTTGGCATCCATCCTAGGTCGAAAAGGGCAGTAAAAAATCTCAAGAGTAGGGGTAAAAAGTACAAGAAAGTAATATTTTCAAAATCACACTTTATAGTTGTGAAATGATGATTGTTAATGTGATTTTCCTATAAACCAAGTGACCTTGAATCACATATGACATGGCGCTTGCTACATTCAAACATGTGATGACATCCAAGAGGGGGAGCCATTGAAATGAATACTCCTCCCGTAATTGTAGGCTTAGCACTCTGCCAGTTGGTGTTTTCTCTCTGCTTTAGGCAGACTGCCCAAAAGAAGACAGTGGTTGCCCATTTTCTAATCAAAAAGCCATCCCAGTAAATTAAATATGACAATTATGAAGAAGCAGATGGTTCGACTTACTTTCTAAAAATCTCATTGAAGGTTAATGTTACTAATTATTTTATATGGACTTCATCTAACCTCAATATGGGGGGAAGGGGAAGGCTATGTAGCCCTCTTAAGAAAATGGGTTTATTAACCAATGGGATATAAGTAGTATGCCTGCGTCACTTTCCCCTGTCTGGGGAATCAGAAACAAGTGCAAATATTTGCATTGAGTTTGTTTTAAGGCTATTTGGCCAAATACCTTTTAAGTGAAAACCTGAGAAACTGATGTGGGACAAGATTGCTATATCTAAGGAATACCCAGGAGAACCACATGGTCAGGCACAAATGAAGAGCAAATGCCCTCTTCATTTGATGCCTAACATCACCTCTTTCTATTAAAGTGTAATGTTATAGCATAAATATTTGGAATAAAGTTGACCCTTGAACAACATGGGTTTGAACTGTGAGGGTCCACTTATATATGAATTTTCTTCTGCCTCTGGCACCCCTGAGACAGCCAGACCAACCCCTTCTCTTCTTCCTCCTCCTCAGCCACTCAATGTGAAGATGTTGAGGATGAAGACCTTTATGATAATCTACTTCCACTTAATGAATAGTAAATATATTTTTCCTTCCTTATGATTTTAATAACATTTTCTTTTTTCTAGCTTACTTTTTTGTAAGAATACAATATATAATACATATAACATGCAAAACGTGTTAATTGACTGTTTATGTTACTGGTAAGGCTTTCAGTCAACAGTAAGCAATTAGTATTTAAGTTTTGAGGGTGTCAAAAGGTATAACAAATTTTCTACTGCATGAGGGTCAGTGCCTCTAACTTCCACATTGTTCAAGGGTCAATTGTATATCAAGTATCTACAACTATATCTACATCTCTATCTCTATATCCACACCCACATCTGTATCTATAGCTACACTAATATCTATAGCTACATATATCTACATCCATCTACATCTACATCTACATCGAACTGCTGTGTGCCTGGAACTGCCCTAAGTACTAAGTATACCCCAGGGAACAAGGTGGACATGAACCTGTCTTTCTTCACAGAGCTCACTGCTTGAATGGTGACACAACAAGCACACAGCGCAATCAGCACTAAAGTGAAGACATGAACAATCCTCAGTGCTGTGTGCACTGAGATGTGGAGGCTGCAAACCAGTTAGCCAGGTGAAGGGAGTTTGAGGAAAAGGGATCCTCTGAGAGGCTGAGCCTTGCTCCCAGTAAGACTACTAATTTGGTGCTCATTTTACTGCCCTGGATATGGAACAGGAAACATGAATTTAAAAAAAAAGGGACTGATACAACTTTAAAGATGGTCCACAGATATGTCTAAACTAGCCGTCACAGAGAAGACTGAAAAACACAGAACATTCATGCCATGAATGATGAAAACAAATCACAGTCATCCCATATGAAACAATTATAGCCTAAAACGTAACTGCAGATTTCCTTGCAAAGTAGTTGTTACAACTAGGCAACATTAATTTTTTTTGGATGGATTTCATTTTACCCCTTGCTTAGAAATAATTTCCCCCCCTTGATAATTTTTTTGTAAACCAAAAAGCTTTCTGAAACTGGTCTGACAGTAACAAAAAAGGAGAAACTGGCGTTTTAGGACCATCTGACATGACTATATGGCCCCATAATTTTGATGCTCATCTTCCAAATGAACTTTAGCACTTCTCTAATTCCAGGAAGCACAAAAATAATAACTTTAGTATGTGAAACTCCTCACCCAGAACCTAGAACCATGCAGTATCTGAAAGCTAATAATGATTCCTGTCACACCCTCCCACACTTACATACACTTGCTTCCTCTCTTCCCTGGAACTCATGGGAAGGAGCAAGCATTGAATTTCTTAGTTGGCATGGAATCCTTCTAAATGGCCTTTTACTTTATACAACATTGGTTATATCAAAGTCTCTCCATAGGGATTGCCAGTATTTCGAGAACTATGTTTTTAATTAATTTTGGCACACAAAATTAAATCAGATTTTAAAAATCAGAAAAAAAATCTCAAGCTCACTCCATCTTCTTTGTTACTAAACCATGGCAGAGGTAAATGTACAATGTAACTTCCCTCAGGTTTTAATTTTGAGAAAGTTCAGTCCCAGAATTGGGGCCCACTCAGTACATTAATTAAAAGTAGGATAGTTTGCAAAGTGGTCAAATCAAAGGTGTGCTCCCCAAGGTTACCTAACTTATAAGGAGAAAGGACCCCCAGTGATAGGAGAATCATCAACAAATGATGGCTCTAGGGGCTCTCATCTCCTACTGCTAAGAAGTAAACAGTTCTGTTAAACATCTTTAACAACTTTTTATTGATCTTGGTGTTGCTCTAGTTCCTGGGGATGTAGCAGAGAATAAAATAAACAAAATCCCTTGCCCTCGTGTGGTTTACATCTTATTACATTGTGTTATTATTGTGAATAGCAACCATGCTGCCAGCCATTTAGATAGGGCTTGCGGCTTTTCTGGAAAAATTCACATTATCCAGTCCACATTAGAGAGACACTGCAGAATGACCATGGAGCCAATCAGAGACAGAAAAGAAGAGGGAGGCGAGAGGCTGAGGCCCCTGATGTCTCTCCTATTTGCCTATGGCCACTTAAGTCTGCCTGCCAAGACATAACCAAAGCACTTAAGTACTTAAGACATTCAAAGAAAGCAACAAAAACATCCATCATTCTGAGACAAAGTGTTTTTCACATCCTCGCTACAATAAAAACCTGACCTCGCTATCCATTTTCCAAAATGGTCTAGTTTAAAGAACTGAAATCTACTCTTGCTTTATAATTTCAAATCAATTTAGCATGCTCATGACTTGATAGCTGCAGTTGATTTTTTTTCCTTTACTCACATTGCTTTAACACCACAAATGCTTTAGTTGATTGTTGTTACACAGAGTACATTTCTTAGAATGCATTCCATAGAAGGCTAGTTCTGAGGGATGTGAATGTGTTTATAAACATGTATTTTTTTTTTTAAAAAAAAGTTTCTGTAAACATTGCTCATCCTTCACTCTTGATATTCCAGGTTTAGAGGCCTGTTATGCAAGTCTGGGGGTCATGGTATACTCACTCAGATCTTACCCCTTCTTTAGGATGATGCGTTTGGTTGCGTCAGGGTGAAGGACCAAGAGACAATCCATCCCTCAAAACCAAGGGGTTCAGAGGAATGCTTACTAGGGCTGTCTCACTTGAGCTCTTTGATGCATATGTGAACTCTTGAGAGCCAGCATTGGGCCGGCCTCCTCAGTACCTGGGAAATAATTCTTGATCAGTTTATGAACATCATCACAAGTCCCACTGAGGATGCTTTAAGTAGAATGAAAATAAATCACCAAATATAAGGATTATGTTTATATTGGTAATAAAAGGAATGTGCATTGCAATGAGCTAATCAGTTTTCTCTTTAAATTAGCAAAGATAGAAAAAATGCAATGTTGGCAAGGAGGCATTAAAATTGCTTACAAATCAATTTTAGGAGTGAAAGTATGGAAACCCTTTGCAAAATAACTTGACACAGACACACAAACATGTAGATATTATGAGTATGTGCCTATGTATGCATGTATGTATATATAGATGTATTTAAATCCTAAAAATGTTTATAAGTTTTTGATCCAGTACTATTTCAGGAATTTATCTCTCAAACTCCAAAACATTTAATTATACACACAGATATACCTCATTCAAGTATTTTATATAAGAGCAAAGATTTGGAAGAAACCTAAATATTCACCTATAAGTTAATGATTAAACAAAACGTGGAATATTCATTAGTGGGATAACAATCATTAAAAATGTGCTTTTAAAGAGAATACAGTGACATAAAATGCTTACAATCAAATGTTAACTTAAAATGCAGAAAACAAAATTGTATTTATGGTTTGATGATGATTAAAATTTTTTTTTAAATCTCCAAACCTACAAAGAAAAAGAAAGTCAGGAAATGTATCAAAACACTGATAGTGAAGTAGAACTGAAAACAACTTCAAGGAGCTCTCAAATTCTACACCTCAGTCAAATCTCTCACGTTTCATTCTTGCTCTTCCCCTAAGCAGCCTGATCTGTAAAAAATGGTTAACTATTCACTTGACCCAGAAAATACCACAAAGCCGTGCAAATCAAGAGGTTCAAATATTTGTGTTCACATTAAGAACATCTGTGAAATTGCCCGGGCCATCAAGGGGATGCATATATGGAAAGCTACCAAGCTGGCCTAAAAAAGGTGCTGAATTTTTGCTGCACATGCTTAAAAATGCAGAGAATAGCATCGAACTTGAGGGTTTAGATGTAGATTCTCTGGTCATTGAGCACATTCAGGTGAACAAAGAACCCAAGACGTGCCACTGGATTTATGGAGCTCACAGTCAGATGAACCATACATGAGCTCTTCCTGCCACATCCAGATGACCTTTACTGATTCCACAGAAAAAAAGAAAACACCCTAGAAGAAACTCAAGAAACAAAAATTTACAGCATGGGAATATATTTAGCATACAATAATAAACGCAAATAAAAGTTAAAAAAATTGTATTCTTCCAAAGCACAGTCATCACTGCTCCAGGTTTAAACCAATATTAAGTTTAGTGTAGATATTTAGTAAAATATGTAGCCAAATAACAGGCAAAGCAAGTCAAAGAAAGGGCTCTAGAGCCCCAAATAACTCTCAAGAGAAATTATGTCAAAATAAGAGAGAATAGATGAAAATTTTATATTTTCCAGGTATTGTGAATGAAACTCCTATTAATAACATCCATATAATGTAAAAATTATCAAATTCATCCTTTATTAGATGAGTAACTGGAAGTAAATTGCCCATTAATTTTGTGAAAACTTTGCTCCTTAAAATAGTTCATATCACCATCTTTGCAGGTAAAAAACAAAAAACATGTAAGGTACCAACTTAATGGCTTTCATATCTTCAACAAGATTTCTTTTCATTCTCCAAGCTAAGGCAGCCCTGTTGGAAGGGTTTTGTTAGAGGCCTAGCTGCCTTACAGTTCACAATTCCCCAGTGCCCCAGAGAAGCCTCCTGGGACTGTAATCTGCTGGTGTGTTTGTGAACAGAGCTTAACCAATTCTACATTATGCCTCATACAAGCAGTTGGAGGCTATAATTGTTATTGGTCAGTGCCCAACACCTACACCAACAGATGTCTGATAGTTAAATTTGTCAACACAGCCAGATAAGTCGGAAATTTCATGCTTCAGATGTGGCAAGCTGGATTCAGGCTTTTCTGAGTCCTGGAAATGCCAACCAAGTACACGCTGGGAGCACGTGGCCTGCCTGAAAGTCTCAGTCATCTTTATGTCGGTCAGCATTTGTGACCCAAATGCAAGTCCCGTGAGCAACATTACCTACCCCGTCCCCTGAATCTTTATAAACAGGTACTCTATACTCCATATCTGTTGCAGATCAGCATGTTCAGTCAGAACACAAATCCAAATATGGGGATTAAAAACAACAAATGCATTGCAACTCTTCTAGGCTGTTCTATGTTATACTTTATCGATAAAACAAATGACTTTTTTCACTGCCATGCCAGAGGAAGTAAGAAGGAAGGAAGAAAAAAAGAGAAGGGAGGGAGGCGGGTGAAGGAAGGGAGAAAAGGAGGAAAGAACAAATGGATATATAGACAAATGAGAAAGACAGGGAGAGAATTATCATCACTAACACCCAGTGTTTGTCTGCAGCATAATTCTTCACGTATCAAAAAGGCCAGGAAATAGCAGCTAAGACCTTTTAAAAAATGTATTAGGAACTATATTTTAAAATTTTGTCTGGAAATGCAATTAAAAGACTACCTGAATAAGAACTGAAAACTTCATGAGAGGGGAAAAAAAGATTACAGGGTGAAGGCCAAAACAAATTTCATTTGGCCTTGAAAAGGAGCCACCATTCTGTTTCATCATCTTATAAATACTAACTTCAATTCCTTCATTTCACCATCTCTCAGCTTCAGCACAGAGATATATGGTCCCTTCTAACCCTGAAATTCTAGGATTCCACTGTGATTATTTCCCCTTTAAAATGTTGTTTCTTTTAATTGTGACAGCTGTCACTCAGTGATAGCAAAATAAGTCATGACATTTCCATATTGATGTCAACACTATTGCCTATTCCTATTATCACACATATATGGTGATTTATATAACTTATATCACACATAACTTATATAACTTATTATCACACATATATGGTGATAACTTATATCACCATATGGTTTATATGATGATAACATTATCACCATATATGGTGATAACTTATATAACTTATTATCACACATATATGGTGATTTGTAAAACTTCAAGTTTTACAGAATGCCTACAGGTTTCTATCTTTCATAAGTAGTCAAGCGTCTAAGATTTTCTCTAAAAGCTCTTATTTTTAAAAATGCATCTGAGTAGATCTGAAGAGAAATATTTTATTACCTTGTATTCCTTCACAGGTGAAATGCTATCTTGACAAATGGATTACTTGAGAAAAAAATATGTACAAATTCCCAATTTTTTTGGAGACAGACATTGGTCAAAAGACAATGTCTTCAGTCATTTTCCTGAAAATCCAGGTATATTTGTTCCAAAAGCAGCAGCAACAACAAAACTGCTCTTGCTTTAAAAACAGATCAATGATTTGGTTATTTAAAAATGGGGCTTCTGTACAAATAACCCATTTAGAAAGGACATTAGTGGAATATAATGACTCTTTAGAAATTTACAGTTCTTTACACTTCAGTTCAATACCAACTTAATTGTTTTCCAACCCAGAGGGCAAGATAAGCCAAGCCTATCTTAATTTAGATTAATAATGTATCATCTTTTAAAAAATTACCTCTGTGGTCACGAAAATTCTATTAGGAAAATAGAAATAAAAGACAAAAGATGATGAAAATATGTCTAAGAATTTTTTTTTCTGTTTTTTCTTTCTCCCTGAAGTAACAGAAAGAATTAAAAAGGGGTAGAATGGATTAATAAGGTTGCCAGATAAAATATAGAACACCCAGTTAAATTTGAATTTCATACAAACATGCAAGTCATCCTGTATTTTTATTTGTTGAATCTGGCAATTCTACTAGTAGTACTTTATTCTTAAGAAGCGGAGAAATCAAAGCACAGAAGGATAGAGGTAGAAGACACAAAGAAGAAGTTCCAACATTTCTAAACTGGATTTGCAGTCCCTGCCCTTCAAATCCATTGATGCAACTTGTTCCCTTCTTATCCATGAACTCCTAAGTTTGTAACTTTCTTTCTTTTTTTATTTTTATTTTTCCTTGAGACGGAGTTTTGCTCTTGTCACCCAGGGTGGAGTGCAGTGGCGCGATCTTGGCTCACTAAGTTTGTTACTTTCAAAAATGAAGTAAGTGTACACTGAAGTGGAATCAAAAATAATTTAAAATATTTTTACTGTACCTAAACTTAGTTTAGATTAAATAGGATGGTCTTATCTCTAGGATATGGGAAGCAGAAAGAAAATAATGCAGACACTTAGACCTGAGTTGAAAATTCACAGACATAGGAAGGAAGGAAGGAAGGAAGGTCTGTCAAAGATGGTAGCCATTAGTCACATGTGGCTCCTTTTTTCTTTTTTGAGACGAAGTCTCACTCTGTCGCCCAGGCTGGGGTGCAGTGGCATGATCTCGGCTCATGGCAACCTCTTCCTCCTGAGTTCAAGTGATTCTCCTGCCTCAGCCTCCCAAGTAGTCCGGACTACAGGCAAGCACCGCCACGCCGGGCTAATTTTTGTATTGTTTTTGTAGAGACGGGGTTTCACCATGTTGGCCAGGCTGGTCTCGAACTCCTGAACTCAGGTGATCTGCCCACCTCAGCCTCCCAAAGTGCTGGGATTACAGGCGTGAGCCACCGCACCCAGCCTAGATTTAAATTAAGATTAAATAAAATTGACTGGGTGCGGTGGCTCACGCCAGTAATCCCAGCACTTTGGGAGGTCGAGGCAGGCAGATTGCTTGAGGTCAGGAATTCGAGACCAACCTGGCCAACATGGTGAAACCCCGTTTCTACCCAAAATACAAAAATTAGCCAGGCATGGTGGTGCTCGCCTGTAGTCCTAGCTACTCAGGAGGCTGAGGCAGGAGAATTGCTTGAACCTCGGGGAGTGGGGGCAGAGGTTGCAGTGAGCCAAGATTGCACCACTGCACTGCAGCCTGGGCGACAGAACGAGACTCTTTCTCAAAAAATAAATAAATAAATAAAATTAAAACTTTAGTTCATCAGTTGCACAGCTCTATTGATTTCAAGCACTCAACAGCTACAGGTAGCTATTAGCACAGGATTCCATCACAGCACAATGTTTTATTTGACAAAGCTGGCCCAAAGTCTACTAAGACCTTACTTGAGACATTCATGCAGCTGGAACACTGGGATAAGAGGCAGTGGTCAGGACTCACCAAGCCTAAAGTTAATACTCCTTGTAGCCAGAAATGTTAGTCTTGCATCTTGACAGTGGGTGAGGCCACTGTGTTCCTGCTCTATCCAGAAGCTCCTCAACCCTGAGGAGCTCACCTAGGTAGCTCCAGATATTTTCAGTACATGGCAAAGTGACATCAGGGAGGACAGAGTCGTGGTGCAGAAGTCAAAGCACGTGGCTTCCCAGTGAGCTCTGCACCAGCTAGTCAGTTACTTCACCTCTCTGTAGCTCAGTTTTCTCATTTCTAAAATGAGGACCAGATACCAAATGACTTCTAAAGGCTCTCCTGCCTCTCAAATGCTGTGATTCTACAAGGAGCAGTATTGAGAGACTAATGTCCCAGCGAGGGTGAGCAAATCTAGATAATCACCAGAAAGCCTCCTTTTCTAATTTGCTTACAGTCATCACTGAAAGCCGATGAGTTCTGAAAGTGCAGTGCATCATGCTGTGGCCTCATTTTTCACAGATGTCTGTAGGTAGCATTAACTTCTGCCTGGGACATTGCCCCTGGAGAAGCTATTTCTTTCTTGACAACAAAAGCATCTTAAATGTCAGGAGTCTGATTTGTGTTATTCTCCTCTCCCCTTCCCCATTTCAATCTTCAATCACATGAATAAGGAGATGGGGGTGGGTGGGAAGCAATGACTCTTTAGTAAGCATATTATTCTCTTGAGTATTTTCCTTACGAAAAGAATTCTAAATGTTTCTCTTAATAAGTGTTCTGTAAGAAGTTTATGATCCTATGTTTAAAAGGGCCTTAGCTCTAAGATAAGGGGTTTGGATTGTACATCTTTTAAAGGCCTTCTATGTCAAAGGACTGACTCTATGAAGTACCTGCCATGTTGATCTGAAAACCTCAGAGATTACTGAACAACAGTGAAGTCGTTGAGACATAAGGGGGAATGAATTTAATAGATGATTTACATCAACACTGTCTTGATTACATTTTAAAGTACCTCTTGAGCCACTACATTGACATCAGAATTCTGTGAGCAGAAAGAAAATTAGGAGAGGATTTCGGAAAGATAAAGAAGACTTAGCTACTGGACCCTAAAAATTGGCCATATCGATGGAGTGACTCATCACAGTACAGAAAAAAAGTGACAAACATCATAAGGTAATGTCAGATTTTGTGTCATTACTCTTGAGCAATATAGCCATAAACAAAGTACTGTGTCTTTGGGGGCATCAATTTCTAGCCTTCTCTGCAATAAGAAGGTCCCAAATGTGACTAAGAACTCAGTCTCATTCCACTATTTTGCCATTCAAGGGTGATGGAGAAAATGACTCACAGTGAAGTTAAAATGTTTTGTTGCACCATCTAAGTACATCAGGCATTCTGGAGAGCACAAGTAATGCAGATTATTACACACTGAGCAAAAATCTTATATTTTGTTAAAGGCAAAGAGCTGACAGGAAAAGTGATCATCTCACGAACAAATATTTGGTATAAACTGGAGCTGGTTAAAAGGGATCATGACCAAGTAAACAGAAAAACTTCATATCTGCAATACTTACAAATTATTTAACTTATATTTCATAGAATTTTTCTTTTCTTTTTGAAATTCATACTCTCTCTTTTATGCCATTGACAAGTTCTCTCCTCAGACTGAAAATAAAACCACAATGGTGGCAAGTTTTGGGAACCTACTTTTGATTCCCTTCATGACTTTATTCCTCCATCACAAATCTGAAGTTCAACATTGCAGCCTGGTATTCATGTTAACTGCATTAGAACTATTCTGGAGAGATTAGAAACTACAACAAGCAAAGTTAGTGATTCATCAGACTCTATTTTCAATTTGCCTTCTACTGCAGGCACAATTTCGTTAGATCCCCTAATGGAACTGGAGTCAGATGAAGCTAGGGTTAAATCTCAGCACAGTCAACCTTATTAGCTACATAACATCAAAAGACAAAGTATTCTTGGTGGAAATTTAGAAGATGGAAATGCGATTGTTTGTCTTGCAAGGCTTCCTGAGAAATAAATGAGGAAACATACGGGATAGTACCCAGCACATGTTAAGTATTTAGCAAGGGTCTCTGCTACCATTGTTAATTACACAAAATAATAGTATTTACAATTCAGGGATCCTTTCTTGTTTGAAAAGTAAACTCTTCTATACATTCACTACAATGTATCTTTTTCATTTTTAATCATAAATTGACCATTTATAATTGTATATATTTATGGGATATAACGTGTTATATTTATGAATACAATGTGGAATAATTAAATCAAGCTAATTAACATATCCATTACCTTAAATATTTGAATATTTGAAATTTACTCTCAGCAAATTTTGTTGTTGTTGTTGTTGTTTGGTTTTGTTTTTTTTTTTGAGATGGATCTCTTTCTGTCACCCAGGCTGGAGTGCAGTGGTGAGATCTCAGCTCACTGCAATTTCCACCTCCCAGGTTCAAGTGATTCTCCTGCCACAGCCTCCCAAGTAGCTGTGATCGCAGGTATGCACCATCACGCCTGGCTAATTTTTCGTATTTGTAGTAGAGACAGGGTTTCCCCATGTTGGCCAGGCTGGTCTCAAGCTCCTGACCTGAGGTGATCCGCCCACCTCAGCCTCCCAAAGTGCTGGGATTACAGGCGTGATCCACCGCGCCCAGCCACTCTCAGCAATTTTGAAATGTACAGTACACTATTATTAGCTATATCCACCACACTGTGCAGTAGATCTCACAAAATAACTTATTCCTCGTGTCTGAGATTTGTACCCTTTGACTAACATCTCCCTGTTCCTCCCACCCCTCAGCCCCTGTAATCACCATTCTACTCTGCTTCCATGAATTCAATTGTTTTAGATTCCACACGTAAGTGACAACATGTGGTATTTGTCTTGCTGTACCTGGCTTATTTCACTTAGCATAGTGTTCTCCCATTCCATCCATGTTGTCAAAAATGACATGGTTTTCTTCTTTTTTAAAGGCTGAATAGTACTCCATTGTGTGTATATATATATATATATATATATATATATATATCACATTTTCTTTATCCATTCATCCGTTGATGGACACATAGGTTGATTCCATAACTTGGCTATTGTGAATAGTGCTGCAGTGAACATGGGAGTGCAGGCATCTCTTCAACAAAGTGATTTAAGATCTTTTGGGTAAATAACCAAAAGAAGTGGGGGTGGGATTGCTATATCATATAGATATTTTATTTTTATTTAGTTTTTTTTTTTTTAATTTTTTGAGATGGAGTCTCACTGTCACCCAGGCTGGAGTGCAGTGGCATGATCTTGGCTCACTGCAACCTCCACCTCCTGGGTTCAAGCAATTTTCCTGCCTCAGCTCCCCGAGTAGCTGGGACTACAGGTGCACGCCACCATGCCCAGCTAATTTTTGTATTTTTAGTAGAGACAGGGTTTCACCATATTGGCCAGGCTGGTCTCGAACTCCTGACCTCGTGATCTGCCCGCTTTGGCCTCCCAAAGTGCTGGGATTACAGGCGTGAGCCACCGCACCCAGCCTATTTTTAGTTTTGTTAAGAATATATCTTGCATCTACAAATTTGAATTGATTTTTTAAAACTTTTGAATTAAAATCTAGTATATACAATGAAGTACATAAATCATAAGTGTATAGCTCAGTGAGTTTTTACATATGTATAGACCCTTGTAACTAACACTTTTGCCAAGATATAGAACATATCCAGCACCCAGAAGTTTCCCTCTTATGCCTTCCCAGTGAATACCCAGTTCTCCCCGGAAGTTTTCATTATTCTGACTTCTGTCACCATACTGTATGACAGTAGTTCATTCTTGGCATCACTGTACAGTATTTTACTATATAACTATACTACTTTTTTTTTTTTTTTAAGATTGATTCCCATATCCTGGAGGTAAGGCTAGCAAAGGAAGAGCTGCCACAGTGGTAACTGAGGTGGTCAATGGCCAATTACACCACTCACAGACATGGACGCTGGCTCTCAGATGTGCTAAGACCACAACCGAGACAAATCTATTGTATGCCTGAGAAAGAATGGAAGGGGAGAGAAGGGGTAGAAAGTATTTTAGGATTTCAGAATTTGTCTTATATCATATACCATCCTGCTCATCTAGTCCTCAGAGACTTACAGGAAAAAAAAAAACAAACAAAAAACAGCAGTCCCTGACATGATACCCATATATCAATTTAAGAAGTTGCATTATTAACATAATTTTTATTAAATCTCATCTACAAGAGGGATTTCCGGCAAGATGTTGATCCACGATGAATTCATTTGAATTATGCATTTCTTATTGACCTGATTTCAACCTCTCTCTTCAATCGTGACACCTTATTAAAAAGCTTTGTTCATCGACATAACTTTTCTTCTGCCTCTGAGTGAGATTCATTTCACTCTATAATCAATAAGACTAGTGTTCCATTGAGCATCTTTCAGGCAGTTGCTTTGACATTATTTAATCTGTCTTAGAATTTCTTAGAGGCTTAGGTTTAATGCCGTAAAATAGAAATAAACAGCCTTTAATTACCAGGTCTGCGTGAAATGGTGTTAACGCAAGTTTAACATATCTGTGGCCCTGAGAATGTTTGTGGGATCCAAAACAGTGAAAAATATTTATGAAGGTTTCATTTGCAAATTTTGTTACTAAAAAGCTTCCTAATATCATTAAACATTAGACATTCATCTCACTCAGAGACAAAGAAAGGATGGCTTCCCTATTGTTTTAAGATTTCTTAACTCGGTAGTTAAAAGAATAGAGCAACCAATGAACACAAAGTTAAAACTAAATACAGTAAAGAAAAATAGCCTTCAATAAAATTTAAAAAAGCTTCTCTTTATGTTTTGTTTGCCAAGAATTGCATACTTTGATTTCTTTCTAGTATAACTACTAACTGTTCAGCAAATGCTTTTCTTCTGATATGGATGAGAACAAAAAACAAATTGTCCGTAATGATTCTTTAGGGTCAGCCTCTCTGCCTAGCCCCCACCCCGCCCCATAAGGCTAGCTAGATCTCTTTATAACAAAATAATCTCCTTTTCTGATGACAAATTCTTGCCATTTTATATATTTATCATCATCGCCACTTGTTACTCTTGATGAAAAGCCTTTGTCCTTCAAGCTGCACCTCTTTTTTCTATCATCCACTGCCAGCCCCTTTGTAGCCAGTGACATATTAGGTAAACACACAAGAACTGCTAAGGCATTTTCATGCAAAGATGATGATAAGTCGGCTACGGTAAAACAAGCAGAGGAGCAGATAATTCATTCTGGTTCTTTTATTTCCCGGAAGCAAACTGAATAGGTAAAGAGTGTACCAATTCAACAAGCAGTCAGCTATGACGTACAAACTCTGAGAGGGTTAGATAGACCCCAGAATGCTTTGAGGATCTCATCTATCAAATTCAAGGCTGAACCACAAAAATTAGAAAAAGTCCCTCCTAATCAATCCATCCACATACTTTCGTCCTTGGCTGCTCATAAATTTTCCTCTGTTCACCCACTGCATAAACCATTTAGTCTGTATTTGGGTGCCAACTCTCCCAAGCTTTTCTCTATCATGTAATTTTCCACAGAAATAGGTTGTTGCTTTGTACCTCATCATTTGAGAGGGTCATTTCACTTGGTGGAAATTTCAGCTGCACTGAGCTCCTTCCAGATGTTATGAGATTTAACTCTGAACACCTGGTTTCACTCTGAAGGGCTGGGATTTGTTTCCAATTATGAGGCAGATAGGGGTGTTCTTTATGTGATTTCCTAAGTAAGGTTTTGCTCCTGGGAAACTTGAAAATCTTCAAGTTCAATGAAGAGAAGCAAGAGATGGGTAATCTCAAAGCTCACCTGAAAAGCAGAGTTCTGCTTATTTGTGCACATTCCAAATGTGTGATAGGACTGTCAAAGGAATGATTTTAAAGGCCTTGGATTGCAATTAGGAGGAAACTTACTGTGAGAAAAACAAAGCACTATCTTAAACTCCTCCAAACAGCTTTTTCAAACAAGGTTCCCTCTTTCTCTTTGGACTGCTTTATTTGTGGGTTAAGGTGCAGGTTCTTATCTACCATTTTGCTCAGTGACAATCTAAATTATTCTTAGAAACTCTTTGATTCTCCTTTTTCATTGTTTTTAATTACATGTTAATATACTTTCCTTAAAATTCACCAAAGCCTCTTGTTTTAAACATATTTGTGAAATATGCAATTTTTGGTGTAGTTCAGTTCCCTCTTTAAGACTCAATGTGTAACGGGTAAACTTTTGTTGATTGGCGTTTCCACTCGGGAATGATTTTATTATAAATTCAAGTCCACTTAATTACTGACCTTGTGACAATTATACAGAGTAACTGAAGGACTGACCTTGTCCCTTGGTATTACTGAATAAGATCTATATTCTCAGCAGTGTGGGATCACAGGCAGCAGGTCAGAAGGGGACTTGCCCTCTCTACACCAAGCTGCTCTAAGGTTCCGTTGCATAGACACGATGGGAAACACAGAATTTCTTAGTGTGCTCTTTAAACTGCCTAGCCCCACAATGTCATGTGATTACACTGAAATTCTGCACTTAAGGCCATTCAGGTCATGTCCAATTTCACTGATAACCAATAGATGTTAGCTGATGTGCCAAGGCACCACCCTCCGACTTCTAGCCCAGTGTCTTTCCACCTTACTGTGCTTCCATACCTGTTTCTGCAAGACTTGTCACAGGAATAACTCTGAAACCTTGACTTACAATTGGGAAACATACCATGAGAAACAGAACATAAAGAATCAAACTCCTCTGGACAGCTTTCTCAAAAGATATGGGGGAAAAAAAAGACATCAGCCATCCGAAGTCTGCCTAAAAGTCCCTCTGAAATCTAAGCAGGCCTGCTGCTTAATTTCTATCAATTAGATAGGTTGGAAGAAGTGGGACAGCCTCTTTTCAAGTTATATTCTGAGGAACACTGGTGCATCTAATAAATTATTTCCTAATTAATAACTTTTAGAGGAGCCATGCATTACATCTCCTTCTTAGAGTGGTACTCAATATACGTAAAACTCTGGGATGTCCTCTGGCAAACATACCTACTTATTTTTGTTTACCCTTGCATTTTCTAAATTTATCTGAAGGTATAACCTTGTTTTCCTGTAATACTCTTTGCAACTAATTTTAGGAAAACATCCCATTGTGAAAAAGGGCACAGAGTAGAGAGATCCAGTGACCTCTTTCTATGACTCTGGATAAAGCTCCTGATCTCTTTCCTCCTTGTCCAGGGATACAGCGGTCTGCCAGACAGTTACCAAGGCTTCATCCAGGTCTAACATTCCATTATTGTAAGTCTTTTTTTTTTCTTTTGAGACAAGGTCTTGCTCTGTCGCTCAGGTTGGAGGTCAGTGGTGCGATCACAGTTCACTGCAGCCTCAGTCTCCTGGGCTCAAGTGATCTTCCCAATTCAACCTCCCAGGAAGCTGGGACTGCAAGTGCAGGCTATCACGCCTGGCTAATTCTTGAATTTTTTTTGGTGAGATACGGTTTCGCCATGTTGGCCAGGCTGGTCTTGAACTCCTGGGCTCAAATGATCCACCCACCTTGGCCGCCCAGAGTGCCGGGTTTATAGGTGTGAGCCACCATACCCGGCCTTAAATTTTATATTAATGATGGTAATGCCTAGCATATTAGTTCGAGGTCAAATTCTACAATACGATAAAGATATACTTTGTATGTGTTACATTCAATGCTACATTGGGGGTGGTACCTCATGTAATCACAACAATCTGTTGTGCCAATTTTTGTGGGGCTGATATAATGGAGGCAGCTTAGCACCACGAAAGCATGCCAAGGTGATGAGTTAGAAACAATTTTACTTCCAGTTCTGGCATCCAACTGTGAGACCTTAGGCCAATCCTTTCATCTCCCTGGGTTCTAGTGGTCTCACCTGTAACTTAAAAGGGTTGAACTAAATGACCTCTTGGGTCCCCTTCAGTGCTAATATTCCATGACACGAGGCTCCGTAGACTTCTTCAATAAAGACAAGAATGTGTGGCTGCCGTGTCTCTGCTTCTGCAACTTGTCATTGAACCTATTGATTATTTATTTCACGTCAAGTGTTTGATTAGAAATGCAGTTTCTAAATATACTGTTGTTTCAAAGAGGAGCCTGGAGCACCTTTACTGGCATCATTAACACTCATTCATTCATCAGTTTGCCCTCATTTATTAAAAACCTAATATATGCTAGGCGTCGTGCTGAACTCAGGCGGCGCAGGCATGAGTAAGACAAACCACTGCCACCCAGAAGCACAGAATTCAATGGAAAACAGAGATGAATAATAAAAATCGTCATAAAACAATGTGATTAGGGTTTTATTTTAAATCAGGGTTTCTCAACATTGGCATTATTGAGATTTGGAGCCAGATGTTTCTCTGATGGGAGGGGTCCTGCGCACTGCAGGAGGTTTAGCAGCATCCTTAGATTTCAGCCACTAGAGGCCAGTAGCACTGCCTGCCCCCACCACCAGATGTGACAATGTCTCCAGATGTTTCCAAAGTATCCCCAGGGGAGAGGGAAGGTGGCAAAATCTCCCTTGTTTGAGAACAATTAGTTTAAATATATTCTCCTAGTATTAGGGAATTTTCTGTCTATGTGCTATGCTCTAAGTGAGTCTGACTATAACATTTTAAGTTTTAAGGATGGAAATCATGCCTATGTTTTTTTGAAATAATCTCAGCTTTGTAAATATTTATTAGGTACCTCCACAGATGTAAGGAGCTATCCTACTCACTGAGCATTTTTAAAAACTAGTACGACATAATTTGCTGCCCCTGTTTGGGGCAGGGGGTAGAGCACAGAATATAGGTAATACCAGCCCTATGGGAAAAGTTCCAGAGAAGGGCTATAAACAAGATGAATTAGGAGCAAGCCATTGATCCAACAAACGTTTTCCGAGTCCCTATTATGTTTACAGCCCTGTTTTGGGCTCTGGGGAGAAAGCAGTGTACAAGATAGACAATTGCTACCAGGAGGGAACCTCCATTCTCATGTTTAACAAACAATTAACACATATAGTATGTCAACTGGTGGTGAGTGCTTCTGATTAAGACAAGGCTGAGAGATGATAGATAGGGGATGCTGGGGCTGGGCAGTGGGCACAATTTTAAAATTGGGGATGCTGGGCAAGTCATTCCCCACATTCCTCGGTAGTCCTGAGGACTGCCCTAGAAAGGAGGATGGACCATCATATGTAAGCAACACCCAGCACAGAAGTTTGCTTTTTTTCAGCAAACAATTATTGCTTGCTATGCTATGCTATGCTATGCTATGCTATGCTATGCTATGCTATGCTCTATGCTATGCTATGCTATGCTATGCTATGCTATGCTATGCTATGCTATGCTATGCTAGGAGAGTCACCAAGTGTAGGTGAGAAAAGCCCCCAGCTTCTCTGGGTCACAGCATCCCCAAGTATGCAATCCACAGTGGGCACTCACAGCATTTCCTCTGAGCCCTCTCTGCTTCCCAGCCCTGCCAGTATCATACCCCTCTGCCCGGCGATCCTTTGGATCTCTGTCCTCTATTTCTGGGTCACCCCATTTTTCCTAACCCCTATGTTTCTCAGCTACCCATGTTCACAGGAAAAGAGGGTCCTTTCTCTCTTATCCATTTCTCCTAAGCATGTCTTGTTGCTTTCCTTGCAGTCTTTAAAACTGACTAATTAGGGAGTTTTATGTTCTGCTCACTGAAATTCTCATCTCACATCAGCCTTTCTACTTGGGTGCAAAGAGCTGCCTTCACCACTAGACTTTGTGTTTCTGTCCCTGACTCTCAGCACCTGTGTCTGTAGGGGTTTTTTGGGCTCCTTCATTCTCCACCAGGTCTTCTTGCTCTTCCCCAGTCCTTTGGTCTTTCCTCCTCCTCTGAAAGTCTCAAGCCTGGTCCACTCTCCCCTGTGGCTCTGTTTCTATGTTGCCTTCCTCTGAGCATGCTTCCCCACCTGTTCAGATTCAGAGGCAGCACATGAGCACACCATTGGGTTCCAGGCCATGGGTGAAGACCTTCTTATGGATTATTTGTTCTCATCCCCTGGTATAGTTACTCCATTTTCCAGATCTTCCTTCTAGGATCCATCTGCTCAGACTCTACCTCTGGATTATCGTGTCAGCAGTCCATTTATAATTTGACCATAGCCAGAACAGTGTCAATTTGTAATGGTCTTCTGGAAAGTCCCGCTTGCCATCCAACTGCATGTGAATCTAAATAAGATGCTAAGATGCAACTACTTTGGTATATATTTGCTAACTGTATGTACGTGAAATCATATTCTTATCTTGTAACTAGGATACAATTTCTTCCCCAAAAAAAACACTTTAATAAAGTAAAGAGAATAACACTTCATGAGTTATAAGAACACTTTTGCCTAATTTCCTAATAATTTTAATCAACTTTGAGCAAACTTGGCCTGCCTTAATACATAAAAGTTGAAACACTGAAGGAAGCATGTTTCCTTACAGTTTCATAGTTCGTATATCAAGGACGAGAAAGCATCCTGATTCTCTCCTCTACAGTTCACAGGCCTCTGGATAGGGTTCAAATATTTTTCAAGTCTAAACATGAGGAAATCATATGGCCTGTTGCTTTCTGTATTGGCTGTGAAGACCTCCAGTGACATTCACTAATAATTCTGTGACCCCAGTTTTTTGCAGCCCACAGGCATGTCTTTCATTGCTTTCACTCCAGTTGATCATCACAGACGTCAGACAGATCACTGGAATCCTATAACCACAAATTGTTGGGATGGAGTCCTTAAAGTTTATATAGAATATGTTCCTCTTTGGCTGAGGACTCTAGAGGGCACCCTGAGAGCCAACTGGGCTTTAGAGACAGAAGCCCCCAGACTCATCCATATAACTCACCTTGGCTCATTTTCTAGCTGTATGTGAACATTTTTCTGAATCATCTCAGATAAATTGCTTTGCCTGTCTCTCTGTCCTCTCAACCGTACAGTGGAGAGACTATGAGCTCTCTATTTCCCTGTGCCATTCTGATAATTAGATAATGTCCAAAAACCACTCCGGACTCTTCACAAAAGGCTGCTCTGTAAATAATATAAGATATCACAATTGCTTTGATCAATCATGTTAGGAAATAAATCAAGCACAGGCGTTTCTGACTTCCAGCATCACAGAACTCTTCCCAGCTGTTTTAACAGGCAACGCAAGGTCGGGTCCTCAAAGAAATGATTATTGCAGCAACTTGCAGTCCCAGTGGGGCTCTGGACACCTTTCACGGGTGGAAGAGATACTTGCTTTAGTTCAAGCAAAATAGTTCCCATGACAGAAACTAAATTGCTCATCCAAGTTAACTGAAATATTCTGGAACAAAGGCCCAGCTTATTTTCCCTCTTTTCTACTGTCATGCAGCTGTACATACTCTAATTAAAGGTAAGAAGATAATAACACTTCAATTTCAAATGAAAATGAGGAAAAACTGGTATGAGTCCTCTTCTGCTTTGCCCTTTGAGCTTGCACTTTTCTAAACACAGTACTCATTCTGCAAAGCTGTATTTCTGAAAATCTAGTAACATATTTTATAAAGTATTTGCTTTTTACTTTGACATTTTGCCATCAACTGCATATTTATACCTTGAAAAACTCACAAAAAAATTATTCCTTGGGAGAACCTAACTGGTACCTTAAACAAAACATTAAATAATCAAAACGGAGTGGAAAAGATAGATACGCTTTTATAGGCTCAGAACAATTGAAGAATGTGTCATCAAACAAAATCATTTTTCCTACCAAGTTACCATACGGTTGAGCCCTAGTACCAGAGTGGAATCCATTAGAAGCTAAAACTTCCAATACTGATTTCCCCCGGAGACTTTGCATTCTCTCCTCAAAATTTTTGTCCCAATTCCCAGCTTCTCATTCTCAGATCAGATGCACAGGTTTTGGTGCTGAAACTTCAATCTACGTGTCAATCTACACTCATGACATAATGAATCCTTGAGTAATCACCAGCATTGTTTCTCAAGTGAAATACCATTGAATGATGCATACTTGAACATCTCTCTTCTTTTTGAGAGCCAATATTTATATGCCAAGAATGCTTTATTCTGTTTTGCTAACTAACTCTGCTGCTGACAAATTGCCTTGCTCCCAATCTAACATTTGAAAAAGCCCTCTGAAAGATACACACACACACACACACACACACACACACACACACACACACGGCAGCATATCAATAAAATGTATATTATATATAAATTTATAACATATTACAAATTATCATGTGTCTATTCAATTGAGTATTCATTGAAACAAATATTCAGTAGATTCTGTTGTACAGGGTGATAAAAGAAAATACCTTGAAGATCTAAAGAGCAGCAGACTTATTTATTTTTAAATTGCAATTTATATGATAAGTATATTGGAAACCATGGACTCACATGTCCACATAACTGCACTTCAGCTCCCTGAGGGCAAATCCAATACCTAGTTTAATTAAAACCTATCCTTCTATTTTTAATGCAGCATGTAAAAGAGCTCAAAGAGGTGGACAAGAGATTTACTAGGCACAAGTTTATAGTCACAAAATTCATCAATTACTTGCACGGAATTTATATTGCCAAAGATATTGCTTGCTTCAGAGAGTCTTGATTTAAACCTAACAAACACATGTAAAAATCATTTACAAAAGATGGTACTAAATTTCATTAAGTGGTTGACATGTTTTAACTTAGAGCTTCACCCTCTCCTCAAGATTGCCCCCTAAGGAATGTGGTAAACTATATATCTTTAGAAAGGAATCTAAGGCAAAAGTCACATTTTGCAGGGTTTTTTGTGTCTCTGAAAGCCATTTCTTACAGATTTTGGGAAAGTAAACAATTAGAACCACTACTTCAAAACACCAAATGCATTCTTAAGATGAGATTTCACCTAAAAGAACACAGAGGCAGCAAAGAATGTACTAATTCATTTCTGTGGTCAAAACTTCGCTTTTCACCAGGATTCTCACTAAAAACACTCCTGTTTCAGGGACAGAAGTACAATAAAGTTCTGAGTACTTGGGGCCAAGAAAATATATCATCATGTGGAAAAGTAACTTCTGACCAATAAGTCAGCAGCAAGAGAAAATCTCTCCCTTTCTCTACTGATCCATTGGCCAAGAAAATCTAAGACATACATCATTCCCCCAAAAGTGAAATATAACTCCCTCTTTCTCCGTGCAATCTCCCCTCAGCTTACATGTTCCTACACACAGCGCACACTTCATGGTTTACCTTTGAATTACTGGATTCTGTCAAGGGTCCTTCCTAATATATCCAGCAGGAATGCAAGATGATGAGTGCTCTTCACCCCCAAGTGGCATTTGACTCCACTCCATGCAATCACTCAATGCAGTATGGATGAATAGGCCAAGTTCAGGTTCACTGCCCTACAGAGTCTTTATTCCTCACAGCACATGACTAGAGAGCAAGCGAACACTGCTGCTGGTGATGCTTCGCTCCCGTTAAAACTAATTGAAAAAGCACATTGCGAAAAGCTCTCTACAGGCTCGCTGTCCTTACTCTTGCTGTGACAAAGTTAAAGCTGTAGCCTTGAACAAGAAGAAGAACAACGACTAAAATACAATACCAATTTCCTCTCCAGAGGAGTTTTCTCTTCCAGCAAAACATTATCCCCGGCAGGCTTGAAGACAACAGGTGAAACCACAAATGAAGCCTTGAACTTTATTGACCAAAAGAGCCCAGGCAAAATTGCATGGGTGCCCTGCAAGCATCAGTCGCCCCCATCGGTGCCTCTTTGCAACGTACCTTGGGTGCGCACTGAGGCCAGCAAATAACATCTAATAAACAGCAGAGAACGCGACCGATAGCTTAACCTTGCTCCTGCCTTCAAAGATGCCAGACTGTTCTGTTTGCACAGGACTCTCCTTTTACCAACATTCAATTTGAATGAGCCAGTGCAAATGCACTGCTCGTCGGCTCCTGAGAACAGGATGCATTTATGTGAAACACGAGGAGAATGCCTAATGCCAAGGCATCCTCTGCATTCCCAGGAGCTTTTATTACAGGGCTAGCTTACATTTCACTGCCAGCACCCACTGCACTTCTGCGAGCATCGCGACTTCTAGCCAACATGTCATCCACCCAGTCACACGCACCTGAAACGTTGTGATTGTCTGTTAAAACAAGCACCTTTTGTGAGCTCTCATCTGCACCCAGGGAGATATTCTGAGTGACGGTGATGTTGGGTGAGCAGAATGTCATGCTGCTCTTTTTCAATCAGCAACTTTCAAGACTGGGAAAAATGACCACCAGATGCATTGTGGTGTGTCAGTTTTATGCTGAGAAGTAACGGCTCTGCAGTCCTTCATTCGAAAGGATCCAGGAAAACAGGCACTGGGGCTTTGATTCATCTTTGTTCCATAACACTAAACACAACCTTAATGAAAGCCACTGTCCAAAGTATGTGATAGCATAATAACGTGTAGCTACCAGGCCATGGCCAACATCCCATCTGATTACCTGTTACCGGCAGTGCAGGAAAACATTTTTCCTGGTACATTTAATTTTACATTTTTCCCCTCACGTACAGTTCACATTTGACTGAGTTGCAAAGACAACACTGTTTTGATTTTTTGTCCCCCTTAAAATTGCCCCAACTTTCTAGCCTGGTTTGGGGATTAAATTTGCATGGCTATATATGTTGCCCTGTGTGCTTTCGTGTTTAGATATGCAGGGCAGAATCTCAGTGTGGCCTGGGAAGGCCTTTTCTTAACCTTATTTCACAACCTGTGAGTTTGGAAAACATGCATCTGGATACAGCAGGAGCATTTTCCTGAGACCTCTGTTACAGGGAGTGAGATGACTGAGGTTGACTGAGACCCTAGGGGAGCAGCAAGCACCCCATTGGGAGGAAGTACCCAGGAACTTTGGCAGAAGTATTTCTTTGGGAAATGCAGACTGTCATCACTCAGGTCTAAGGAGTTCTGCTCAGTTCTGCAGATCAAGAAACTCTATTTGGTCACTTTAACCAGGGCTTATGCAGATCTCTGGAAAGTTACACTAACCAAACTCATAGGAGACTGAGTTATAAGCCAAATAATAATTGGTAAATTCTAATTCACCCAATATCTTACAAATGGTCAGAATTTTCACATCTGCCAACCAAGGATAAAGAAACTGTGTGTGCAGGTGAATGAGTGTGTGTGTGTGTGTGTGTCCACATGCACGTGCACCCACACACGTGCACACATTGATAGTGTGGAAATAAATATCAAGTTATGTAAATCTCATCGTAGGAGTCAATGGGAAATCTGGTTAGGAGATTTCACAAATAGTTGGTAAATTGACAGGTTAAAAAATAACATCTAGTAGATTCTGGGGCTCAACACCAGACCTAAGTATACAAATTCAGTTTCTAATCATAGCACAGACATGTGAAGCCATTAGTATAAGCCTGTGGAGCATGAGTGGTGATAGGGAAGGAGAAACAGATGCATATGTTAGCACCAATGATTAGGAGGGAAAATTTTCAGGCAAATGTTCCATCCAGCTTTCTCAGAAGGGAAGCAAGGTTTTTATGATTATGATTGCTCACAGGGAGCCTGGACAATCGAATGAGGCCTCCCAGCATTCAGGGGTATATGGAAACAGCTGGTAGGAAATGGTGACTATAAATATCAGTTCAAAAACTCCTAATACAAGATGCTTAGGATGGATCAATTCATGTATCCATTCATTTATTCCAGTAAACATTTCCAGAGTGCCTCCCATGGGCCATGCTCGGCCCTACCATCGAGGAACACAGGAATGAATGATAGATCCTACCTCCTGAGCAGATGGGGCTCATGTTCTTAGAATTCAGGATGCATTTCCCCATTTCTCAAAGAAATATTTCTGCCTAAGTCCCAGAAAAAGACAAGAATTCCACAAGAGGGATTTCAGACCCATCAGAAATAGCTCTGTGATTCTAATCAGCTGACTCCCTCCCATCTTCCCAAATACGCTGGGAAGAAAAGCTGAGAAGCAACTACGGATGGCTGGGCCTTGAAATTCCAACAGGAACAGCAAATGATCCGCTTTCTTTATGTGGATGCCTTCAGAATTGCCAGCTGTGGTGGGGACAACTTAGGCCCCCGATGACCTTGACCTTCTAGTGTCATGTCTGTGGTGTTGTTGGATCGCAAGAGACTTTTAGGCATAATGAAGTTTATTGATCGGCTGACCTTAAAATGGGGATATTATCCCAGATTATATGGATGGCTACAATGTATTAATGATCACACAAGCCCTTAAAGGCAGAAAAGTAACGCAGAAGAAGAAGTCAGAGGGACTGGAAGCATGAGAAGGATCCAGTGTACCACTGTGGGCTTGCAGATGAAGGGGACACATGTCAAGAGTATCAGGACCTCAGTCCTGCAACTGCAAGGAACTGAATTCTGCCAACAAACTGAGTCTGGAAGAGCACCCAGGCTCTAGAAGTGGTGACCCACAAGCCTGGCTTGATACCTTGATTTTAGCTTGGTAAAACCCTTAGAGAATCCAGCCCTGTCACGACATATACTTCTGACTTAGAAAAACTGTGTGATTATAAATTGAGTTGTTTAAGTCACTAAATTAGTAGAATTTGTTGTACAGCAATAGATAACTAATAAGTCAACTCTGCCTGTGGTCAGGGTGGATAATCTGCAAGCCAACCATCCTGCTTTACAGACTGTTTCCATTCATTAGGTTCACCTGTGAAGATGGTAATTCCTACCAGTGCTACAGATGTCACTGCAAATGGACAAGCCAAGTCTAGAAGACGCTAGGTCGGGATTGGACAGCCAGAGGCTGGAAGATGATTCTAAGACCAATGAAACAGAAAGGGAAGCATATCACAAACCAGAGCCAGACACTCTGCTAGGTTCTGAGGATTCAGAGGTAAGTATGGCAAGATCCTTGTGTTTTAGGGGCTTAGCATAGAATGGGGGAGAATGGGTAACTAATGGGAAACAAAGCAGAACTAAGTGATATGCTAGGGATGGAGGATAGAGCTGTTTGTTCTATTTGGAGGCACAGGTGATGTTGACTACCCAAACTGCCAGCTGGATGCATACTGGCCCCCAAGAAACAGCACCACCCATCAACTGTCAAAACACCAAAGTTTTATATAAAGATGGGATCCGACCCTGCGCTTGCATGGCCCTGCCTTCCTACCCTCACCCTAATCTTAGCCCTCTTGAATCCTGCCTTTCTTTAAAATGGCAAGTAAGGTTTTGTTCATCTCGGACTCTTTTGCATTCGTTTGTTTTTTAAAGGACTGCCTTCCAATATTATTTATCTTGATTACAGCGTATTTGGCATCCCCTTAAGTTTTGCTCCCCAGGCAAGCAGCTGACTTGCCTCACCCTAGTGAGAAACAAGTAGAGCTGGCCAGGCAGTGAGGGGCCTGGCGGGGCTAGGGAGTTAGTCCAAGCTCAGCATCGATAATTCTGGCATGGATCATATAGGCTTTGGGGAAATGATTTGCCATTTTAAGTTACGCTTTCTAATTTGGGGCTCAAAGAAAGTCTCTTTCTCTCTAGTCTCAAAATTTAGAGTCTAAAATTCTGTAACATAATATCTTTTTGAATGGGTAGCCTGACTCCTAAACTTATCAACAGCTCCTAGTTGCATAAAGATTTATAGATGCTCAGCTTTGTTTTCCTTAAACCTGTTCAAAGTATGAATCTACTTAGGCACAGCAACTTTATTGTTAAATTAGAATAATTTCCCTGCAGAAAATCTACAGAGCTCTCATTTGGGAGATCCAGGAGAACTAAGGAAAGGCAAACTGAATTTAAGGCTTTGGGGAAATTCAGGGAGAGCTAAGTCAGAGTTAGGATGGAAGTTTTCTGTAATCTTAGTATGATAAGGTCAAGCTACTTCTGCAACTTCATGCAGCTGGTGATGCAGCCTGCCAGAACTGCCAGCTGACATTTGCAATGCAGGTAACCAAGCGAACCCGGAACCCTCCGTTCCGCCTTTGGAAAGCGGACAGCTTTGTGGGCTTCATTTTCTGCTTTAATAAAAGGAATGCTGGTCTCCAAAATGGTGTGCAAAGAAAACGCTGTGTTTCCCAGTGGCTAACTTCGTACTTAATTGGATCATTTTTACAATAAAGAGGATTCTTTTCCCCTCAAGTTCTAAAAATAGCAGGAGACCGCACAGTTTGGGCTTTGGATTATTGGCTTCTTTCTTTGTTTAGTTGGGAGATAATATTATTCTATTGTCAGATTGATGCTGGTTCCTTCTAGCAGTGAGTGGGCTTAACACAAAAGGTGTTCTCTGGGCCAATTTAAACCAGCAGGTAGAAATTGTTACACATCTGAATCAAAACACAGGAAAAGTATATGCCACTTGCCTTGATAAACTCCCACTATTTATTATCTGGGATTGAGGTTTTTAAAAGCAACCACTCTGTAGAGTTTAGGCATTCAGCATCTGATTATTACTTAGTGCCTGAACTCTCTTTACAGCTCCAGAATAATTAAAATGCAAAAAAGGGAGTGCAATGTCATAGGAGAATTTGAATTTTTAAACACCCAGGTTAAAGCATGCGAAATGTAATATTCTCTCTGCAGAATGAATTATTTCCTTTCCACTAAGAAGTCGGTTAGAACTTCAATCGAGAGAACACACAGAGCAAACTGGGTGATCAACCTGCCTTGTGAAAACATTAGGTTGTGCATATTGTGATTATGCACTTGACTTTACAAATCAAGGGCTAAGCTATACAAGGTTTTTAAACTTTGTACCTGATGAAGACCAAAATACAAGGAAACTATCCTGTAACTGGTGAGGCGGCAAGAGGAGAGAAGTCAGTGGTGCTGTCCCCCAAAGTTCTAAAGGACTTCTCGGCTCCATTGTGGCACTAGAAACCAGGGTTTGGTCCATCAACTCCTTGCTTGTCCTGAGGACCCAGTCCCAGAAAGATGGTGTTCGGCCCTGCAGTACCTCAGGATTGTTGCTTGGATTGAATCACACCCAGACACTTCTACAACTCAGAGCTCACTCTCCTCTGAGGAAATACCTCAAACCCAGTTGAAAGGGAGGCCAGCTCTGTCAGCATGTGACAAAAAGGAAAAAGACATGTCATCTTCCTAGGATCCTTCTAGAAACCCAATTAACCTGGAGGCCCAATGTACAGAACCTGTATAGCAAAAGGCAATAGCCTCGACACACTCTGCTCAGAGAACCCAGCACGCCTGGTCTCAGCACCATTACCAGGAATCAGACCCTGCTATTTTGGAAGACGAGGAAATACTGCTAGTAGGGATGGTGAAAAGTAGAACAGAACACAAGGAGGAACATTCCAGCAGGTCCTGGGAGGAGCCAGCATCACTGCTTCAGCCAAGGCTTTAGAGGGCCTGTAAGGCTAGGCTACAGCTCTCATCCCAGGCATTCACTGGAACTAACGTGGAAAGCATTAAAAATACCCATACCTGGCCTCATTGCTGAGATTCTGATGTAACTGGTCTGGAATGTGACCTGGGTATCAGGATTTTTAAGATTCTCAGGCGATGCTTTTGTTCAGCCAAGGTTGGGAAAGACCAGAGTAAGGCTGACACGTTTCCGGCAGCTTCTGAAAGTTAGCGAATGTCAAACACTGGGAAGCTGCCCGTGGCTGACATTAAATTGACTATAGAGACAGGAAATCTGAATCAAATCAAGAAACACTGATGGAGCCCAGACTTCTGGATGAGCACAGGAGATGATGAGTGGGTGAGTCTTCTCTGCAGAGGAGCAGGGCTGGTTTCCTGGAAGTATCTCAGTGCTTATCAGAAGCTACCATTCTACATGTATTCACATTTAGAGTTGCTTGATAAAGCACAAAATGCCCAGTTAAACATGAATTTCAGAGAAACAATTTTTTTGGTATAGTTATATCTTAACCATTGCATGGGATAATAATTTTTAGAATAAGTATGTCCCAAATGTTGCATGGGATAATAGTTTTTAGTATAAGTTATGTCCCCAGTATTGCAGGGTCCATACTTACACTAAACTTACATTGTTTGCTGTTTATCTGAAATTCAAATCGAACTGTGCGTCCTGTATTTTTATTTGCTATATGTGGCCACTCTATTCATATTTATTCTTTACCATCATCATAGGCATATTTATTAATCTCATGTGTCAGCCACTGTGCTAAGTATTTAGCATACTGTAGCACATTTAATCTCCCCAGAAACTACCATTGTGCAGATCTGGAGGTTGCCTGTAGCATAATAAAGACTTCTTAAATGATTGCAATCGTTACTGTCATGACATTCTAACAAGTTGAAGGCAAAGGAATCTTTGAAATACTCATATTAAAATGAAACCAAAAGAAACTCTTCATGTAGGAATTTCGTGCTCAGTTTTTTAAGCCACAAGTAAATCAGTTTAGAAAATAAGGGTTAATGAGGGACATTCCCCCTCTACTCCCCATGCTTTTTCTTCTCTTCTTGTCATTCTACCCACCTCTCAAGTATCTTGGGCCACCATAATTCTCAGACTTAATGGTGACCAGATAAACTGGCTGGGCTATGGTCAGGTCAGGAGATACATACACAACAGGCTACGCCATATGGGTAGCCAATTCCTATTGTGATTTTTTGGGGAAACGTAAATGTCATTTGGATAATTTATACTAAGAAATACAGATACTACAAAACCATTAAAACAAGTATACAAAGTTCAAATAGAGAAGGGGGTGATATAATTTCCTAAGAAAACCTAGGCTGAAGATAGCTAGTGTACAGCAATTTAATGTTAAATAAAACTACAGGTTTCCTGGTAGTCAAGGCAAAAAGGGAAGCAATCTATTTCTGCATTCCCTATCCAATAACAGGAAGCACACTTAATCAGGAGAGAGAAATTTCCCCTTGGCAATGATACTACTATATCACTTGCTTGTTAATAAAATAAGATTCCCTGGACAGCATAGTAGACTGGGTCTATTTTTATATCTCACTGAAGACACAGATGCTTTCTGGGTTCCAAATATTCTTAATGATAAAGTCCCTGAAGACAAGCAGTTGAGAAGCAAATATTTAAAACATGTTTAAGGAAGAAAGTTTGGGTTCTAGCAGTTTTTACAAAGGCCAGCTGTCGCACTGACTAAAACTTTGAGAATTACAACTACAGGCCAGGGTTCACCAGAATCCTTCCTTCTTCTCACGTAATACTTTTATCTTTGGAACACTTGTAACATTTTGTAAGCATCTGCCAAACCCCTGCCTTTTGCACGTGAGCAGATTTTTGCAGCAGGAAGGCTGAATCTTGGAGAGAGACACTGCCCTGGGGCTACAGGCAGCTCTAGGAAGCATTGCCTTTGGGTTTGTTCTCTTGTCCCCCAGCAAGCTTTTCTCCTCCATATGGTCAAGGCCAAGCACAGAGGGACAGTGCATTTCC
Organism: Homo sapiens; assembly: GCF_000001405.40. Classification (NCBI taxonomy): domain Eukaryota; kingdom Metazoa; phylum Chordata; class Mammalia; order Primates; family Hominidae; genus Homo; species Homo sapiens. The sequence goes on along the minus strand of NC_000023.11, from coordinate 12,370,446 downwards.
CTGACAGTAATGACGTGAGCCTCCTGGGTGAAATAGCTAGAATAACTCCCAATTGATGGGGCTTTTGCTTTTTGTTACATTTCTTCATCTGCTTTCCCAGTTCAAAAATTTTATATTTGTTTCTTGTTTATTTATTTTTGTGGAGATGGGGTCTCACTGGGTTGCCCAGCCTGGTCTCAAACTCCTGGGTTGAAGTGATCCTCCTGCCTCGGCCTCCCAAAGTGCTGGGGTTACAGGTGTGAGCCACTACACCCGGCCCCAGTTCAAAAACTTTAAATGAAGTGACCAATTGGAAGCAAATTCCCTGTGGACATTCTCTTTCTTTGTGAATTGTGTTTGTTACTGAGCAGAAAAGATTTTTCTTAAAAAATTGGAAAATTATGATAAATGAAAGAGCATTTGCTCAACACTAGAAAGCTCACATGCAAAAGTTCAGTCCAATAAAAAAACCAGAGCCATTAAGTATTGGAGAGGAGGCAAAAAGCATATATACGTATGAAACGTAAAATATATATATTATACATATTTCTATATAATAGAGGAGGAAAGTCACTACTCTGAATGGATGATTTAGATTACTACTAGTGACTAAGTCCAAACTCTTTGGCATAGGAACTAGGCCTGTTTGTCTGAACTTGGCCTCAGCCTTCCTTACTGATCTCTAGTCACACTCACATCATATGTTCCTTGACTCTATCATGCATCTTGTACTTCAGGACCCTTCTTTATAACAGCAGTTTCCACTGACTATGAGACTCTGCCATTTTCTCTCCAACTATTGAATTCCTACTTACGTTTCAAGAACCAGATTAAACAACACTTCTTCCTCCATGAAGTCTTCCCAGAATGCCACAGGCATGGTTATTGGCCACCTTGGTATTTTATATAGACCTATAACACTTCTTACATTGTATAATTATGCATTTGAATCTATTTCCCATTCTAAACTACACATCTTCTATTCAGAAGTTTTGTTTTTTGTGTCTCCAATGTTGAAACAGTATCCAGCTCAAGTCTCAAATATACATGTATTGCATTTAATTTGAAATCAATTCAGACAAAAAGGAGGCCCGCGTTAGTTAAATGATATAACCCACGCTCTAACACAGGATTTCTTAAATCTTGTTTGGAGACAGACCAGCATGACTCCAGTTACTTGCGTGGTGTCATAAACTATTAAAGAATTCTCAAAATGAAAAAAAAAAAACTGAGTTTATTTTAATTTTAAAAAATTAAAATAAAAGTTTAAGATTATTTAATTTAAAAAATGCCCTTACATACAGCAGACTGCCCCTTGAAAGGGAAAAGAGTCCCCAGATCAGAGAATGCAAATGATACAATGTTACGAAGTTCTGTTTTCTGGGGGCTACTGATGAAGAGAGAGAGAGAGTAGCTAAAGATGAAGTGGGGTAAAGACGAAGGGCGGGGCAGAGGAAAGGGGAAGGAAAGGAGGACAGGCAGAAACTGTTTAAATTAGTTCTGAATTTATTATATGCTTTTTGTAAGTTTGGTGTTAACTTATAGCTTTTATTACATATCATGGGTTTTTGTTTGTTTTTGTTTTTGTTGAGACAGAGTCTCGCTCTGTTTCCCAGGCTGGAGTACAGTGGTGCAACTTCGGCTCACTGCAACATCCACCTCCCAGGTTCAAGCGATTCTCATGCCTCAGCCTCTGGAGTAGCTGGGACTACAGGCGCCCGCCGCCAGGCCCAGCTAATTTTTGTATTTTTAATAGAGATGGGGTTTCACCATACTGGGCAGGTTGGTCTTGAACTCCTGAACTCAAGTGATCTGCCCACCTCAGCCTCCCAAAGTGCTAGGATTACAGGCGTGAGCCACTGCACCCAGCCATGTTGTTTTTAGATAATAGGTCATGTTTAAATGTTTTGAATCTATTGACTTGACTTGAAAAAAAAAAAAATAGCACAGAGCAGAAGATGTAAAACATGTTCCCTCGCCAGGTAGTAATCTGCCAACCATTCTTTTTATTTCTGTATTCCCTTCTTAATTTAGCACTGGGCCTCACTTTACTGGAAAGAATACAGCACAAATAATTTATACTAGTTGTTTTTTCTAACTTTGGTGGTACATTATATTCAGTCTCTTTCTTCCTCCTGGTAACGTCAGCTGTTGTACACTTATCTCCAGCTACCTGAAATGGTACAGACCAAAGCTTTGGGCTGCAGTGTCACTGGTTTATATATTTCATCTCCTTTAGCACTTGCCTCTGAGTGTTGTGGGAAGGAAACTGAGGCAGAGAGATGTAGTCACTTGCTCAAGCCCAGGCAGTCTACTCCAGGGGGCCAGCTCTTCACCACCACACTCTCCTGTCTCCCAGGGGAAAAGCCAAGCTCTGGGATGTACCAGAAAGAGAGGGCTTCTGCAATGGATTGGCAATGTATGGTCATTGCATTAGAGGCATCATCTCCACAGATGCTAAGGTCATGCAGGAGGATGGGTGAGAAAGAGAACAGGGACCTAAGCCTAGATAGAGATCTGATTAGTGGGTGTCAGTGATGAGGATAGACAGGTATAGTCAGGTATGCAAGCCTCCTAAGAAGAGTTTTTATTTTGTTTTACATGAAGATGAAAGTACATTCAGCCTATTTATTCTCTTATTTCCTTTTTAAGTAACATGATAAATCCCTTCCACAAAACTCTTCACTAGCTCCTAACATCTCCTGACTTAAGGTTCTGCCTTGACATCATCTCCTTCACCTTCCATGTCTAATCCCTGACCAGGTCCATCAGTTTTACATCCTGAAAGGACCTCGAAGCATCTCCTTTCCCTCATGGTTATTGCCACCATCCGACACTTCTGCTGCCCCAAGCACCATCGACTCCTCTCCAACGAGTGCAGCGGCCCCGTAACTGGACTCCTTACATCTCCACTCGAATCCCACGCCCTCCAATCTCCTCTCTGCACACTGGCATCCATAAATCCTTGTCAAAGTGGAAATCGGCAATTAGGGCAGCCACTAAGGATGGTTCATTGCGCAACTCAAGAAGGTGCTATGTGCAATGTAGCCATGATTCCAGGAGTCAACCTTCATTAGCATGAAATGTGAAGGGTGCCCCTGGGGTAGGCAATGCTGCAGTGCTATATGTGCAGGCCGGAATGGGATCGGGAAGGGGCAGTACTGCCCACCCAGAGGTGGTCCAGCTGGATAGAAACCTCATCTGTATTTAGAAAGGGCAAAAAGGCAGGGGAGGGGCAGTTTGGAGTTTACAGAAAACCGAGCCTTCATGTTTGAGAACTTCTAGTCATCCTGTTCTTCCCCCACTAAGTCTAGGCAGGTATGTGAATGGAAAAGCAAGGTTGTATATGTCTCTGCTGTTTCACCTGCTCCCAGGCAAGTACAAGCCACGGACCAGGAAAAGCAAAGGCTTGGTCTCCTGATGCCCCCAAGGAGCTGGCCTGAAGTGCAGAGTCTGTGTGCCTGCCTGGTTTTTGATGATATTCCCTGCCCTGGCCATCACCGCAGGCAGCAGCCCACCCAGAGAGAGAAGCAGCAGAACAGAGTGGACCCTGCTGGGTTGGTACCCCTCTACCCTGGTCCTCTGTGCTTCAGCCACCTCAAGACTTAGCTACTATACACTCAGCCCCATTCAACTTTCGGCTCAAGTGGCACTGGCTCAAAGCCCCTGCTCAATGCCCCACAGCCCCATGCAGATTTATTTCAATGCACATGCCACTTGGCCGTGTGTCACTGGATCCAATGCCTCTCTCCTAAGAGACTGTATATCCATCAGAGCAAGGACTGGATCACTCTTGTGAGATATCAGATTTCCTGAGCTGGCATAGTCTGGCCCATGGGGACACTGGGTGGGTGTGCTCATACACAGTGTCTGCATCATTTCTGATAAATGAATAAATGCATGAAAATTGCTAATGCCTTGGTTTATTTATGTGATTTTCATCTCTATTCTGGACAACTGCTGCAAACTCCCACCTAGACTCTGAAACTAGTCTCTGTGCCTCCAGTCCACCCTCTGCACTGCCATCAGAGTTATGTTTTGCTAATATGATCCTGTCTAATTTTCTCACTCCCCTGTTCAATCCCACTGGTTGCCTACAGCCTCCAGGATGCATTTCAATTTCCTGATGGCAAGGAGGTTCATCATCATTCAGCCTCACCTTTCTCATCAGCTTCCTATGGCCCCGAGGTCCCATCCTCTATGTCCACCAACAGTAAACTCCTGATACATCCCTTTGTAAGGCTGACCATATTCTTTGCCTTCATTGAAATGACCTCGCACTTTCTTGGCCTGGCAAACCCTTTTGTGTACTGCAGACAGACCCAGCTGAAGTCTTACTTCTGCTGATGTTCCCTGAACCCCAAGGCCAACTCAGCAGCTTCCTGCCTCAAGTTTCTCCAACTCTATCCCAACCCCTATCATAAGGCAAAACACATTTTTAGGGCATTAATTATTCAGTTGTTTGTTGCCAATCTGAACCCTTGAGGGCAACGCTTATTCATCTCTCTCCAGTGCTGAGCACAGAGCCTAGTGAATGGAATTATTGAATGAATAAATGAACAAATAAAAGAACACAGGAATGACTTACAGGGAGCAGAAAATACAGTAGAAAATAAAATAAAGAAGATGGTAGGACAGAAGGCAGAAATAAGGTGGAAAACTTGAGACAAGACACAGAAAATAAAAACTTCCAGCCCTCTCCTCCCTTGGTTGCCCCCTGCCCCTGCCCTGGTGGCAGGACAGGTGCCCTTCTACCTGGAATGGCCCTAATGGAATGGGTAGAGGCAAGTGAATCCAAAGAGATGAAGGAGAAGGAGGACATATTATAGGCCATGAAATCGTGGGAGTATGGAAAGAGGTCTGACCTCAAAAAGACAGGCTCAGACAACAGAGGGACAGTGGGAAGGCCCCAGCACTTGGTGAAAAGAACAGTGTGAGGTAGGAATAGGAGCCACAAAACTGAAGCCAAGGGTGCTGATGATAAGCTCACTACTTCAAAACTGCCTGTCCCTATACCCATGTGGCCAGGAACCACAATCAAGAAAGGCACTGATAGAGCTCTATCTTATCTGCAAAGCCTTTTCTCAAACCATCTAATCGACCCCTCTAGCAGGAATTACCCATGTTTTAGAGCTGTAAGGCCTGGGCTGAGAGGTGTATCCGGCCCAAGGTCCCACAGAAGGGAGGTGCAAGTCTCTGATTGGAACTCAGATCTTCTGCTTCAAATTTTAGGTTCCCTTCTCCCACCCTCTCCAAACATCCTGGCATCAAGAAGTGGAAAAGAAAGGCAAAGGATCCTTCATACTGCAAAGTAGGTTCATGTTCACCACCAGTTTCAGGTTTCTGCTTCCCATCTACCCCCTTGAGCTTGGTTTCCAGGAAGGAAGCCCCAGATGTGTTCTCAAATGGGCTGTTTACAAAGATACAGAATCAAATTAAGGGCCATGTCTCAGCAGAACACCAGCTGAACGCAATGGGCCTCTAGGCCAGGACACGTAGAGGTGAGGTCAGGAGCTGGAAGCCTACCCCTAGGTATAACTTTCCTGGCTGATGTGCATTAGACTTTGAGGAATAAGTAAAGAAAGAAAGGAATCAACCAACCAATGAGAATTTCAGGACTTCAAGTAGTCTCCAACCAGGGGAAGCTATTTGAATCTCAACAAATCAGTCTCTATGGCTTTGTTGGTGGTAGGGCGGGGGGCGCACATGACGGGGTGCATATTTACCATGTTTCTAGCTTCTATATAATCTTGGTGCTTTAACATCTACCTGACACATCTTGCTTTAGATAATAGGATGTTATGCCTGAGTCACCTTGCCTGGACTCCTGCCTCCCTCACCATCTCTATCTCTCTTCAGGAGTCTTCTTCCTCCAGAGGGCACAGTTTTCAAATACAAACCAACCAATACACAGCCCACAGCCCAACCACCTCCTTTATGGAGCTCTCATACTCCAGGCCACCATCCACCTGCCCTAATCACCCCAGGGCCAGGAGCCAGAAAACCAAGGACACCTGCTTTGCCCCAGAGCAGGCCGAAATGACTGAAACTGGCCACTCCCAAGCCTGATCATCCTGCCTTACCTGTTCCTTCCCATGAAAACCACAAGTAAAGACTCTTGTACACAGTTGCACCCTTCTCCTTCCGCCTCTTGACCTATGCTGGTGCTTTCCCACATGCCCCACCATGGTGTAATAGACCCCCTCCTCTTGGGAACTGTAACAAACTGTCTCTTCAGTGGCAGTCATCTCCTGATCTGTTGGCCTTACTATACCTCACACTTTTTATGAATACACTATATTTTAGAAGTGTATGTGTGTGTGTGTGGCAGTGGGGTAGGGCTTGGGGGTGGAGGATCTGATTCCTCATCTATCTTGAGAAAAAATGGAGATTTCATTTTTTCCTTGATATGGAAACATAAGTTTCTGACACCTCATAGATTCTAAACAGCAAATGAAGTTTCTTATGGGTTGTAATGAACTTGCAATAGATGTTGTTTGAATGAAACTTAGAAAAGCTGACCTCATTCCTAAGTGCTCTCCATCACCTAATGTACTCTCCTGTTTCTAACCACATGGTGCTAACACTAGGGCCATCACCTGCTTCTTTATTTGCAAGATGCCACTTCCTGGCTGTCATGTTGGCAACTTGTCACCGCACTCCCTAAAGAGGCTGTCAAGTTCTTCTTTACAATGCACACACGCCACAACAATGGAATAAACGGTGACTCAAAGGTAGGGTGTCTGAGTTGTTTAATGTGCCAAATAACATTAATGATAGGTACCTGCAACTGTATTTGGTTGGCACTGTAACTTGTGGAATACTATGTACCCATCAAAGCCCTGGCAGTATGGGCCATGGAAATGAAGAGTGGCTGGCCTGGTCTCTGATGGTGGCTTAGGGGGATTTTATTCACTCTTCATCTGGGTACCACTCCTCTTCCGCTTTCCTCCACTGCTGCTGAGAATTTTCTGACATCCCTCTCCTTAGCGTGTCAGCTAGTAGCTGATCTCTTGGGACTTATACAGTCTTGAGATGTAACCACTGCTAAATTCCATGCCCTGTGAGCCCTGCCTGTCTGTCCCAGGACTCAAAGAGAAATGCAAACATTTAGCTAATACTTGACATATGGGCCTTGAAAAAGTATCACCCATGAGGCAAGTATTTTCAAAGAGCAAAATATCCTGGTAGTAATGTAATTTAGAATCACCAGTTGCTCAATGGCAACAAAAGCCAAAATTGACAAATGGGATCTAATTAAACTAAAGAGCTTCTGCACAGCAAAAGAAACTACCATCAGAGTGAACAGGCAACCTACAGAATGGGAGAAAATTTTTACATTCTACCCATCTGACAAAGGGCTAATATCCAGAATCTACAAAGAACTTAAACAAATTTACAAGAAAAAATCAAACAACTCCATCAAAAAGTGGGCGAGGGATACGAACAGACACTTCTCAAAAGAAGACATTTATGCAGCCAACAGACACATGAAAAAATGCTCATCATCACTGGCCATCAGAGAAATACAAATCAAAACCACAATGAGATACCATCTCACACCAGTTAGAATGGCGATCATTCAAAAGTCAGGAAACAACAGGTGCTGGAGAGGATGTGGAGAAACAGGAACACTTTTACACTGTTGGTGGGACTGTAAACTAGTTCAACCATTGTGGAAGACAGTGTGGCGATTCGTCAAGGATCGAGAACTAGAAATACCATTTGACCCAGCCATCCCATTACTGGGTATATACCCAAAGGATTATAAATCATGCTGCTATAAAGACACATGCACACGTATGTTTATTGCGGCACTATTCACAATAGCAAAGACTTGGAACCAACCCAAATGTCCAACAACGATAGACTGGGTTAAGAAAATGTGACACATATACACCATGGAATACTATGCAGCCATAAAAAATGATGAGTTCATGTCCTTTGTAGGGACATGGATGAAGCTGGAAACCATCATTCTCGCAAACTATCACAAGGACAGAAAACCAAACACCACATGTTCTCACTCATAGGTGGGAATTGAACAATGAGAACACTTGGACACAGGGTGGGGAACATCACACACCGGGGCCTGTCATGGAGTGGGAGGAGGGGGGAGGGATAACATTAGGAGATATACCTAATGTAAAGGACGAGTTAATGGGTGCAGCACACCAACATGGCACACGTATACATATGTAACAAACCTGCACGTTGTGCACATGTACCCTAGAACTTAAAGTATAATAAAAAGAATAAAATAAAAAAATAAAAACTAAAAAAAAAAAAGAATCGTCAGTTACTATTGGGTAGGATAAAGAAAGTTTCTAGATGACAGACTTTCCCTCCTAATATTTCCAAAGACCCAGAGAAGATTAAGATTGCCTATATAAGCTAGAAGAAAAAAAGGGACATATTTCTACTACCTACTGATTTAATGGAGTCCCCTTTGCTGTCTGTAATGGGTTGAATCTTAGATTACCTGGCTGGGCCCTAAATCCAATGAGAAAAAGAGGATAAGGTATAGTAGGCCAAAAAGAAGAAACACACAGGAGACCATGTGAAGACACAGGCAGAGATTGGAGTGATGCTGCCATAAGCCAAGAAATGCCTGGAGCTACTAGAGACAAGGAAAGATGCTTCCCTAGAGCCTTCAGAAGGAGCATAATCATGAGAACACCTTGGTTTGGGACCTCTGACCTCCAGAACTGTGAGAGAATATCTTTCTGTTGTTTTAAGCCTCCCAGTTTGTTACAGAAGCCCTAATATACTCTGAAATATATATTCAAATATATATCCAAAGACCAAAATACACAAAAAATAATGCAAAAACGTGTCATTTTCTCAAAATATTTGAAAATCACTGGGTTCAAACTGCATCTAGCAAGTTGCATCTAACTTTTTCCCTGTGAGCAGAAAAAGCTAACCAATCAAATCTTAGGGAATGGAAAGACAGGACTGGCATTCCCAGCAAAGCCCAGTGGCTCATCCACCTGCTCTTCTGCATTAAAGCAAGCCTGCTCCTGTGGTTTCTAAATTATCACAGAGAGGTGATGTCAAGTTGAGCCTGGAACCTTTCCAGAGTTGGCAAACCCATTATTCCCCTTGACAATTTTATTGCTTATGCAGTCCTACAGAGGTTTCCTTAATATTCCAACTGAAATTTCATTGTTCTGGCTATTTGTAAAAGCCATCTCTTAACCAAACAGAAGTATTCTTTGAAATGTACCTTAAATGCTAGATTCAGAAAAGTGCAATGTCAGGATTGCACAGTCTGACATAGTTCAAGAAATAACCAGTTTGCATTATTTTGTAAGATAAGGCCATTAAACTCAACAATTACACTGCATTGACTCATTGTTTTTTCAGAGAAATTTCATCTTCTCTAATGACTGTGAGCTGACAAAATGAGAACAAAATTGGGTGACTTCTGTGATCATTTTCCAAAGCCTCAGAGCTTCCTTTAGGTCTGCAGGGTTCAAAATACTTACCGTTTTTTTTTTTTTTTTTCTTTTCATGGCTTGAGATTTTAGCAAAAAAAAGCCATAGAATACAAGAAGCTACAGATGTCTCTGAGTTTCTCCCAAGTGACTAGAAAATAAATAAACCATAAAGCAGAAGCATAACTCTCAGAAAACTACATTGTTTGAACACCAAATAATTGTCAAATACACTCATTTCTTGAAATAGTTTCCCAAAGATTTGGTTGCCGTCTCTATGGAGGAACATGTAGCATGGACTCAGAGTTTGGCAATCAATTAGTTTGTAACTAGTAAGGAAATGTCAGGAATTACCCAGAGCATGATGAGATTTTAGTACCTGTTAAGTTTGTGGGAAGATAAGAAGGAATTTGTATCAGTTGGCCTGCATGACTACTCTTAACATCTCAGAAGACTGTTAACCAATAGTGACTCAGACTTGTTCATAATTGGAATTTGAGTAAAAGGGAAATGACACAGCAATCTTTTTTTCATCTTTTTTCCCCCTACATGTTTAGTTTTGATATAAAAAAAACGAGGCTGAAAACATCAGGCTTGCCAATGTACATATATGGATGGTTGCCCTCAACTAAGGCATCCCCATATGTTCCCAGTGAACTATATATTTTCAAGCTCAACTCACTAAGTGGGCCAATCTTTTGCAAAATTTTATAATTACCAGAGTTTGGTCTCAATGCCTCCTAATCCCAACCAGATTCAGGATAGAATCAAAATGAACTTATTCACACTGAGACATACATGGCTGGTATCATTTAATTGGGTCCATAACCTAAAATATCAAATTCCTTTAATGATCAAGGTATAGTGCAGTATGTACAGTATGTACCTGAACCACTATGTTTGTAACATTCAACTTGATAAGCCTACCAGGGAAACAAACATAAAAGCAAAAGCAAACTTTGAACAATCAAAGAATGCTATTAAAAATAGAAAAGTAGCATTAACTCAAAATCTCAGAAGGGGCAGCTCCATCAAGCGTGATTCACAGGCTCAGTCAAGTCCCAGGGATGGCCTTAAATGTCTATTGTGGTCATCACCAAATGAGGTAGAGATTTTGATGTCACACATGAGACACCGAGGGTCCCCAACCTTGTCCTCCAATAGATGAACTATAACCAACTGCATAAGTGTGAGAAAGGAAAGAGGAAAACCGCTCCCTCCCCGGATGCCCTGCTTTCCAAAAGAATGATGGAACTTTGTGGCCAGGCACGGTGGCTCACGCCTGTAATCCCAGCACTTTGGGAGCCCAAGGCGGGTGGATCATGAGGTCGGGAGTTCAAGACCAGCCTGACCAACATAGTGAAACTCCATCTCTACTAAAAATATAAAAATTAGCTGGGCATGGTGACGCATGCCTGTAATCCCAGCTACACTCGGGAGGCTGAGGCAGGAGAATCGCTCAAACCTGGGAGGCAGAGGTTGCAGTGAGCCAAGACTGCGCCACTATACTCCAGCCTGGGCAACAGAGCAAGACTCCATTTCAAAAAAAAAAAAAGAAAAAAGAAAACAAAAAAAGAATGATGATACTTTGTTAAGAACACAGCAGTGGTTCCTTGAAAACAAACAACATGGCAGAAAATGAGAGTATGTGAACTTGACAAGATTTCTTATTTTCAATCAGATTAAGTTGAGAGTAATATTTACATTCTGAAAGGAGTTATACAGAAAACATTAATTTTATGTATATTTCTGTACTCCCACCCCCACATAATATGCTAAATATCCATAAGGGAAAATAGTTAAATGGGGACTATGCCCTGGATTTCCATCAGTTAGTTCATTCTATTCATCTCTATTTTTATAGCTTCTTTAATTTAATAAATCCAAGGTCAAAAATCACTCTGGGCTATTAATAGACCTACCAGCAATGACATTTGCAGCATCATGGAAAGAGATATTGCATTCTCTCCATCTAGCATTGATGATAGCTTCCAGCATTCTGTACCCTTGTTTAAATATATAAAAAAAAAGACAGTGCTTCCCTTCAGGGCAAACTTTGCAGCATATTTTACACTGTTGTTGCGGTTATAGAAGTAATGTCTATTTGGAAAGCCAGTGAAAAATCATTAGGACTGACACACTGAGTGAGGCATAAATCAAATGATAAGGAACCGAGCAAGGGATAGCTCCATTCTGAACACTTGTAGTAGAGGTTCCCCCACTTGTTCTTACAGACATCCAGCACTGAATTTTTGAAGCCATCCCTTTTCCGCTTAGAGAACTAGAATTGAATTCTCCTTCCCTGGGTGTCACAATGTTTTTCTCTTCAAATTTAAATCATGGTAAGTAATGACTTTTCTCAGAGACTTCCAGGGACCAAACTGTAAAATTACTTACTGAAGGAAGGGATTTAAAACGGAAGGGTAAAAAACACCTTAAGAACTGAGATTTTGGGGGGTCTTTATGCACAATTGTAAAGTCCAAGTAAATGGCAAGTCACAAAGCTGGCAATATAGGAGGATTTACTGTGCAATCCTGCAGTTTGGAGACACGAAGCCACCAACATGGGAACCACCATATTTCCTCTATCACCAAATAGATATACAAGATAAGACAGTCACTTCTCCAAATACATAAGCCCTTTAACTTAAGCATCCAAGAGCCCTGGATAAGGACTTACAAATAATTTGCCCCAGATAGGAGACATATCTACTGGCCTTGGGGTCTTAATTTATTCCTTGTCTATACCTAGGAGGGGTGGGGGCAGAGACAAAAATGAGAAGTTGTGTGTATATTGCATAATCTGAGAAAGCAGTAGAAAGTTAAAAAAAAATCATAGCAGCATTATTCCTAATAGCCAAAATGTGATAACAACCCACACGCTCATAAACTGGAGAACTGATCAACAAATTGTGGGATATCCATTTAAGGAAATACAATTCAGCAGTAAAAAGGAATGAAGTGCTGATACATGTTATAGCATGGATGAATCTTGAAAACATTATGCTAAATGAAAGAAGGCAATCACGAAAGAGCATGTCTTGTATGATTTCATCTAGACGAAGTGTTCAGAGAGGTACATCTATAGAGGCAGAAAGTAGAGTAGCGGTTGCCAGGGAATAGAGATGGGAACAGGAATGAACTGAAAATGAGCAAAAGGGATCTTAATGTGATTATGGTGATGCTTGCACAACTCGGTAAATTTACTAAAAATCATTGACTTATATATTTAAATGAGTGCATGGTACATAAATTATACCTTAATAAAGTTGTTTAAAATAATCAAGGAGCAAAGCCCCAAAGGCATAAAGCAGGTTAAATGTGCCTCACATGTGGCCTGTGGGGTTCAGGTTGCTCACAACTTGTTTTCATTCTATGCTCCCAATTCAGAGAAAGAGAAAGACCTGAGTAAATTGCCAGGACATGTAGTCACCCAGGAAGTTGTATGATCTACAGTTTCATTAGGTTTGCTGTGGCCAATGATGGATTCTATTCAATGCCAGGTCTTGTTGTCATGGATTTGGGTAAAGTGAATTCCCATCTGATTTGCACACAGTTGGGTTCAGATTACAGAGGCTAAACATTATATTCCAGTTATACACTTATCTGCAAGATGAGGATAGTAGTACCTACCTCATAGAGTTCTGAGGATTAAATGAGTCACTAAATATAGAGTTCTTAGCAAGGCCTGGCACACAGACCATATTCCAATATATGTTAGTTGTCACTTCTTTTGCCCTTTGAGTATAGTTAAGGAATTTAAAATCTTTAGTAGCTAATTCTCCCAATGAAAATATTAATAATTTGTGCCAATGACATACAGTGTTCTAAGTCTACTACTAGAAAAGGTATCTACTTATTTACTGGGATGAGATTAGATGCCTCCAACATCAATACCCCAAGTATGAAATATCCAATACTTCCAAGGAAAAATTTTAAAATAAGAATAGCCAGGATTGGAGAAATGGATGTTAGGTAAAAGAAATATCTTTCCCCTAGAGCTTTCTGGAAGAATTTTATTAGAGTTGAAACAAGTCTTATAGATGATTTCAAAACAATCATTTCAACAAATGTACATGCTTGGAAGTAAGGTTAAAAGGGAATAATAGTGAGAAGCGGGGAAGAATATTCTGAGAACCTACTATCTATAGAGTATCTTCTCTCTTGGGCAGCCTTGTCAGACAGAACCTACTGAGATAATGGAAATGTTCTAAATTGGTGCTGTTCAATACAGTAGCCACCAGCAAACTGTGGCTATGCTTTTTTTAATAGCACAATGGCATTTATGTATTAAAGGAACATGTGCCCATAAAATGCATAGATTTTACAAGGTTACATGTATTTTTTAAAAGCAGCTTTATTGAGATGTAATTCAAAAAGCATGAAGTTTACCTTTTTAAAGTATACAATTGAGTGGTTTTTGTTATAGTCACACGTGTCCTCACATGACAAAAAGAGATTGCTCCCTGGAGTCCCTTTTAATGAGGGCTCTAATCCCATCACAAGGGTTCCACCCTTATGACCTAGTTACCTCCTAATGGCCCCACCTCCTAATACCATCACTTCAGGATGAGGATTCAATATAGGAATTTTAGAGACACAAACATTCAGTCCATTCCAAGTATGTAGCTCATACTCAAATATAAAATGACTCTGATGCCAAGAATCTTTCCCTAATGCCACCCTTTTTAAATAGTGGCTTTGATTTTGCTACTGAAGAAAATAAAAATATTTCACCCCAAAATATATTTCTTTGACATATTTGGAGATGGCTGTTCAGAGAGCCAGCAGACAGAAGCAGCCCCGCAAAGCTGGCTTTTGTAGGAGAGATTTGCTCTGTAGAAGAAATCTGCACTGATGCACCCAGGCTTTCTCTGAGGCCCTTCGTTTTCCGAATGTGAGGAAGATTAACACTCTGACTCCTTAAAGATCTGAAAGAAACATTCACCATCTCTTCTCTCTGAGGGCTGCTACCTATGAGATTTCATCTACACAATAAGATCCTCTTTGCTAGCCGGGCCTCTTCTCCCCTCCCATAACCTGTTTTTCCAAAATCCACGTCCCCAGTCTTTCTGTAACCTCAAGATGGTATATGTGCTTCTGCACCTCAGGGCAGAGTGGGGCAATCACTTTGACGTTCCTTCTCATGTGGGCATTAATCAACTTGAATATTATTTCTCCTTTTGTGAGTCGATTTCCAGTGAATCTTCAGAGGGTGAAGGAGAAGGTTTCTCCTTGGCCCCTACACTATCTGATACATTAGGAGCAAAGAAGTAATATGAAAGTTGCAAATTCCTCCCTCATAGAAAAAAACTAAAACCTCATTCCAAAAGAAAGCTGGAGAGGAAGAGCCATATAATTCACCTACTCACACTCATCTTGAAAAATCTCTCATTCTGGAGGAAGAAAATTCACTCATTTATCCCACTTTCCTCAGGCACCTAATATAATAACATTTGTCATTTACTACACTTTCATTAAAACTTTGCAGCCACTTTGAGAACTACAGAACGTGGAAGTGCTTCAGGCATATTTAAAGTCATATCTTGGCCAGGCACAGTGGTTCATACCTGAAATTCCAGCATTTTTGGAGGCCAAGGCAGGAGGATTGCTTGAGCCCAGGAGTTCAAGACCAGCCTGGGCAACATGGTGAAACCTGTCTCTACAAAAAATTACAAAACATTAGCCAGGCTTAGTGGTGGCACACGCCTGTAGTCCCAGCTATTCAGGAGGCTGAGGTGGGAAGATCACTTGAGCCCAGGAGGTCGAGGCTGCCGTGAGCTGTGATCATGTCACTGCACTCCAGCCTGGGCAACAGAGTAAGATCTTATATAAAAAAAAAAAAGGTAGCATCTCACTAGTACTACAAGTATAGACATAAACCTCAATGCAGAAAGCATGCTTATAATGTGCTAAGTAGATACTGAAATACCAGGAAGGAAAAACCATCCCATTACCTCTCCCTTAGAGGAAAAATGCCATGCTATCCATACTATAAGTTTTCCAAATGGCTTTTTCATTTATGTAGATTAAATCAAGGAAAAACCAAACTTAGAAGCCCATGATACGTAGAAATTCACACAGTAAAGTGAGATTTGCTAATATTCTCCCCAAACGTCTTTAATTGCGCTACATTTTAATCCCTGTTCCTTCAGTGGGGAGAAGAAAGGCAATGACATCTTATTCTGTCACTTGACATTAGTGGATAGATTTTATAGTTCTATACAGCATTATTTCACCTCCTTTAATGTGTTCTTCAACAGAATGATTTATATTAATGATTATACAGCTACTTGAAAAAAATAATCACAGTGAACTAAATTTTCAAAAGACCTATACTGTCAGGAGCAGTGTCTTACTTGGGTCTAAAAAGTTAGGAAAGGTTTTCATTAAATAGCAAAGGAATGACGTCTTGGCCTGAATCCAAAGCTCAAGATTATATTATCCGATGCTGGAAAATGTTTGTGAGACTGAATAAAGTCGGGAAAAAAGTGAAACCATGAAACCATGAAAATGAACTCAGCTTTGTTCAGGCTTTTGTGTAGCCAGTTCTTTAATAAGTCTGAAGATTTGTAGGTTGCCTCTGAGGTCTGCTGAGTTGGGGGCAGAGTATGGCATTGATGCTGCATCAAGCTGCGAGCCAATCTCCCACTCCTGAGCATGAGTAGCCATTCCCATACCCTCTGAAACAATGGCAGACAGGTATTCCAGCTCAGGTATTCTTAATATTTTTCCTCCACTGAAAATGAC
Source organism: Homo sapiens (assembly GCF_000001405.40). Taxonomy (NCBI): domain Eukaryota; kingdom Metazoa; phylum Chordata; class Mammalia; order Primates; family Hominidae; genus Homo; species Homo sapiens. Next base: position 12,354,277 of record NC_000023.11, on the reverse strand, counting down.
TGATATTCACATGGGAATAGACTGTCTTTTTTAACATGTCATGAATGAGATAACATGTCATGAATGAGATGAACTTGCGTTAGACAAATTATTTCCCAACAGAGAACATACCTACTAGACAGTTGAAAATTTAATATTGGGGATGCTAGTAAATTTGTACTAGGTTATGTTTTAAGCAGGTTTGAGATAGAAAATCATTTAAACATTTTAGTAGGTCATTATTAGCAAAAGCAAAGTGCCTTGGCTTTATTACTTTCTAGAAATATGATCCTGGCACGTTTCTTTAACTCCTCTGAGGCTCACTTCCCTCTTGTGAAAAGTAAGGATAATACAGTAGTCGTGTCTTTCTCCTAGGAGTGTCATGAATGTTTAAGGAAATCCTGTTGAAACTTGTACCTAGGGCAAAATGAGCACTCAGTGAATAGTGGCCACTATTCTCATTAATCAAAACACACTTCACAACTAATTGTAATGTTCTGTCACAAAGAATTGTTAGTCGTCTATACAATTTCTAAATTCTCTTTCAAAGACAAATAAACAAATAAATAAAATCAGTCAAATAAGATGTTAGACATCAGAAGCCAGGTGCTTATCCAGGTTTGCTGGGACCTGAAGTTTATACAATTTTAAGCGAGACCTCTTTAAGAGCATGAACACAAAATTACGAATGCAAAATTACATTAGATACAGGGTATTACAAAAGGTCTTTGCAAGTGAAAAGCTCTGAAGCTTAAGGGTTGATAATTCATGGTAAATTTGTCCTTGAACAACTTTCTGATGAGCAACTCAAATACTTTGAGCTTCAGCTAGCGAGTCCAGTGAGATGAGTTTCTAGCCTTCCACAAGGCAGAAGTCACGCTTTTGGGAAGAATGTTTAGTAGGTGGGTAATAATGGATTGCCAAAGGGTTTGTTCAGTGGGAGCTAAGATGGGCCAATCCATGCAGAGAAAGTGTTTGAGTGATATAGCACAGCCTCTAGAATCGGCTCGAGCTGTTCTTTCTAAAATCTGCTCTGTGGACTTGTGCTGGTCAATGACAGATACTACCAGTGAGAACATTCCTCTGAGATACATTTCTGTCTATGTTGGTAGGTCCAGGTAGGTTCAGAGTCTTCCCTGTGAGTCCATGCAGAGAGGCACATGCCCAGGAAAGGTCCCTGTCTCTGGTCCTGAAAGCCAGCCAACCCACACTCTCGTCCTAGCCCTGCGGGGAGCCTCAGGCATATGAGCTATCGACTGGCTTTTCTCAGTCTGGTCAGAATATTCCATTCTAGGTTCACAGAATCAGTATATACCTATTCATTCCAATTTCAATTATGAATGTAATAACAATGGAAATACCAGAACAAAAGGAATACCCAGGCTCCCTTTCCTGAGTTTATGTTGAACTAGATAACAACAGGAGCAAAGACACAAACTAACTAACACAGGCATGTCAAAAAGTAACGAAGATCCAAGTAACATGGTAAAAGGAAAATGTTATGTTGTCATTTTCCAGCATTCATATTTTTGATATGTATGTGTGTATAAAAATTTGCAGGTCAACAAAAGTTGCCAAACTATTCTCTTTGGGAAAGGATTATCTCTTTTTCTTCATTTATACTCTACTTTTGCTGTTAAAATGTTCCCTCTTTGGAAATGCAACTGAAAACCACAATAGTAGACCCCTGTGTACTCATCAGAATGGCTACAATGAAAAAGATACATTAACTAAAAGTGAATCATTCCTATCAATAGTTTCTGATGAAATAGATTTAAAAGATAGGTACAAAGTAAGTTAAAATTTAATAATCTGTAGAGTTCCTAAAAGCATTCTTTAACGTTAATTTGAAGTTCATAATCCCACGTATCTTTGATGTTCACATTGGATTGAATTGAATTCAGTGAAATATCAAGCAAAACATGTGAGTCGAGATATTTTGACTGGTCACACACAGAAAGAACAGCTAATATTTACAAGCAAAACTCAGTAGGTTTACAAACTTTGTGATTTTTAAAAAATGATTTTCCTTTAAAGTCAAGCAATTTGTTAAAAAGGTTTATAGATGTTTATAATAGAGCCTCCTATTAAAATTTTAAAGACATTAAATTTTTTAAAGAAAAAGATCCATAATGGCAAGTGTTGAGGAGAGGTGGAAATGCAATTGGAATTCTCACACACTGCTGTAAGAGAATGAATCGGTGCTAACACTTGGGAAAACTGGAAGTCAATACTAAAGCTGAGCCTATGAAAAATACCTTTTGGCTCAACAATGACACTCCTAGATATGTACCCAACACAAATACACAGACATATTTACCAAATGACATGTAGTAGGATGTTCACGTCAGCACAATTTGTAATAGGTCATCATTGGAAATGACTCAAATGTCCATCGACAATTTAATGACTAAGTAATTTGTGATATATTCATTCAATAGAATTCTATAACATTGAGAATAAGTGAACTACACCTACATACCACTACATTGATGAAACTCACAAACACAGTGTTGCGTGAAAGAAACTAAATACAAAAGAATACATGCTATATGATTCCATTAAAGTTTGAAAAAGGTAACACTAATCTGTGATGTTTGAAGTCAGGATAGACATCAGCCCTGGCTGGATAGTGGTGCCAAGGAGGCATGACAGGCTTCACTTGAGCTAGTAATGCTATGTGTCTTGTTCTAGGATGTAACTGCAAGCAAGTGTGTGCTTACTTTATGAAAATTCCTTGAGTTGTCCACTTACGACTTGCCCATTTTTCTGTGTGTTACACCTTAATAAAAAGTTTACTTTAAAATGTTCCATATTTTTTTGAAATGATGGAGATTGTCACTAGGTTGTCCCCCAGTTGAAAGAAAAATGTCCAAGACTGAAATCACCAAGACTGCGAACTGTTTATCTATAGGCTGCTGAGAAATTCAAGCCTAAAGAACCAAGTCACGTGTTCCTCTATTTTTAATGGGGGGGCAGGGGGCTGTGCCAATGGTGCAATAAAGTAAGTCATCAGAAATGGTGGCTTTCAAAATAGCAGCAAGATCTACAAATTTAGTGGGAATCTCCATTATGCAATGCTTTCTAGAAAGAACTGTAGCATAATCACACTTTTTTTTTTTTTTTGTGAGGTGGAGTCTCACTCTGTCACCAGGCTGGAGTACAGTTGCGCGATCTTGGCTCACTGCAACCTCCAACTCCCTGGTTCAAGCTGTTCTCCCACCTCAGCCTCCCGAGTAGCTGATTACAGGCACGCGCCACCACACCCAGCTAATTTTTGTATTTTTAGTAGAGACGGGGTTTCACCATGTTGGCCAGGATGGTCTCGATTTCCTGACCTCGTGATCTGCCCGCCTTGGCCTCCCAAAGTGTTGGGATTACAGGCGTGAGCCACTGTGCCCGGCCAATAATCACACATTATAGGCAAGCACATCTTCTCCAAATGTTTTCTTATTTCTTGCCATCCTCTACTTTGCACACATCTTGCTCTGTCATTATGTACCTTCTTTCAAGGGTTTAATCAATAGATTTAAAAACACTCATTCTAAAACAACTTTCCATGAACCTTTTTCTACTCTGAGATTTTCCTTGCTCACCTCCAGTTTTCATTTCCTGTCTCTTGACCTGTTTTTAACTTATTACAAAGTCAATTTGAAATGTCTAACCTGTTTCGACATTCAGTTCATATCCGGGTAGTTTTAATCAAAAACATTTTGAAAATTTAATTAAATATGAGACTATGAGACAGTTTATCTCAGCCCACTATTGTAGTTCCAAAACAACTTTCCTTTTCAATAAAGATGAGGTCACAATGACTGAAGCAGATGTTAGACCCCTATGAACAATTCTCACAAATGAATCTGGTGCTTTATCTTCTGAAATCTGGCCAAGAAAACAGGCCAGAAGTTTTGCACTTAAGACCAATACAAACATAAAGGAAATCTAAAATTTGAAAATTAGAAAAAAAAGCTCTCTCGTGTTTAAATTATGAAAATTAAAAGGCCCATAGTATAAAAAATAACTTGAAAAATCAAATCCTACAGGATAAAGGGAATAAGGAACAAAAGGAAAATATTTCTCCCTCCTTCTTGTTCCATACTTAAATTATACAGCTATATGATCTGTTTTCTTTGTGTTTTGCTGCTGATAATTATATATAATAATTTTTTGGTCTTCTAGTAGTTACCTTTATTAGTGTATTATATGTTCAAACATCTGTTTCATGTGTTACTAATTTTAGACAGGGTCTATTAACAATCAACTCTAAGAGAAATCAATGCACATAGCTTCCTCTTAACTCCCCTTCCTGCTCCATTGTCAATTTCAATTTGCTATATTATGTTTTATGTTCCCCACTGGTTATCTTTGGGTTTTTCATCATTGCATTTATAATATAATTTAAGCCTCTATTGCTTCATATATTCATTTTAGGCAGTATCTTTTTACTCCTGACTATGAAATACGAGGAAATCCACATCCCTAAATGTCTCCCACATCCTCTCCTGCCATGAAATTTTGTTAATAATGTTATATAAATTATTGAATTATTAATGACCCATTAGGAAGACATACAATATTTGCATTCTCTTCTGTAATCCTACTTCACATGATTGGTTAGACCTTTGATTGAACCGGACATAATACTCATTTCAGTTTCTATATTAATTTCTTGTTGAAGAGATCTCACAATCAAGGTTTTTGTTTCAAGAGACGTCATAAATGTCATGTTCAGTTACATGCTCAGAAATGTCTCTTTTTTGCATTTCTACTGAATGGCAATTTGGCTGAGCATAAGAGTCTTGGCTTTCGCTGCTGTTTTCCCACAACACCATAGCTGTTAGGCTACTCAAGACTAGGCTTAGTATCCTATGGAGGACTCCAGAGGGCGCCTTACTAACCGACCCCCTCGCTCCCCAGGTGACTTGCTTTTGATCACATCGGGACTTATAGGATTCTTTATCCTCCTCACCATCTTCAGTGCAAATAGAAGGTCTGCATATGGTTTGTGGGGGAGATCTGTGCATGTTTGTGGAGATTCCGTGTTTTAAAAATTATTTCCTTTCGGCTGAGATAAACTTCTGCATAGCTGACTGCCACCCACTGCTCCCCTCCACACAGCCCCTCTACCAGCTGGCCTGGCCTGCTGCACACACTGCATGTCTGAGTGACTCCTGCTTCAACCTTACCTCACCATGGGTCTCCAGGGGGGACAGAGACACCCACACCCAAAGCCTACTCTTTCAGGCCCACTTGCTGGGCGTTTCCCATCTGCCTCCCCCATTTATGGAGCTCTCCCTTTTCTTCCAGTCCCCCTGTGTTTAGGCTAAATATCATTGTGACAATTCCATATCGAGGTTGGTAGCTTCGGATGTTAGTTTGGCAAACTTTTATAGCTTGCTTCCTTGGTTTCATTAAACATGGAGTTTTTGCTTTGCATTTTTTTTGTTGTTGTTGCTGTTTCCCATTACTTTATGAGGGGAACATCATAACTCTGACATCTTTAAGCAAATTTCTCCATTATTCAATTTACAGAAGTTTTGGGTTCCATAAAGTAAGACCAGCCTTAGCCTACAGACAAATTAATTCTTTACTTTCATTTGGTTTCAATTAGTTTATGGTCAAAGCGTGTTTTTAAAATGCCTCTTTTTTTCCAGGTCTTCTGGACAGTGAAGGCTTAGTCAAGGTCCACTTTTTTTTTTTTTTTTTTTTCCTGGAAGCATTTCCTTCAGCATTTGCTTATTGGGAAGTGGGAGACCCAGGACAAGTGTCTTCAGTTCTTACTTCAGGTGATAAGAAATTACCTGGGTCCTCCTGTGTATTTTACCTTTGGGCACGGTTGGAATTCCCAGGGAGCCCCCATTTCTTCTCTCTCTTCTAGCATGAGAAATGAAATCACAAAGCAGCCTCATCCTCTGCTTCCCTCTCACTCATAGAAATATGACAGTGAGTGAATGCTTCTCTGAGAGTTTCCTTTACTTATGGCCTAAGTAAGCTCAGAGGTTGACTTCAGTGGATGGAGAATGCTGAACATCTAAATAGGGTCATCAGCTGATTGCAACAAAAGCTTCATCAGTGTAAAATCTACAGTTTCATTTCCAACCTTGGTTTGTTGTTAAAATAAGTTGCTGACCGCTCAGTGTAAGGGTTTGTAACTGTTTGTAAGTGATGATATAGAAATAAGTTATGTTATCAGCCCTCATGAATTTAATCTAGTGAAATCTATCCTTAATACTTTGAGTGTTCCCACTAAACAACTGTTCATAAATTAGATTTCCTCAGCAGGAAAAAACAAGTCCAATATGTGGATATCAAATATATGTTTACATATGAAATACTGCTTCAAATGAAAATTGATGGTATTATTTTAAATTACATCATTCTGCTTGGAAAAATTTGCAATAATAATGAAATATAAAATATCTGTATGTATATAATAATACAACACAACATTTAGAAAAACTGAAAATTAAAAAATAAAACTAAGCACATTTCACTGTAATATTTAAAAATAATGACTTCTACTGTGATGAACAATTTAAATAATAATTTAAATGAACTGATACTACCTTAGATGACAGACCAAAATTCAATATTGTGACACTTCTATGAAATAATTAGAATGAGTAAAAAGTTTACTTATTACTATTTACTATTTGTTAATATTTCTTCTCAAAAATTATCACCTATGTTTTCACATGTATAATTAAACTAATTCTGGGGTGAATTTTTATATCAATATTATAAGGTACTTTTAAAAATTCAAGGTCAGGCATTGTGGCTCACGCCTGTAATCCCAGACCTTTGGGGGGCCAAGGTGGGAAAAACATTTGAAGCCAGGAGTTCGATACCAGTCTGGGCAACAGAATGAGACCTTGTCACTACTAAAAAAAAAAATTAGCCCAGCATGGTGGTGTGCACCTGTAGACCTAGCTACTTGAGAGGCTGAGGCAGAAGGATCACTTGAGCACAGGAGTTTAAGGCTGCAGTGAGCTATGGTCACGCCACTGCACTCCAGCCTGGGTGACAGAGCAAGATCCTGTCTCAAAAAAATAAAAACATAAAAAATAAAACTTCTGGATATTATAAGATGATAAACAGTGCCAGAATTCTTAAAACAAATGGCCATGGAAAATATTAAATATATAAAATATTAAAGACATATACTAGAAAGAATATGAAATTTATCTAGCCTGCATTCCTGTGCCCAGTCTGAAGAAAGGAGCTTTTCTTCAATCAGATTATATAATTAAACACAACATTCCCAACCAGGATGAATCACTATATTATCACAACCTACCCCAATTAAGTGCACAAAAAGAGAATTATACAACCACTTTTGTGGCAATGAAAAATATTACTCATGTTAACTACTTGTCTCAGAAGAGTGGATAATAGATTCCACATAATTTCATATCCTATTTGTAAATGCCAATTCTACTGGTATGAATTAGTAAAAATGTCTTTTAAGATTTAAGATGACTTTTTTAAGAGAAGGGGATATTATTATCGTATTATTTTGGGAAATAATGAAAGCATCCATTTGAATCACTAAAAATTGTAATTGGTACCCTCCCTCAACAAATAGAGGGGCAAATCAAGAAGGTGACTGAAGAATAAAAAAGTATGCTCCATTTTTGGCAAATCTAGGAGGCAGACTCCAAATTATTTGTAAGGGGTGCTAAAAGCAGTGGCGTATGTACAAAAGGTATGCTGGACAAAAAGGGAGGGAATATACTTACATCATTATTAATAATCTACGCAGCGGTTCTCTGGAGTAGGTATTATTTTGCCAGTTTTACATATATGGCAATGTAAGCCAAGATATTATATAAGTTTGCCAAGGTTTCAGCAGGAATGACTGAGAAGGTTTGAACTTCAACCCAGGACTCTTTCTAAGCCCACTATGCTCAGAGCCTTGTCTATAATACATTCCCAATCCCCCAATATAACAATTTCAGATTGGACTCTGCCTTCCTCTCCTTTATTTACAGAATCCCAATGCAACCTATTTTTTTTTTTTCCTGCAAAACACTATCATCCCAAGAAACCTTTCCACTTATTCCCTGGTGAATCATAATGCTATTTCATTCATGATAATTTCCTATTAACCATCAGCTTGCCATCCCAACAACATACCATATCTTTGCTTACTAGTTTGTTTTTTTCTACAACTGGCTTCAAACTTTTGGGTAGTTTAAGACAATTACATTAATCTTTATTTAGTATTTACCCTTCCAATATACTTAAAAAAAAAAAAAACTAGAGATTTTAAAATTCTCATACAAAAGGTATTTCAAAGGCAAAATTACATCTGAAATCCTAAGAGTATTTCTCTTAAGCTTTACTGTTTGTAAAGAAGATTTCTTTTCTTTTTCATGACAGATTTCTTGTTCATAAAGTAGCTTAACCAATGCTTTTCATGAATTCAGAGAAAAAGTTATTCTTGGGCTCTTTGTCAAATTCCTAAGCCTTAAGCACGCCATATATTGTTGTATTTTAAAGAGCTAGAGAGATTAATCATGTTTTATGAGATGTGAATAGATTTAGAGTTCAATAAAGTACAGAATTAACAGGACTGAACTACATTGGCTCAATTAGTGACAAATTAGATTTGCTACCATCCCTCCCAGTCTCCCAGTATCCACAAATCATGTGTTCATATCACAAAATATAGACTGATCCATTGGGGAATTGGCAATGGGTAATAACAATCAGCAACATGAGGAATTGCAAAGGTTCCCCAATTCTCCAAGCGCTCACCATCATTAGCCCTGGTTGACAGTTCTATCCATGTTTCTCTGGGTAGAAGCCCAGTACCACCTGGGCTATTGGGAAAGCTACTCAGCCTTTCTGAATTTGCTAGAAAAAGGGTTAGAGGTGCAATTGCTAGAAGAAAAGGAAGTGTCTTCTTAAACTGATGCTAAAATAGATCTGAAAGGCAAGGTCACACACATCCATAACCAGGCTGTGAGCACTCACCCATCTCTCTCACCATCACACATTACAGGAGGAAGGGGACTGCCTCCTTTTACACAGTCTACGCACCCACCCATCCATCCACTCAGCCATCTATCCATCCATCCATCCACCCACCCACCCATCTACTCATTCATCCGTCTATCCATCCATCCATCCATCCATCCATCCATCCATCCATCCATCCATCCTTTCATTTGTCTGTCTGTTCATCCATCCATCCATCCATTCATTCATTCATCCATCAATCCATCCATCTTTCCATCCATTATCCATCTACCCACTGAATGCCTGATTGGGATGAGGCCTGGAATTTCTTGTACTCATTTTTTACCAGGTTTAACTTTTATCTTTGAACAAACAAACAAAAAGCTTGAAGGAGTTTGATTACGATTTTTTTCCTGCTTTGTGTGTGCTTAGATGGGGGTGCAAGGATGGGTAAAGGAGAATTTCAGAGTTAGATTTATCCCCCCTCCCCACTATGGTGGACCACGGGAGATCTCCATACACTTGGAATTCAGCACTTGCCATCTACTGAAGGCTGCAAAAACAACAACGAAAAGCCAGGAACAGACTCCAAAGAAAGTCAACACAACTCGTCTGCAAAGGTCAATGAAATCTCACTAAAGTACAAAAAGATAAATGCTCTTTGGTTAGGAATCTGCTGTATATGATTTATTGAATGGGGCTCAGTACTATTTTAATAATTAGTATTATAAAATCAACATTTTCCTGACAGGGTCAAAGCATTAAAATTCATCCTCTCTGACTTCCTAATGATGGTGAATAATAAAGAAAACGGGTTGGTTTTGACAAGGACTGCAAATGGGGATGCGAGTGGGGAGACAGATAAGAGGTCTAATTTAATATCAAAAGATTTTAAAAAGTGGAGGAGGGTCTGGTGGCTGAGAGAAAGAAGAGAAGAGAAGAAATGGAATTTGAGCAGTACTGGAGGGAGTAGGATTTGGAAAACAGAGAAAGTTGAATGATAATTAGGGGAAAGTTTTGCAGTGAGATGTGATGACCCCCATATCTCACACACATACATTCACACCGAAGACCTCAAGACCTTCAACGAAGACCTACATTGATTTTGCAAGGCTTCCTGGTGTTGTGTTTGTGTGCTTTGCTTTTATTTTTTGAATGGTGCAGCCTGCTGAGGTGAGCCTTAGGCAAAAGCAGGTAGTCTAGATAGACACCAGTGATGTGTACTAAGGGACTTGAGAGTGAAAAACAAAACAGGCACTAACAGAAGCCAATTCAAAGCCCATTTGGGGCAACTGCTCTTCCAAACAACTTTAGTCACACAGTACCTTTTCCAATTCCAAATTAAATTAAGGGAATGCATACATTAATAAAACACCAAATAACAGCTTCATAATTTCTCTGGCAACATATGATGATGCTTAGAAAAGAAAATGATGACTTTGGGACATAAATACGGAAGGGAAAACCTACTTTCAGGTTTTGTTCATGAACTTAGTAATATGAGGCTGCTGTTGAGGTCATGCTGCTGTAGCGATTTTCTCCAAAGCAACGGCAAATGTGGAGACCAATAAATAAGTGTCATCAGTGCTCACAACCTCAAGCTCATGATAAATCGTGTGCAGGTAAAAAACGCTGATATGAGAAAAGAGGTCAGCGACAGTTTCACATATTAAAAAAATACATTAACTATCAACTAGTGAATATAGACAAATGGAATATGCTCCTAGTAATCTCCTGATCAATCCTGACCTGTTCTCAGGAAGAGGGGTGAGTGGTTTTTCATCAGCTCTCTTCTCTTCATTTCTCTTCCCCTCTAGACATCCCTCTTAGCAATTTCAACTCTTACATCCCTAGAGGTGACTCCTAAGTACATTTATAGGCCTGACCTCTTTCTTGAGCTCCAGACCCAGATTTCTAACTGACCTGCTGGGCCCAGCCAGATGGATGGCCTGCTGACGCCTCCCAATCAGCAGGGCCAAAATAGAATTCATTCACCCGGGCTCTGCTGCATTTCCCCTCTTTGTGAATTAGAAAATCAAAGCACAGAGGCTAATCCACCAGTCCAAGGTCACTCAGTAACCAGTAATGGACAGGGTCAGAATTTGAACTCTGAGCTCCTACTTCCAAATCCCATCCCTACCTCATTCATCTTTCTCCTTTTCACTGCTACCATCCTGGTGTCAATTGACTGTCTCTCCAGTGGAGTGCCACAGTGACCTCAGCTGGTCTCTTCTCCCCAAGTCACTTGTCTTTCTTTTCCTTCCTTTCCCGTTTATGGGTCCTCACTCATGGGTTTTGAACTCTGATCACATCATTCCACTTCTAAGTAGTAAGGCATCATCACAGTTATACTTATGGCCTCGGAAACCAGGCTTCCTCATTTGAATCCCAGCTCTACCTCTTACTGGCTATGTGATGTTGGGCAAGTTAATCTCTTTGTATACTTGGTTTCCCAATCTGTGAAACGGGAATGGTTATATGACACATCACCTCATCATGAGGAATAAATGAATTGATATGTATAAAATGGACACATGGCTAGTGAGACATCAAGATCCGCTAAATGAATTATGAATTAATTTTCTCAGTTTGGTCTTTACAGCCCTCTATAAAGTGACCCTTAACTCCTTTAACCACATTATGTCATACACATGTCATTCCTACCAGGTTGATCTGACACTGCTCCACAAACATTTGCTTTCTACTTTCCTGCCTCTGTTATTTTTCCAAATATTTCCTTAGCTTGGGATGGCCTTCCCAGTGTGAGCTTGTCATTCATAACCAAGCTCCAATGTCCTCTTCTCAGCTAGAATAGACCACACCCACCCGTGACCCCATCAAGGGCACCGGTTCCAGGTCATGCTCTCTGTATTTGAATTTCCTGCTCTTTCACTGATAGTTGTTACCCTGGGAAAGTCACTTAACCTCTTCATGCCTCAATTTCTTAAGGAGGATTAAAACAGCACCTTTTTTTATAGGGTCTTGATTGCCCAACTATGTACACTATGTGTACAGAGCTTTGAACATCACCTGGCTCAGAGAAATATTCAATAAGTACTAGCAATTGCTTATAGAAATATACCTATTTGCTTTCAGATATGCCTTCCTCTTTTAGATTATGGAACCCTAGAGACAACTGTTATTTTATTCCTTTTACAGTGTCTTGTATTGTAGCTAGCTCCAAGTAAGCATCACCAAAAACTAAATGTTTGTTGAACGAATAAACATCAGTCAACCCATCTGCTTTAGTAGTTAGAGCATAGCAAATATATGGCTCAGGTTCACAAATCCGATCTCTTCTACTGAATATCAATTCTAAAAGATATAGGAGATTTGCCAAAATTCAGAGGCAGAAATCAGTATTTTGGCAATAAATTACTTTCTTTCCATTTAGCCTTTTTCCCCTACAGAATTAAGCAGAAAGCAATTCTATAAGAGCTTCTAGTTCTGATTAACTATGGTGATCCAGAGCTTTTTGAATTTTAATTTCAAGAGCCATTAAAATATCTGAAAAGGGACTTTTTTTTTAAAGTTCCTTGAATCACAGGTTGTTCATACATTTTGTTGGGAGACATAAAATAATATAGAAATTTGTGGAAGAGTCATAACAATAGTCAACCAGCAAAAATCAAATGTAATAGAATATTAAGAGCTCAAGGTTTAGAGTCAGAGTTCAAATCTTGGATCTGTCACTTACCAGCTGTGTGACCTCATGCCACTGAACTGCTCTGTGCCTCAGTTTCCTTAACTGTAAGTGGGGACACTAATGCCTGTCTCATAAAACAGCAGAGTGCCTGAAAAATAACAAACACTCAGTAAATGGTGTATGTTAATAACAATAACAATGGCAACAATAACAATAGTTTGGGAAAACAAATTTCATCTTTCCTTTAGAGTCAGTAATCAAGATGCAAAAGTGCCCATGAATTAGAAAGCAATCACAATTTGAGTTCTAATAGAATCAGTAACTTACCCATGAAGAAAAAAAAAATGGTTCAAGGTAGGACAATATTTCATTAAGCTGTCTTCCTATGCATCATTGCTTTCTGATTAATTTTTTTGATATATTTCCTAAAATGACACTATTCTGAAATATTATTGCATGCCTTGAAGGTAAAGGGGAATGCTTTGGGAGAAAAGTTTTTATGAAGAATGGTCCTAGCTCCAGAATTAAAGGCTAAAATAACTTGAAACATCATGGCCTCAAACTCAGTCATTTTAGAGATTTAAAAACTGACTTGAAAACAAAAAGAAAACAAAAACTCACTAAACTAAACTAAGCTGAGAACTGGAGGCCTGAAGTTTATAAATAAAGTGAAGTTTGTAATTTTCCTGAAATTTAGAGTGAGTCAAGTAAAGAGACTCCCAGTCCTCACTCCAGGATGCTATCAGTAGAACGTGCTGAATAGTTCAACTGACATGACTGGGATGCCATCTACCTTGAGTGCAGTCAAGGGGAGGCAAAGAACTGAAAAGTCACGTCATTGAAACAGATCATTTAGGTAGACCATTAGTTGCACAGATGAACATTTGTAAAACGTGGAGCAACTAACAAAGGTAAGGAAAGTTTGGAGCGCATTGAAAATCAATGTTGATGTCAAAATCAAAACCCTAACAAATAAAATAACCTAAAATGAAGGTCCACAGACTACATAAAAATAAATTTTTTTTATCTTTAAAATGTGAGCATTCTGAAGAGAGAAATGGTGCAGACCTTGCCTTACTAAGGTAGGGGACAGTGGCCGACCTCACAAAGAGACAACTTGTTACATGTACTTCTCAGCTAAGATCTCAAGGTTTTCAGAGATCCTTCAGAACTGTGATGGTTCTCTTTGATAACCCTAGTTGGCCTACTAAAGGACAAATTGCCTACTTTGACCTCCTTCCCAACTAACTAATCAGTTTCCCCCAAAATAGGAACCAACATTCACTCTTCCTAGGCTGGTTTTTCTCTCTCTTCTCTCATATAAAGCCAGTTTTTCTCTTCTTTATTCTTTGACAATACTCCATAGACCATTTTACACATAACTAAATGTGCATGCAAATGATTAAACATGTCTGAAAAATGCTAAGTATTGAAACGTTGTTTTCACTTCCACTGGAAAAACTGACATTTATGCAGTGGTTATTAACTTTTATGATACCATCAACACTGTATTGGTGTAACATGGTTGTAATGAGCCTAAGGAATACTTGGCAATCTGAGAACCCAGTCCTTGAGTGCCACTAATGGGAAGCCTGTTGCAGATAGCACAGAAGTACTGTGAAACTGCAGTCTATCAGGAAGAACAATTCTCAGGAGAGGAAGAACAATTCTCAGGAGAGGTTCGAATCAACTCTTAGAATGAGTAGAGGGAAAATCCCATTTACCATTGAGTGGCTTGATTGCTACCCAAATTTGTTTATTAAGAAATACCATTGGCCAGGTGCAGTGGCTTACGCCTGTAATCCCAGCCCTTTGGGAGGCCGAGGTGGGCGGATCATGAGGTCAGGAGATCGAGACCAGCCTGGCCAATATGGTGAAACCCTGTCTCTACTAAAAATGTAAAAATTAGCCAGGCATGGTGGCATGTGCCTGTAGTCCCAGCTACTTGGGAGGCTGAGGCAGGAGAATCTCTTGAACTCAGGAGGCGGAGGTTGCAGTGAGCCGCAATTGCACCACTGCACTACAGCCTGGGCAATAGAGGGAGATTCCATCTCAAAAAAAAAAAAAAATTCATTAAACTTTTTCCAATGATGCTGTGGTATATAAGCAAGAATTTGGTCAGACTATGCCTGATCTCTTACTTCATACTTTCCCAGGAATGCTGAAAGAATGAAATATGCCTGAAATTAATGAACTGGCAAATTGTGTACCTGAACATGGACAGTGGTTTGACATAGGTTAGCCAGGACTAATGAGAGTGTAATCAGTGGGGTTAAAGATGTAAAAAGCAAAGAATACACAATGATGTAAAACATCAAGGCATAAAGGCAAGAACAAAGAAACAAACAAAAACAAATTTCATGTATTCAAACTATGGTTCATACACAGAAGCCTGGTATCTATAAATGATCATATGCATCCTGTCCTGATATGAGAAAAATGCCTTGGAACATTCAAAAAACATGATTTGGGGTTCAATAAATTAAATTTGTCTACATTTTAACCATGTTGAATTAAAAAAATCCTTAGAAGTGAGCCTCTCTAAAATAAGACTAAACTAAAATGTTCTGCTCCCAGATGGATGTTCGGCCTGGATTGCAGCCCTTAATTGTTTACTGACAATCTCCCCACCCTCAAGCTCCTTCCCTCCTGCTGTCCTTCTCTTAAAATGCTTTAACCCAAACTCAAAAACTTTTTGACATTTTAGGACCTTTCTACATGCTCTGTTCTCAGGCCAAAATTTCCTTTCCTCTACGCACTAACTGGTGAATTCCCACTTACCCTTCAAAATCCAACATGGAACACAGGCAAGGTGGGCTCTGGAGTGAAGTGGACTGAGATAGAAATCCTGGCTCTACCCATGTGGACATTTGCCCTGGTGCAAGTTGCTTCACCTCTGGAAACCTCTGTTTCCTTATTTATAAAAAGGCAATAATGATGCTACTTGATGGTTGTTGTAAAACTTAAATACTGCACCAACTGTTTGGCCAAAGCTCCTCCAGGTAGTACGTATTTGACAGCTGTGTCTTCCCTTCTAATGGCTTAACTTGGGCAACACTAGGCAACGATCCCTACATTTCTAAAATATTTTATATCCACTTAAGTACCTATCAATTTGTACTTTTTAAATCATGTCTGTATCTGTATCCCCAAATAGTGTGTAAATTCTTTCAGACAAGAGACTGTTTCATCCATATTTGTATTTGCATTACACCGAACACACTGATTGACACATAGGTGCTCAATCAATGCCTATAATGGCTGCTCCATCAGTGTTTACTGAATAATGGATGGTTGAATGATTATTTTCAGTTTATAAATCATAGTGGGGAAATGCAGATGATGTTATAAGTCTCCTTTCAAGCTGCTTTCATCTGCCTTTTCCACAGGGCTATATACTGTCTAGGACACAGATCTACATCTAGGCACACTTCTGCACATGGGCACTGCTGTGGCCTGAGTGTGTCCCTCCAAAACTCCTATTGAAACCTAATCCCCCTTGTGTGATATTAAGATGTGGGGCCTTTGGAAAGTGATTAAGTCATGAGGGTCCACCCTCATAAATGGGATTAGCACCCTAATAAAAGAGGTTGAAGGAAGCTCCCCTTCATACTCCACCATGTGAAGACACAGTGTTCCCCCCATTCCACCATGTAAGAGTGCAATAGGAAGGCACTATCTTTGAAGCAGAGGGACCCCTCACCAGACACCCAGTCTGTTGGCACTTTAATCTTGGATTTCCCAGTCTTCAGAACTGTAAGCAATACATTTCTATTGTTTATAAGTTAAGGTAATTTGTTATAGCAGCTTAAATGGACTGAGACAAGTATACATGCCCCTTTTTCTTTGTTACTAAGTCAAATCAAACTAAATGCCGAATGAAATAATATTATTTTATGAAGCTAGAACGTAACATCAAAAACTAACAGTAAAACAATCTAACCATATAAAAAACTATTTTCACCAACTGCCTTTTTTTGAATGGTCAATCTTCCTCAAGGTTTATTCTGCAAAGCCACAGTTGACCTCACAACCCATCCTAAGTGGAGAGTATAAATCACTGTCGCAAAGCACCTCTGCAGTCATTAAGCTCAAAGGCATATTTGGTTATTAGAACACCTAATAAGGAAAATAACAGCCCCTGACCATTTCCTTATCTTACTTGATCTAGATAGTTCATAAAAGTATACTTCATTACCTCAATCCTATATTCCAAATAACTTTCATAAACCAGACACTTAAAATATTACACAGTATAGTCCTGGAATATGTGTGCATTCTTTATAAATCCTAATCATAGTTTTCCTAATCAGGTACATATGATTTCTCTCTGGATCCTCAATTAACGTTCTATATAGCCCAATATTCCGGAACAATGACAGTAATGATATTTTTTTACTTAATTTTTGCAATTAAAAAATATTGAGCTAATGAATAAACAGAAAAGTCTCTTAATGAACACTTGCCTACGAAAAGATCATCTTTAATTTTGGCATTAATCATGAGGCCAGGAGTGTATACTGCATGGATTTAATGATAATTTGGGGTTGTGTTTGAATTGCTATAATTGCTTCCTTGTTGGTCAAAGTGTCTACAGATTTTCATTCCTTTATTCTATACATCCTGACCTCTCAAAACTCAACTTTTTCTACATTGCCCACTTACTTCCTCCTAACACACACAGAAGTACACCATTTTGCAGTGTTCAGTCCCACTCAAGCCCTGCCAGCATACTCCCCTAATATTATCATATTCAAACCTGCTACTCTGCCAGATCACTTTTCTTGGTTCACTCCATTGCTCTTCTTCATCAAAAGCTTTGAGCCGACACACACACTGCTTGTCTTTTCGAATCCCCTTTTCCTATCCTTGCAGCTAAACAGAAAAGCTTTGCTTTGAAGTTGGACGTTTTTCCTGAACCAGCGGTGTGACCTTTCAGGCTCAGCATGGGATTAGTTTGTTTGGCTACATCAAAAACATAGTTAGTTTTTAAAAGTCCATAATAGATGTTATGGAGAAAGGTCCGTTGGCCTTTCTCCCAAGATAAGCCTGCCAGTGTGAGATGTTATGGTTCCCTGTACAGTGTCTGTGAGCTTAATGATGTGGCTCCATACATGAATCAGCAGTGTACCAGGTACTACTCTAGGCCTCTATTTAAGAAAAGATGTGTCTCTCCCACTCTACTCAGAAAATGCATCTTTTTCTTGGAAGGGGTTGTCTAGGACAGTTAAGGCAACATTCAGCTCTCTGAATCCCATACATCATTATAACTTGAGGAGTGACCCAAAGAGAAATAAGCCTTCCAGCCCAGGGCTACCAAGATGAGGTTTGGCAAGGCCATTGCTAATGCTGACACTTAGGTCTCCACAAGTAGCTATGCCAACTGCCAGATACAAAGAACTTACAGAGCTCCAACAACTGTCCAGTTGAAATTGGACAGAGATATATATTCTGCATCCTACTGGCTACCTCAGAGGGAGCTAAAGCAAGATCTAAAGAAAGCAAGTCCTTATGGTATCTCTTTGAACTTAGAGAAAACCACTTCAAATGGCCCTCATTTGGTCTCTGCCATGTTTTCTGCCTTTTGACCAAAAAAAAAAAATCTTGGAAATTAGAAAAGTTATTTTCTAAAAGTGAATCACACACAGGGAAATAAAAGTTTTGCATTTAGAACTTCAACCAGGCAAAGACTCAGTCACCAAGAATGGGCATTAAAGCAACTCCATTGATTCCTTTGAAAAGGTGCAGTCAATGCTTCTGTGCAAATTAGAGTCATAAGTAAGGTGATTGAGGCGAAATAAATGATATTGTCAAAGCTGGCTGCAAAGGAAGCTAATTACTCTAAGCGGATAGCAGTTCCTCCTTGCAAGAGGACCATACCTTTGCTTGGGGAAAGGCATAAATGAAATTTGTGATTATGCAAAACCAGGCTTCAGGGCTAATGCAATAGAGAGGCTGAGAGAAAGAGAAGACAAAATGTGCCCTGCAGGAGCAGGTAACTAGTATACTCAGTCTCCTGGTGGAAACAGAGGTTTAAGTGCCCTGGAATTTGTAAAAGAGAGTAGATAGTGAAAGCATCTCAGTGGGGAGAGAAATGGCCCTGGAAAATGGGAGTAGGCTAGACGCAGAGTCCAAGGGGAAGGAGGCTTATAATACATTCCTTGTGTTGGGTAGGAGGCAATGTGTTATTTTCAAAGAAACGATTATATAAAACTAAGAAAGCTTTTTTAAAATGTCAAGTTAAGAAGGATGTGCATCTTAGGCCAGGCACAGTGGCTCACGCCTGTAATCCCAGCACTGTGGGAGGCTGAGGCAGGAGGATGGCTTGAGTACAGGAGTTCGAGACCAGTCTGGGCAACATAGCAAGACCTCGTCTCAACAAAAAAGTTTAAAAATTAGCTGGGTATGGTGGTGCATGCCTGTAGTCCCAGCTAATCCGGTGGCTGAGGTGCAAGGATCACTTGAGCCTGGGCGGTCGAGGCTGCTGTGATTGCACCACTGCACTCTAGCCTAGGTGACAAAGTGAGACCTTGCTTTAAAAAAAAAAAAGAAAGAAAGAAAGAAAAAAAGAAGGATGCATATCCTAATACAGAGCTCTGAATGAAATGCAGTGCTTTCCCCAGGAAAATGTGAAACCAACAACTCCTTGAGTTAGGTACCAATGAAGTAGGCATGGAACCCTGACTTTCAAAAAGTTAGTTAACTTCAATTGTATCTCTGTACAATAGGATAATAATCCGCATAGTGTTATTGAGAGGATGCAATGAGATAACGTATATCAAGAGCTCAGAACAATACCTGGCATTTATTAAAAGATGCATTTTCACAGGAAAGTAATAGTAATTGTCTGAGATGTACTAGAGCTGTCTTTATGTCTTTTTCTCCTTGCAGCCTGTGAGCTCCTTGGGGCAGGTCCTATGTCTCATCCATTCTCACAGTACAGTGGGCACATAACAGGTGCACAATAAAGATTTGTCAAATTTAACGGAAAGAATTAGAACTCAAAGTTAATAACCACAAGGGCCAAAACACCTCTTCTAGCTACCTGCCTATACATAAGTTGGCTTTTTTTTTTTTTCACCAATGAAGAGGGTTCTGCAAATACCACACCTATTTATGCAGAGGAACAGAGAGAGGCTTAGTAACTTAGAAGATGCAGAAACTTGCCTTATCTCCCAAGAATGTGCACCTTTACATAAAGTATACACTTAGAATAAGTTTGCATAACGTAAGTTTTGTCATTGCACTTGACTTGGCAGTGCCCATATTAGGGAACACTGCACCACCATTGAGGCAGGTTATTGAGGTAGAGATGATTTCCAGCACCAGATAGATGGCCTGGCCCTGACACGAATCCGAGAAAGAAAGAAAAGGAAGGCT
Source organism: Homo sapiens (assembly GCF_000001405.40). Classification (NCBI taxonomy): domain Eukaryota; kingdom Metazoa; phylum Chordata; class Mammalia; order Primates; family Hominidae; genus Homo; species Homo sapiens. The sequence continues at coordinate 12,334,308 of NC_000023.11, read as the reverse complement.
GGGGGCAATTCCATTTGCATGCAAATTAAATAACTAGGTTGACTCTCATTACCTCATACATTTAAACAATTTTAATGCAAAACTGGTTCCTTCCCTGAAAGAAGAAAATATGACCAAAAGTGAGGATAAAGCTTACTGTCAAACTTACTTTCCACTGTAAGGCAGATAGTGATACTATAGTAATATTTTGTGTTTTACAGGGTACAAGAGGTGAAGGCCCTTTCCATAATCTCCCAATAAAAGTATATGACTGCACAGTACAGAAAAAGGATCTTTTAATGGGAAAGGATAATGCAGAACCACAGATTTTCATTGCACCTTACACACATCAGAAAAGCCTGTTATCTAAAGACCTAGGGAAACCTGTTTCTAATCTCTACAAGATGCACCTATATTCTTGAAAGTGGACATTAGTATAGTCTTCTGGCAAAAATTAAAACAATTTGGAGATAGCCACCAAACAAAAAGCTACATACCTGAATATGTTTCTTCCAGCCAGGAGCGTGTATGCTTTTTATATAAATTATGTGAATGTCAGAAAGATTCCCCAATCATAATGTAATTTCACCTCTAAACAAACTGGTTGGTTGGCTTGTTAAACAATAGCAAGGGAAGATCATGATTCTAATCTTTTGTCAAAAAACTTATGTTTACAAGTTTTTTCTGCTCCATGTCATAGACCACACAGAGTCATAAAAGGTAAACTCAAATTTTGCAGAAATTATAAAGTAAAATTTTCCCCATTTGTAGCTCAGATTTTAATTTTCAGAACCTGAGTTGTATCCTCTGAAACATTTCTTTTCCTGGCTAACTTTAAGGAATGAAGATTCATTTTGTCAGCATCCTTATGTCTAAAGCTACCTTTTCTGAGGATCATAATTTCTGCTTCATGAACTTAGGCCAATATCAGTTGCCTTTCATCTTGGCCATACCTCTAGTAACTGAGTTCAAAAAATAAATATGCCCAAGTGACTGCCTTCTTAAAAAAAAACATTTTAAATGCAAAAATCCTCAATGTGGCTTAGGTAATGAATCATATAGGCTTGCAAAATTTCAAGCACATAATTGCCTGTCCATAATAAATTTTGAAAATTAGCCCATTTCTAGAGTTTGTGCATATGGCCTATAAAATGTGTCACTTATTCTATGATTCATAGACTTTATTCCAATTTTAAAGCAAACAGATGTTTATCTTTAAATGAGGTAGATAATATAATGCTTGAAAAACTTTTGGTATATTTATTATGGTTAAAAATGGCAAACATCTGTAGTTAGGAAAAATATACCATAGTGCCTTAGTACGATGGGAAACCACAAATTAGGAGTTGACAAGTTGCAGGTATTTAAAACGTCTGGCTCTACTGCCATTCCATATAAAACAGGGAGCTTAATCGGGATTATATTTACTCTGTCCATATGTTGCTTTCAGACTACAAGGGCACCTTGCTTAATGATGCAGTATTTTAAGAGTGAAGTCTTTAAGAAGAAAGAATAAACAATATAGAGGGGTTATTAGTGGCTTTTATTTTTACTTTAAAAACGTTAAATTACGTTGCTAAGTGATTTAAAAATTCTATTTTTCAAAATTGCCAGAAAAAACTCCTTTCAGGTTTCTCAATTAACCCATGAACCAAAGATCATAAGTTTTAATACTAGTTCCAATTCAAGTTTGGGTGAAAAGCAGTAAATTACAATTTATCTACCTGATTCCTAAAATAAAATTAATTTGGACATAAACGTTAAAACGACTTGGAAAACACCATGCATTTAATCATATTTTCCAGTAAGTATTTGCATTTCATCTATCTATTATGTACCCAATGAGCACACTTGATCAACTCGCTTATTTCTTTAGATTTAATGAGGCTACAGTTTCTGTATTTTGACTGCTTTGGAAACCAGGAAAATCAAATTGCAGCATGAAGCATTAAACTTTTCCCCAATAAAAGTTTTAAATATCAAAATGTCAACTATTCCAGGTTTTTTCCGGCCTTTTCTTCATTTTCAATGTTGAAACATTACATTTGTTAAATGGTATTTATTACCTTCAGTCCATGGCCAAATTCTCTCTCTCTCTCTCTCTCTCTCTCTCTCTCTCTCTATATATATATATATATAAAATATAAATTATATATATGTAAAATATAAATTATATATAAAATATAAATTATATATAATATATAAAATATAAATTATATATAATATAAATTATATATAATATAAATTATATATAATATAAATTATATATTACATATAATTTATATATAGTATATAAATATATATAATTTATATATAGTATATAAATATATATAATTTATATATAGTATATAAATATATATAATTTATATATAGTATATAAATATATATAATTTATATATAGTATATAAATATATATATTTATATATAGTATATAAATATATATAATTTATATATAGTATATAAATATATATAATTTATATATAGTATATAAATATATATAATTTATATATAGTATATAAATATATATAATTTATATACAGTATATAAATATATAATATATAATTTATATATAGTATATAAATATATAAATTATATATTTATATACTATATATAAATTATATATTATATATTTATATATTATATAAATATATAATTTATATATTTATATATTATATAAATATATAATTTATATAATTTATATGTAATATAATATATATATTATATTATATATATATATGATTCGTTTCATATAACTAAGTGAGATGAGTTTCATTGTTGCTTCTAACTCAAGTAGCCTTGCACTTCACGGGGCTTCTATAGGTATTCAAGTTTCAAAATGCCTTTTGTTCTCTGTGTCAGAGATCTAATTCAGATGTGAACTTTTATTTGTTACCAACATTCTCATTTTGAGAGGCTTACCAGCTTTCCACCTAGAACAAATATAACCTTCAGTACCTGGAGGAGTTATTTGCTGGACTACTATTGTTATTTTCTGAAATATGTCGACATGATACCACTCTGAGGATTAACCTTAATGTCTTTATAATGTTATATCACTTTCAAAATGGACAAGATTTTCCTTCCATGTTAAAAAAAAAAAAAAAACGAAATCCCGAAAACACTCTGTTGCACAGCCCTTAACAATATATGTATTTTATTTCTGCCAAACCAGGGGTCAGGAAACTGTAGCTTGAGGGCCAAAACCAGCTGCCCCCACTTTCTAAATAAAATTCTACTGGAATGCAGACATGCCCATTAATTGACATGTGGTCTGTGGCTGCTGTGGTGCTATAACCAATGGCAGAGTTGAGTAGTTGTGACAGAAACTGTATGGCTTGTAAAGTCTAAAATAGTTACTATCTGGCCCTTTACAAAAAATATTTGCTAATCCCTGCTGTAAATCATTAGTTCTGCTCCTAGCCATGAGCTCCTTCTGCAGGGAATAGCTACACATTCACTCAGTGTCTAGCCCTAGCGAGTGTGGATGCACAGAGGGTGAATACAGGTAGCAAGAGGGTATACCTTGGGCAGAATGAGGGGGATTAAGGCATCAGGGAGCATCACGAGGGTGTCAATATTGTTTCAGAGGTGAAACCAAGCATCAGTTAAGAAGGGCACTGCGGCAAACAAAGTTTCTCACTCACTTCTTCCTTGGGTGTCTAGCAAGTAACATCCCAGCCTAAGGTCTCTAGCAGTCCACCGACCACTAGGGAAAACTCCATGGCTACCAATGGTTCATGAATCCAGTGCGTCCCCACCACCAAAGTGGTCCTAAAAGAATTATTCTCTGATGCCCAGACTTTCAATGCCAAAGTTTCTCAAACCTCTTCTTGATGGCTTTTTCTAAACCTAGAGCCTTCAGGCAACCTACTTTGGAAAATTGCTTACTAGATTGTCCACAGAATTTATGCACTACCCTCTTGGAATTAGGAATAAAGAAAAGTAATTTTTTCTAGCATTTTCACCTACTAGATGCTAACTTGCATGAACTAACTATAAAAGGGTGCTCTTACTTGGCTTTGGGGGCATTAAAGATGATCATGACATTATCACGGGATATGGTAACTTAATCATTACTTCCCTAATTTAATATAAGAAAACTGAGGCCCAGATAGCTGAAGTGCTGTGTCCAAAGTCACATGGTTCAAATCTGGCTGCTGACTCCTTGTTGAGTACTCTTTATTTAATTAGTAACAGAAGATTTTTTGAATATTTACTAAGTTCCAGGTACTTGTGTTAAGTATTCTGCATGAATCACCTCATATAAACCCCACAGAATCCTGTAAAAAGGTGTATAATTATCCTCATTTTACAAATAAGGAAAATAAGGCTGTGTAGATAGAACTGATTCACAGCTGGGGTGGAAAAAGCTTTCTTTATCTCTGAAAGTGCCGGAGGTCTGCTTTTTGACTGTTGGCCAAGATAGGGGCAGTGAGATTTAAGTTGTTGTTGTTGTTTTTTTTTTTTTTTTTGGTTAGAAACTGTCCTGGCAACCCACCTAATAAGTTACTTTACTGCAGGTTTGCACTGCCTTAACTGGTTTGCCTAGCTTGATTATAACGAAAGAGATTCAGGAGCACCCTTGCATTGAAAGCTTCTCTGAACTCTCCCCAAGCCAAGATTGGGCACACAGATCCTGATGTTCAAGCCAATGACTCAGCCTGGCCCTATGTGCTGAAACGAAGAAAGGGCTCTGGGTTGTTGGAAAGTCTCTCTGACTCCTGATGTTGCCCACATTTACTTTCTCTTACTGCACCATATCCTTTTTCTCCTTAAACAAAAGCTTCACATGCGTATTGTTGGGGGTTCAGAAAGCAATACCCCAAACTGAGGGCCTCAGAAGAAAAGGTTTTTCTCTGACCTGCTGCTGCTCTCTTGTCTCTCAGTCCCATTTTCCCCTGAGGCTAGTCATACAAACTAGCATCCCTCTTCCCCAAGGCATGCCATACAAACCAGAGCCCCTTTGCCACAGAGCCAGCCATAAAACCTGAAAATACTATTATAACTTTTCCTCTGCTTTTTTGTGTGGAAACTGGCCATAAAGAAATTCTCTGACCTACCTTGTTTGGCTGCAGGTCCTAAGGCCCCCCATTCCAGAGAGGGTTCTGCCCCACACCCAGAAGGAAGGAAGGCTGCTTAGAGATGCCAAGAAGAATCTAGACAGAAAGGCCTTCCTGGATTTCCCCACTCAGTCCATTAGCACTAGATCATACTCTATTTGTCCAACCATGTTTCTATATTCCTGTCCATCCTTTGTTGAATCTAAGCACAAAAATGGACAATTTCCTCAGTATCTCTGGGTCTTTGTTCTGAAGGCTTCCATGTGTACACATTAAGTAAATTAGTATGCCTTTTCTCCAATTAATCTGCCTTTTGCAAGTTGATTTTTCAGCAAACCTTCAGAGGGCCAAATGGAAAGCTCTCCCTTGGCACCTACAGTACACTCTGTGGTATCTAGTGAGTCCTTTCTAATACCTGAACTGTATAAGCCCTATACCGGCTTTCAGGGATGAGGTTCCCTCCTGAAGATCACACAGCTTCTAAGTGGCTGTGCCTAGGGTGGAGGGCAGCAACCTGACTCTAGATTTCATGGCTATTGTTTCCGATTCTGAATTCTGTAGCCTGCATTAGGATACCTGAGGGAGATAGTAACAATGTGTACTCTAGAAAGGTCTGCATCAGAATAAGAGGTGCCATTATATAATTCATCCACCCAAAGCAGTGCCTTTTTCCAATTTTCACTGTCTTAGTTACTTTTTGTCATATGACAAATCATCCCCAAATTTAGTGGCTTAAAACATCAACTATTATCTATCTTTACTAAGCTCACAACTCTGCAGGTTGGCAATTCACTCACACAACTGCAGTCAAATGCTTGGTTAGCTAGGACTTAGTGGTCTAGTGTGGCCTCAGCTGGGATGGCTCTTCTCTCCCATGTGATCTGTCATCTGTCATCTTCCAGCAATCTAGCCCTGGCTTAATCTCATGAGGGCTGCACAATATTCCAAGACAAAGACAACAGATTGAACAACAAATTGAATTTTATAGTTTAGAAATCTTTCACATTAGAATTTTGTTATTGCCTAGTTTTAATTGTTTGGTACATGTAACATTTTAGAAAATTATTACCCAGGGACTTATTTTCTGTAGCTGATCCTATAACTGGCTCATCCCAAGTCAGAGTTGGTAATATGACTGTTCTTTGTGAGGAAGAGAGCTGGCATTTGCTGAGTTTGTTTGAGTAATGATGGCCCTCAAAAATATTTCTTAAGGACTAGGCTCAGAGAAGGCATGTCATCACTGTTCCTGCATTCCATTGGCCAAAGCAAGGCAAATGGCTACCCCAGATTCAAGGGGAAGAGAAGTAGACTCCAACTATTGATGGGAGGAGCCAAAAAGTCACAGTGCAAGAAACATGGACAAAGGCAAAGATGAAGAAATGGGGCCACTTTTGTAAATAATCTATAATCCTCACAAAGGCACAGTGTGTACTAGCAGGAGCACTGAGCTAGATGTAATCGTTTTTTTTTTTTTCTCTCTGAAAAATGATGAACTATCTGAATGAAACTGTAAATCAGATCTGCTATGCAGTACTTTCATCTCAGGAGGTAGATTACAGAGCCAGTTCCCTGGCTGACCCAGACTTATTCCCTCTGGCAACTGTTACTAGAGTCAATTGAATAAACTACAAATTTGCATACCACAAATTCAGTAAATAACCAAATGGAAAATAAAGTTCAATATTTGAAAAATTAATATTTTAATTGCTGTATAATATAAAGTGACTCTTTTTACAAGAGTAAATGAATTAGGTTTGATCAGATTGGAAATATTTTTGAGGGCCATTATTACTCAAACAAACTCAGCAAATGCCAGCTCTCTTCCTAACAAAGAACAGTCATATTACCAACTCTGACTTGGGATGAGCCAGTTATAGGATCAGCTACAGAAATTAAGTCCCTTGGTAATAATTTTCTAAAATGTTACATGTACCAAACAATTAAAACACGGCAATAACAAAATTCTAATGTGAAAGATTTCTAAACTATAAACTTCAGTTTGTTTCCCAATCTCTAGCATTTTACTTTAGAGGACATTATGGTGAAGATTTCAGTTCAAAATGCCAGACAGACAATACATATTCATGTTTTTCCCATGAGATATTATTTTAAATGACAATAAAGAAGAAAATGGAATCAGAACTGATAATGGACAGAGAGAACAGATAGAGGATGTGTCAGCAGCTCAGAGAGGGAGTAATGGGATGATGAAGAGCTGATGGAGCTGCAGGTCCTGGAGAAGTTGTGACTTTGACTTTGTTTCCTAAATTTCTCATTTTGTGACTCAGATGGAAATTAATTTTTTTTTGATGCAGGGTCTTACTCTGTCTTTCAGGCTGGAGTGCAGTGGTGCGATCGTAATTCACTGTAGCCTCAAACTCCTGGGCTCAAGGGATCCTCCTGCCTCAGCCTCCTGAGTAGCTACTACAGGCGCACACCACCAAGCCTGGCTAATTTTTAATTTTTTTGTAGAGATGAGGTCTCACTATGTTGCCCAGGCTGGTCTCAAACTCCTGGGCTCAAGAAAACCTTGGCCTCCCAAAGCACTGAGATTAAAGGTGTGAGCCACTGCATCCAGCAAAAATTAATATTATTATGCCTCACTGAAAGAACAGAGGGAATGCTTGAGGCTGGTCGCCCATGTCCTGGGCCTGTAGCTGCCCTGACAACACCTGAGAGGCACAGATTTCTCAGCACCCCTAGGACTTGGTGGCTCTCAGCCAGGGGCAGTTTTATCCCCCTGTGTACATTTGGCAATATGTGGAGACATGTGTGGCCATCACAACTGGGGGTGGGGGATTCTATTGGCATTGAATGAGGAGAAGCCAGAAATCCTGTTACATACCTTACAATGCACAGGACTGCACCTAACAACAAAGAATTATCTAGCCCCAAATGCCAATAATGCTGAGGCCAAGAAACTCTGTTGTGGTCCAACTCCTCAGTGGCCCATCATTGAGTCTCTCTGCACAGTCCAGGAAGCTTAAATATCACCAGAGGGATCTAAAATAGATGGGGCAGTTGATCTGATTTGAAGAATGTCAACAAGCTTGAGACTTAAAAATGCCAAATACAAAACTGAGTAGCATTAGCATGGATAAAAAAAATAGGAGGAATACTTACACACCTGTATATTAAATAACTTATCCCACCCATTCCCTCATGTAGAAGTGCCCATAGCCAGTAATTTCCAGGGCAAGAAATGAGGACATTCTCCTCTAAAGAAATGAAACAGACCATCTGAGAAGACCTAGAGTAGGAAGTGAAAATTATTGGTGGGCCAGATAAAGGTCTCCATATTCTAGCATTTAGAAGTCCACAGTGAAACAGCGTGCTCTTCACCTGCTAAACCTAGTCTTAAGCCCCAGTCAACATACTTATTCATTTCACACATCTTCCTAGGAGTAACCCGTTACTTCACCTTGAAGAGTAGTTTAGGGCAATGATCCTCTAACTTTAAGGCTCATATGAATCTCCTGGGAATCCTGTTAAAATGTAGATTCTACTTCAGTATGTCTGAGGTGGGGCCTGAGGGTCTGCATTTTAGAGCTTCAGGGAATGCTGATATTTCTAGCACATAGATTATTCTTTGAATAACAAAGGTTTGAAGGGGTTGGCAAGTTACTGGTGAGCCAAATCCAGCCTGATCCTGTTTTTATAAATAAAGTTTTATTGGCACACAGCCACACTCATTTGTTTCCATATTGTCCTTGGCTGCTTTCATGCTATACGGCAGAGTTCAGTCATTGTGACAGAGACAGTATATCCTGAAAATGCAATAACTTCAAGTGCCCCATTTCAGTGCAGTAATGCCAAACTTTCAATCTTAAAGACTACTTTCCATGAATACAACAAACACCAAATAATTTGAATAATGCAGTTGGATTACATTTTCTGTGAAAGGCCAGATGGCAAATTTTTTTGGCTTTCTGTGCCACAGGCTTGTCAGCATTCCCTTCAATGTTAAAACTGCCTCAAAGTGAAATTGAGTTATTCAGCTTAGATACATTCCAATCCCAAAGAGTTGGAAAATTTAGACTCTACGTTTTCAGTATTCATTCAACATTACTTTTTAAAAGATGTATTACACATGAGTCTAATACAAAAAAATTAAAAATAGTATAGGAAAGTTTCATATATTATTGTATAACAAATAATATTTTTCAAGAATAAAGGAAAACAGGTTGGGTTCATTTAAAATACTTTCCTCTTTGGCACATTTTAATTTGTATTTTGGGTGAGGGAAACATCACAGAAATAAAAATAAACCCAATGGAGATTACACTAAGAGTTTATAGCTTTGACAAAGCATCAAACAAAATTGTTTTTTGTCTTCACAGAATTTTATTGAATTGGTAGAACTGTTCTTGTACACAGATATTAAAAGACCATGAAATACCAGCTTTTGCTCAGTAGAAGTCTATTATACATTTTTAAAAATCCACACCCATTATCTTACCTAATTAGAAAATATATTAGTAATAGTAATTACTTCCTAAATATATTGACTAAAGAAAAGGTAATTCATTTGGATGTATCAACATACATATTTATGAATGTAGTTTCATGTCAATTAAAATCTAAGTGAAAGAATCTAGGCACTTGATATTTGAGAACATAAGGCATGAAATTTGTTATAGATAAGCCAAAATAACAAGAAAATCAGAAAAAATTATCTGTAGCATGTTTATTTTCAAATTGCACTTCAGTTGACTGGCAGAAACTGTCCATAATGCATTAAAATAATGTTAAAAATTTTGTTATCCTTGAAAACAATTAATAAACAAGCCAAATGTGTCAATTTGTCAAGCTCAAGAAATGCCTTTTGATATTGTAAAGCCCACAAAGAAGGGCAGAAGCTATGGTTTGAACAAAGAATTAGGTAAAGAACTAACTATTACATGATAATTTACTGGTCATGGACAGACTTCAGTGATTTGATTAATTTTAGTCATAATCTACTGACAATAAGAGCATATTTTAGAGTGCGTGTTGGCAAATGATGTTATGACTAAATTCAGTTCCTTGGAAAAAGGTTACATAACTTGAACTACACATCATTATCAAGCTAAAAAGATGAAGTTAGCTAGACTGGAGTTGCAGCCTAGGTTCAATACTTAAAAGATAGTGTTTGTTCCCTCTTTCTGTCTGCGATGGAGTAAAGAAGATAGGGTTTCATCAGAGAGACCTTGGAGAGGGAAAGAAGTACAGTGCTTTATTTCAAAGCCATGGCACACAGATTCTTATGTCTTCCTTATATTTGTTGACACAACCTCCTCATGGTGGTTTATACACTCATCAGTCATTTCATCCTCTCAAGAGGTGAGATGGTGTAAGCCACACCAGGATTCAAACACAGCATCCTCCTCTTACTTATAGCAACCGATCCTGCTCTAACCCAAAGGCTCAGACCTGCTCTAAGAGGGATTATACTCAGATTTATACACATAGGATTCACGTAAACCCAACCCAACACTCAGGGACTCCAGTTGCCCTCTTTGCTAGAAAGGCCTTAGCTTGACTTCCATTTGGTCCCAGAGACCCAGTCCCCTCACCTTAGACACCCAAAGCAGAGTCAGGTGGGCTCTCTTCCTGAGCATATCTTTAAAAAATGGCTCCTCTATAGAGGTAACTAAGAGTTCAACAAAAAGAGGAAGCAGTAGGCAAACAACATGTTGGGCCTGGTTGAGAAGTGGTTAAGGAGGTGACCCCAGTAAAGAGCAGTTTCTTCATCCTGAGGCTGGCTCCCTAGTGCCACAGCCTGGCTGCTCCATCCTTTGTGAGGGGACTTGAGCCTGGTTCTTTATGCCAAAGACCTCATCTTAGTAACCATCCTGGCACCATATGCCACTAAAGGCTGAGGCTTCACTCCTGCTGGTTTAACCAATCAGGCATGCTGCTATGAAGAGCCCAAAAGCCTTGTCAGATCCTGGATTCCCTCTGTTCACAGGGTATTCTTCCAGCCCCATTACATCTGATTGTCAATGTCTGACTCTGATGGCTTGATCACACTTGTCTGGTATAGTTGGCCAGTGAAACAACTCTATTTGCTTCCAGAGCCCAAGGCTACTTATATCTTCTCTCAATTACCCCACCCAGAATGGGGGCATCCAATTCTAGGTGGTATTCCACTTTCCCCAGGCTGCCCCAACCTTGCTACCATAACTAGGCCTTTGAAGGTAAAATAGTGACTGTGACCCATACTCAGAAATAAATACCACATAGCAATACACTTCACACATGCACATATAAAACGTTCATAGCATAGTTCATCAAACTTTAGATACTATTGATTGTGAGACCCATCTTGACTTTAGAAGAGATGTCAACATGGGAAAAATGTCAATATTAATTAACATCAATTCTAATTAATTATATAATATATAACTAATGTTAATTAATAAAAGTTAATATTGAAATTTGATAATAAATGAAAGTTTCATGAAACAATATTTATATAAGGCATTCCACTACATAAAAGGCACTGATATCTTCTGTCTTATTCTATCTCATTATTTAAAAATGAAATGCTACGTATGACCAGCAAAATTGACTGACTTACCCACTACATGGTTTGGAGCTGTAATTTGAAAATACAGGTCACTCATGCCTTACAGAGCAGCACAGGTTTCCCATCACTCTTCTGATGAACTCCCAACTCAAACTACGACCTACAAGGCCCTGAATGACCTGGCTCCTGTACCCTCCCAAATTTGCCCCAGCTACCTTTCTGCTTGCCCATGCAGCTCCTGCCATGCTGCTCTTCTTGGCATCCCTTGAACACACCAAGCACATCATCCACCTCATGTTGTTGCCTCTGGAAACACCCTTTCCCAGTTCTTCCTAGGACCAGTTGCCCCTCTCCATATATCCACTCTGGGGTCAGCTTCTCATTCCCCTGACATCCTTCAATTACCTTGTATCACATCACTTATTTCCTTGTTGGGAGATAATTCAGATGTTTCTGCATGTTCTCTGAGTGAAGAGTACTGATAGCTTTGTACAAGGATGTTTCAATAGCAAATGGCCTTGGAAGCTAGAGATAGTATAGTCCTGGGTCACAGATTTGTTTCCTGACCAGGATAGAGAAGGCAGAGATTCCTCCCTTTTCATTCTCCTTCCAATCCCCAGAGAAGATCTGCTTATATTCCAAGTTAATAATGAGATCTCTCTCTGGAGGGGAAGATGGGCAAGTTTGCTAGCAGACCCCATATACAACTGGGAGTTTTCTCAACTCAGTGTTTCTCAGCTCTGACACAAACCCACTGACTGCACAGCATCTACCCAGGCCCCCTTCCACATCACCCTGCAGAACTTAGGGGGCAAAGGGAACTGATGTGAACGTGCTGTGCCTTGAGTAACAGATGGTGTCAATCCATCTGAGTTCACAGTTTCCTCACTGATTGAATTTATACAAGTGTGAAGAGTGAGCCCAGCAGATATGCTGCTTCCTAAGGTCTGTCTGATGCTTCTTTATAGCATTAACCACACCTGGACTTACTTAGTTGGTTCCTGCTTGTCACTAAACTCCCCCAACTTGTAAGCTTCATGAGGACAGAGATCAGGTAATGATAAAATCTTAATTAACATAAATGTACAGACACTCTTAGACTTACAATGAGGTTAGATCCCAATAAACGCATTGTAAGTTGTAAATATCTTAAGTCGAAAATGCATTCGGTACATCTAACCTACTGAACATCATAGCTTAGCTTAGCCTACTTTAAATGTGCTCACAACACTTACATTAGCCTACAGTTGGGCAACATCATCTAACATAAAGCCTATTTTATAGTAAGGTGTTGAATATCTCATGTAATTTATTGAATATTGTACTGAAAGTAAAAAATAAAATGATTGTGTGGGTAATTGAATGCATATCACTTTCCCACCACAGTAAAGTCAAAAAATCCTAAGTCAAAATATCATAAGTTGGGGACCATCTGTATACGTCTACCCACTAGGTTTATAATTTATAAATGAGACAATCCACTTCTTTATCAGGTATGACTCTGCTATGAAAACTCTTAGCCACCCAATAAGTGAGCAAAAGGTATAATTTTACAAAAATTTGTTCTCCAGGACATACATTGCTGGATACATTTGTTATCTCAAGCCAAGTCTCCTTATATTTAAAGTGTCAAAGCAATAAACTCAATTAGCTGAAATTTTTGATGAGTAGATCTGGCTTAGCCATGATTATGGAATATTTTCTACAATTTAAAAAATGTATTCTGCTGCCTTAGAAAGTATATAGAGAAAAGTGAATCTTGTTTGATAACTGAGTCTAGCTTTGCCTTGGGGTCAGTGTCATGAATATTAAATCTGATTACACTGTACAGGACAAAGTTTCTCTGTTGGTACTTAGGCTGCAAATTAAAAATTTTAATAAACTCCTAATAAGGATTTTTTTTTCAGTTTTTAGTTATTCTTTCCAGGTACAGTTGATTAAGTTGGGAACATTCCTGTTTTCCTTGTCTTCTGGCTAGTCACATTTTACAGTATCGCTTTTAAAAGACTTCTGAATTAAATAAACAACATAACCACATGCTAAACCATGCCATTAAGAAAGCATATGCTGATTATCACCTGCCCCTTTAGAACACTGGTGAAATGAACTCCTAACTGTTCTATGGATGATGCTACCTACCTGGAGTCCCAGTTTAATTTTAAAAAGCAAAATGTCTGTTTCTCAATGGATCTATTTGTGTTTACACCATTTCAAGCAAAATATAATAATAAAGTTTGCAGAAGTTTTCCTCAAGCAAGGAGCAGCGATTCGGTCATGTGTTTTACTATAAGCATCTGCTGGGGGTGCTTTGCATTCAGGATGTAGACTGCTGGGGTTTAGAGACTTGCATTTTTACTCTCCTGCACCAGAGGGAAATATTAGATAGGAGAGCTCAGCCTGGGGAGTTCCAGTTTTCAATTGCCCCTACCTTGCTGCGTGGCCTTGAAGAAGTCCCCTGTCCTCTTTTTGCCTCATTTCCCTCATTTGTAAAATGAGAACAGTACCTGGCAGTGTAAATTAACTAATCAATCATTTTAAATGGCTGAGATAAAAGTGCTTTAGACTCAAAAGTCATTTTATAGGATGTAAACTGCTATCTTCCAAATACTCCATATGTGCTGACTCTATTAAGCTAAAAAAACACCAGTGGTTTCACAGCAAATTATACTAAATGCTTTATAAATGCTGATAAAGGTTCTCTAAACAGTGTTTACAATGACAGCCACGCACAGAGCTGCAAAGTAACATGATGTGGCAGGTTTTCAGAAATAGGATTATTACTGAAATAATCCTTAGTTCCTAAACCATGCAGAAAAAGAAATCGACCATGGCCATACTTCCAGAACTTCAGATCATCTTCCCTTGACATTTGAATGGAAGATAACTAAGAGAAACATTGCCAATAGATTTTATTTTTATTGTTCAGTGATAAAAATAGGCACCAGAGAGCCAAGGAAAGCACTGAAACCATAGACAATAGAAGCCCTTGGGTTTTACATTCATCTAAGTCTGGAGACTCAATGCATTTTACAGTGGTAGTCTCATTTCTTGCTACATTCCTGAGGAAGTTTAAAGAAACTTAAGGTTTGAAGATGGGCTGCTATTCCCAAGCCTGTCCTCTTTCCACTAAGTCTGGGGACAGCCTGCCTCAAGCATTATGTCACTGGAACTTGCAGGTAAGAATGATACTCGCGATGCTACTTGGGGGCAGATCCAGCCTGTGGGGAGAAACTATCTTCCCTTACCGGAGTGTGTAGCAACATAAGGCAATGGTTCTCAAAGTTGGCTACACATGGGAACCACCTGGGTCGTTTTTAAACATCCTGGTGTCCAGGGCCTCCTCTATACTAATTACATCAGAATCCCTGGGGGTGGGTCCAGGCATTAGGACTTTCTAAAACTTTCCAGATAATTGCAAAATGCAGCTGCGTATGAGAACAAGTACTATAATGCATTCTGAAAAATACTGCCTGCATGCAAGACAGGGAAGAACAACTCTTTTCCACGGTGGCATTACTAATCTAGACCAAGGGTTGGCAGTCTTTATCTATAAAGGCTCAGGCAGTAAATACTTTCAGCTTTTCAGGCCATCGGGTCTCTGTGGCAACTATTCAACTCTGTCTTTGCAGCCTGAAAGCAACCATAGACAATGTGTCAATGAAGGGACAAGGGACACAGTGTAGGCTTTGGGGAAACTTACATCAATATTTGGAAAGCTAACTGAACAGAATTGTGTTCTCATCCCAAACAACTCTGATTTTTCCAAAAAAGACAATCAAAAGTGACAAAAAACTTATACCTTTGAAATTGTCGTCATTTCATCTAAAAATTCCCGGTGCTTTCCCCTATGTTTTTTTTTTAATTATTTTTTCTTTTTAATTTTTATGGATACATAAAGCTGTGCATTTATAATGATCGAATCTGGGTAATTAAAATATTTTTTGCCTGCAACATTTATCATTTCTCTGTGTTGGGAACATTCCAAATCTTTTCTTTTAGCTATTTGCAAATATACAATAAATTATTGTTAACTATAGACACCCTATTGCACTATCAAACACTGGAACTTATTCATTCTACCTAACTGTATTTTTGTATCCACTAACTAACTCGTCTTCATCTCCATCTCCTACCCTTCCCAGCCTCTGGTAACCACCATTCTACTCTCTACCTCCATGAGGTCAATTTTCTTAGCTTCCACATATGTTTTGTTTGTTTGCTTGTTTGTTTGTTTTGAGACAGAGTCTTGCTCTGTCACCCAGGCTGGAGTGTAGTAGAAGGATCATGGCTTACTGTAGCCTTGACTTCCCGAGTGAAGCAATCCTCCGATCTCAGCCTCCCAAGTAGCTAGGACCACAGGCATGCACCACCACACTCGGCTAATTTTTCATTTTTTGTAGAGACAGTGTCTCACTGTGTTGCCTAGGCTGGTCTTGAGCTTCTGAATTCAAGCGATTCTCCCATCTTAGCCTCCCAAAGTGCTGGGATTATAGATGTGAGCTGCCTCAGCTGGTCAGCTCCCACATATGAATGAGAAAATGTATTATTTGTCTTTCTGTGTCTAGCTTATTTCACTTAACATAATGTCCTACAATTCCATTTGCATTGCTGCAAATGACAAGATTTCATTCTTTTTATATGGCTGAATAATACTCCATTGAGTATATATACTATATTTACTTTATCCATTCATCCACTGATGGGCACTTAGGTTGATCCATATCTTGACTATTGTAAGTAGTGCTGCAATAAACATGAGAGTGCAGATATCTCCTTGATATGCTGATTTCCTTTCTTTTAAATAAATACCCAGCAGTGGGATTGTTGGATCATATGGTAGTTCTATTTTTATCTTATTGAGGAACCTCCATCCTGTTTTCCACAGTGACCGTACATTCCCACCAACAGCATATTAGTGTTCCCCTTTCTCCACATTCTCTCCAGCATTTGTTATTTTCCGTCTTTTGATAATAGCCATTCTAACTGGGGTGAGATGATATCTCATCGTATTTTTGATTTGCATTTCCTTGATAATAAGTGATGCTGAGCATTTTTTCATATACTTGTTGGCCAGTTGTATGTCTTCTTTTGAGAAATGTCTATTCAGATTTTTATTCAGTTTTTAATCAGATTACTTGGGTTTTTGTTTTTTTTGTTTTTTTTTTTTTTTTTTGCTATTTAGTTGTTTGACTTCCTTGTATATTCTAGTTGTTAATCCCTTGCTGGATGAATAATTTGCAAATATTTTCTCCCATTCCGTGGGCTGTCTCTTTACTTTGTTGATTGCTTCCTTTGTTGTGCAGAAGCTTTTTAGCTTGATGTAATCCCATTTGTCAATTTTTATGTTGGCTGTCTGCGCTTTTGAGGCCTTATTCAAAAAATCTTTGCCCAGTCCAATGTTTGGAGGCATTTCCTGAATGTTTTCTTCTAGTAGTTTTATAGTTTTAGGTCTTAAATTTAAGTCTTTAATTCATTTTGATTTGATTTTGTATATGGTGAGAGATAGACAGTCTAGTTTCACTCTTCTGCATATGAATATCCAGTTTCCCCAGGACCATTTATTGAAGAGACTATCCTTTCCTCTACGTTCTTATCAGAGCAAAACAGAATAAAGGAAATCTGTTTCTTAATGCTGACAAGACTGCATACATGTCTTTGCCATTTACTTGAAATCCAATTTATGCAGCCGTGAGAGACCTTAAAATTCAAATGGCTTCAGCATTCAGATCTTAAAATGGCAATAGGAAGTTCATTAATTCTGAACTAAACATTTTTCACTGGATATAAATTTTAACGATTTTACTAACACTAAAAATGCTAAATTGTACATGCCATTTTCAATAATGATCACCATAACTGTAAAAGATTTTTGCTTCTAAACCAGAAAGTGTGATCAGTGCATCCTAACTGCTATGTGCCTGGCTTTAAACCAACCTTTGTAATGTAAAAGACAAGAACACCATAGAACTCTGAGCTTTAAAAAAAAAAAAAGTAAAACAACTCTGGGTTTTGTTTTGTTTTTTTAATGGTACTCTTTGTAATGCTAAAAGAAAGCACACCTAGTAGTGGATTTACCTGGATACCCTTGTGATGGAATACATTTCAGAAGTGAATGCAAAATAATAAGAAAAGGGAAATGTGAAAAGTATCAACAAAACTGGTCATGTTCGATACAAAATAAATAATATCAGCAAGTTTTCAGTTGAATTTAATAAAAGCTATGATGGTTATATCTTCAAACACACAATGGTTGAGAATATTTTTAATTACCACCTAAGCTGTTGCTTTTTAAAAAATCTGGAAATGGGCTGGGCACGGCAGCTCACGCCTGTAATCCCGGCACTTTGGGAGGCCGAGGCGGGTGGATCACCTGAGATCAGGAGTTCAAGACCAGCCTGGCCAACATGGTGAAACCTCGTCTCTACTAAAAAAAAAAACACAAAAATTAGCTGTGCGTGGTGGCATGCACCTGTAATCCCAGCTACTCGGGAGGCTGAGGCAGGAGAATAGCTTGAACCCAGGAGGTGGAGTTTGTGGTGAGCTGAGATCGTGCCACTGAACTCCAGCCTGGGCAACAGAACGAGACTGTCTCAAAAAAAATAAATAAATAAAAATCTGGAAATGGACACACATTATAACAATTCACCCAGTTTAGTAAATAACACCTGAGAGGTATCATTTGAGGTCTATGCTTACATTGAATAATATCTTTGTCTCAGGTTAGCCTCTTGGCTAAAGAGAGGGGTTTCTCACCATCAGCATAACTGATATTTTGGGCTAGATAATTCTTTATTATGGGACTGTGCAGTGCAATGTAAGACATTTAGTAGCATGCCTGGCCTTTGCCCACTAGATGCCAGTTCCATAACCCCTACCCCCTGTTGAGAACCACAACCAAAAATGTCTTTAGACATTGCCAAATATTCCCTGAGGGACAGAAATCAACCCCAGTTGAGAACCACTCCTTTAGATTTAGGTCCTCCACAGGCACAAATCTTTGGCCAAATCTTGCATGAGTATCAAGCTCCCATGACAACATTTTGTTTGTTGCTGCATAGTTCTCATTCTCATCTGTTCATTTTGCAGTCTGCTCTGTGCCTTGTTCTAGCCTCTGGTAATGAGGTCATTGATGTGTCTTGCCTACTTTATCCTTGAAAATCTGCATATTTTTTTATCCACGTTTCTCCTTCTTATTCTCAGGCACCTACATACCCGCCAACATCACCAGGGGGCTTTCCCAGGCTGCCTCTGTTCTTTGCTATGTCTCTTCCTGCAAACCCACCAAATTCAATATATGAGATTACATGAGACTGACACAGGAATGTGTCCTTTCATTCACATTTGGACACATACTGCAGTACAAGTGGTCAGTGAATAATTATTACTACACTAATCTCAAGAGAACAAAATGGAAGATTAACCCAATACTATTTTTATGAAAAGAAAAATTTGGAATTTTGAAATGGGGTTTCCAGATTTCTGTTTGAAAGGAAAATGAAATTCATTTTAATAGTCTTTAGCCAAATTTTCTGGCAAGGAAACTCAAAACTTAATCACACAAGACATTAAATAGTATATTAGTCACTCGGCACAAGTTAAATTTATAACTGTTAAATCTAGAAAGCCATAATCAGAGAAACTACCGAATTTCTAAAGTATAAGTAGTAACACCATCTAATAAATATGACATGCAAAATGGTAGCTACGGAAATTGCTGATCCATGGTGTTTACTCAAATGCCTGCACATTAAAGATAAAGCATTTTTTTCTTTCTTTAAGAATGCATTAATTGTGGCACATTTATGTTTCTTTAGGCAACCCAGCAGCTGTGGTTCCAAACATGAGCCTTTGAGAAATACATTTAAATGAATATTTATAAACTTTTCTCTAGCAATTATATTTAGCAACTGTAGCAGATGCCTCCACTTTCACAGTGTTAGCTGTGTCACTAATTAGAGTCCCTCTTTCATCAAGCTGTCCTCTAGTCACTTGTCTCTTAAGTGGACTAGTGACACATTCAGGAGGGAGAAAGAGACACAGAGGTCTAACAGGTCTATTACCAAGTTAAAAAAAAGTCATAAAAACATACATAAACCATAAGCACTCAATGTTCATAACCTCAGATTTTCCCAAAGCAACTACAGACTCATTTGAAATTGAGATTTCTATGTTCTGAGCATCTCAATGGGATATTATCTCAATTACCACTGAATAATTTTTATGCATCCTTTAAAGCCCAGTTGCTCAGTATAGGGTCCACGACCACCAGACCACCTGCACAGAATCCTCAGTCTCACTCCCAAAACCGATTTTGTAAGTCAGTTCCAGCTCTGGGATCTCCAGGTGATTCTTGGGAAACCTAAAGCTTGCAAGCCACAGCTTTCAGACAATTTAGGCCCACTTCCTTCAGGAAGCCCGCTTCATAACTCCAAACTGGCTTGAATGACCATCTTTGTGATTCCAAGTTACCCTGAGTTCTCTTATATCACTGCCCTTATTACCTGTAGTGAAACTGACTCAGTTGTTTCCTCTCTCTTCACTCTGAACGACTTTTTAAAAGTGTCTTAGATTTACACATTTCTCCATGCCTAATTGATAGAAGGTAATCAGTAATTAGTTGATTGAACAAACACTTTCAGTTTTCTGATAATGAGAACTATATAAGCTTCAATGTCTTGTGTTTTGCCCTGAATTCCAGAAATATTCACCAAATTTGAAACCTAGAACAGTTTTAACATCACTTACTGATACAATGTTTATAGACAACTTTTATTCCTTGGTCACAATTTCCATTTTCTAGCTTAACAAATTTACATTACATTACACACATAACATTAAATTTTAGAGAAGTTACATTTTAACTCTTGAAGACTGAGAAATTTTAGAAAAATTCATGGGGGTGGGGCAGTCAGCTCCATTGAGAGGAAAAAAGAGAAATTAAAAATAGTGGAAAGCACAAGTCAGGTACCAGATTCATACAATAAAAATGAAACTATCCATCCCCCAAGAAATTTAAAGAAGTTGGTTATTAAGATGAATGAAATGAATGAAATGGGGAAAAAACCTCACAAAGACTTACCCTTTCAAAGGGTTAGAGTTTTCCAACTTTCTGGATATTTACATTACAAAAAGAAAATGATCTCTAAAACTTTGATCTTGAGCTCCCTCTCAAAATTCAAAGTTTTGGTAGATTTATCCATTTGCTCATTCCTCCTATCTGTTGATTCAGAGCAAGTCCTAACCCCTTGAAAGTTGATTGTTCCACCAGCTTTCCAGATCTCATCTCCTTGAGAGCTAGCCTCATCAATTAGCCACTTTTCCACTGTGACCATCAGCCTTTTCCTTTCTATTCCCCACTTTGCAAAACAGGTAGTGGGCTAGATCTGGCTTGCAGGCCACAGTTTGCCAACACCTACTGCAATCTCCTCAAGGTGCTATCCCATGATTCCATCCCTAAATCTACAAACCCTACATTTTGTCACTACCCCTGACTCCAGAGTCCTGACTTCTACCTCCTAATCACTAATGACACAAAGATCACTAATGACTACCAAACTGCCTGCTGCAGTCTTCATCTTCTCAAGTTTGAAACTTGTCCCTCCGTGGCTCCCAGGATGAACTCTAGTGTCTTTCTGATTGTTAATTATTACTTCTCAGTCACTTTTTTGTCCCTTTTTTCTCCACCTCCCTAATGAAATATAAGCACTTTCAGGACCTTGTTTTTCCTCCTTCTTTTGAGACATGGTCTACTGGATGATCTCCCTCATTCTCCATCCATCGCTCCCCCATAGTCTTCCCTGACATCCTCTGCCAAGGCACTGGGCTCCCTCCTTTTGTCCTCTCATTGCAGCATGGGTGCGTACTCAATTATTACTGATGGTTTCTTGACCCCAATATTCTACTCTGTAGTGAGGGCAGGGAATGGTGTCAATTTGCAGAGGAATCCCACCATAAGAAAGCACTTGGTCTCTTAAAAGAAGTCATTTATAATTGTAAGTGGTCTGTAATTAAGCTGATAAAATCAAGGACCTTAGGATGCTGTCTTCCAGAAAGAAAAAAGGAATGCATAAACAAGGGCATTCAGTTTCCAGTAATAAGAAGTTTATTTGTGACAGCCTTCTGTGTGAAAACAACTGAACAAGTGGAAACAAACAAAAACATCACCTTAAATCTACAAAGAACAGGAAAGTACAAAAAGTAATGGAGGGCCAGGCGCGGTGGCTCACACCTGTAATCCCAGCACTTTGGGAGGCTGAGGTGGGTGGATCACGAGGTCAGGAGATTGAGACCATCCTGGCTAACATGGTGAAACCCCGTCTCTACTAAAAATACAAAAAAATTAGCTGGGCGTGGTGGCAGGCGCCTGTAGTCCCAGCTACTCGGGAGGCTGAGGCAGGAGAATGGCATGAACCTGGGAGGCAGAGCTTGCAGTGAGCCAAAATCGCACCACTGCACTCCAGCCTGGGCAACAGAGCGAGACTCCATCTCCAAAAAAAAAAAAAAAAAAAAAAAAAAAAAAGTAATGGAGCAGAGTT
The DNA here is from genome assembly GCF_000001405.40 of Homo sapiens. Classification (NCBI taxonomy): domain Eukaryota; kingdom Metazoa; phylum Chordata; class Mammalia; order Primates; family Hominidae; genus Homo; species Homo sapiens. Next base: position 12,312,223 of record NC_000023.11, on the reverse strand, counting down.
GAAAAGGAAGCAAATAGGAATTATATAAATAAAAATATAAAAACTAATTAAAAAACCCAATGGACACCTTTAACAGAAAATCAAGCAGAGCTGAAGAAAGAATTATTGAACTGGAAAATGAAGCAGAATAAATTATCCAGAGTGGAGCACAGAGATGTTGGTAAATACAGAAGAGAGGGTAAAAGATATAGAGACTCCAGTGAGAGTATCTAACCTACATTTACTAAAGAGTATTGAAGAGAGGCAATACTTGAAGACGTAAGATCTGATAATATTTTACTCTGATAAAATACATTATTATACAGCTTCAAGAAGTCCAAATTACCAAAGAACAAAGAGTATAAATGAAAAGAAAACACAAAAATTAGAAATGAAATACATATCTAGAAATGTATATATTTTTAAAGTACCCAGAGTAAAAAAGATATTATCTTGAAAAGAATTATGAGACTTAAAGCGGACTTCTCAGCAACAACGGAAGTTACAAGACAGTGGAATTATACCCTTAATGAGCTAAGAGAAAATAATTGCCAACCTAGAATAATATAATCAACAAAAATACCTTTTAAGAATAAAAAGCAAAATAAATACATTTTTAAGGCAAATTAAAATAGAAATAGTTGACCACCAACAGAGGCACTTGAAATGAAATTCTAAAGCATATATATAAACCAGGTTAAAAAAAAAGAAGAAAGATGCCAGAAGAAATTCTTAAGATGCATGAAGAAAAGAAGTTCAAAGAAAATACAAAATATATTTGGGTAACTCCAAACCAACACTGACCGTATCAAGCAAAATTCATCTTATCTTGTGAGACAAATTAAAATACACGATAACAATAACAGCATATACAGTAATTTTATGGAGTTTAAATATTTTTCTTATTCCATGGGAGAAGGATAAAAATATTGATTAACTTTAGATTTTGATAGCTAACAATTCATGTTTGATTTTTTATGGTAACCACTAAAGGGAGAGAAACCTGCCAAGTCAGATAGCCCTGGAAATGTGTCACACCCATACCCAGTCATCATTGGCAGTAGATGCACAAGATAGATGGAAGCAGAAAAGTCCCTGCCTTGGCAAGCCCAGCTTTCCTCTGCGCCCTTTCCCCCTGCCCCGCCAAAAAATATAAGACAACAACCAAAAAAATAGACAAGGAACATGGAATCATTGAAAGAAACACAAAGCACAAAAGAAGATGGTAGATTTAAATCTATGCATGTGAATATCCATCATTACAAAATAGTAAAATAAAAGCTGAAGTTATAAGATAAAGTCAGATTAAAATTTTTAAAATTCCAACTTTATGCTGTTTGTATGAGACATATAAAATTCAAGGCAACAGAAAGAAAGTTCAAGGATAAATAAAGCATCAAGAAATCTAGAGAGGAACATCCACCTACCAGCAGAAATAGGGTGGAAAATTTAATCATTGATTTTCTTGCCTGCTGAGCAGATAAAGATTTCTGATATTAGGGTACTGCCCTAATTGAAAATAGTTACCCATTATGATCAGCTTCTCAAATTAAGTTAACCTGGCTGCATTGGATTGGGGATAACAAAGCTTCATCAAGAATTGCTCCTTTTTTGCTCCATATGAATACATTCCCTATGAATATGAATGCTATTTTATGCTGGATATACCTCAAGAAAAACTACTGATTTATGACAATGATATTTATTTACTGAAGGCAAGTTGAGAAACTGGGTTGCTGATGGTTTCTGAATTTTATTTTAATGGTTTCTGTCAGGCCTCTGAGCCCAAGCCAAGCCATCGCATCCCCTTGACTTGCACGTATACGCCCAGATGGCCTGAAGTAACTGAAGAATCACAAAAGAAGTGAATATGCCCTGCCCCACCTTAACTGATGACATTCCACCACAAAAGAAGTGAAAATGGCCGGTCCTTGCCTTAAGTGATGACATTACCTTGTGAAAGTCCTTTTCCTGGCTCATCCTGGCTCAAAAAGCTCCCCCACTGAGCACCTTGCGACCCCCCACTCCTGCCCACCAGATAACAAACCCCCTTTGACTGTAATTTTCCTTTACCTACCCAAATCCTATAAAACGGCTCCACCCCTATCTCCCTTCGCTGACTCTCTTTTCAGACTCAACCCGCCTGCACCCAGGTGATTAAAAGCTTTATTGCTCACACAAAGCCTGTTCGGTGGTCTCTTCACATGGACGTGCATGAAAGTTTCCTTTCATTTTCACTGAGAATAGGCTAGAAGGGCAGTGCTCAGAACACAAATGAGTAGAATCCAATCTGTGGGGACCTGTTAGCTTTGCTCCTGCACAAGCACAGATGTCCTTTGTGATTCAATCAGCAACTCTCACACCAAGGGGATCGGGAAGACTGTGTCAACAGAGCAGAGCAAATCTGCAACACCAGGACACAATGCAAGGATGCGCTGCCTGAATGCTGATCCAAGGTATCATGTAAGAGGACACCGCGTTTTGTACACTGCAAGTGTACCACAGTAATTTGTTTCCAAAATAGATACTCTCAGATATTAGGCTATAGTATCTGCGTGTTCCATTCCTTAATTCATTGAACAAACATTTACTGTGCACCTATGACTAGGAGTTAGGTATACAATGGTTAGTCAAGAAGATGGCCTGTGCCATCTTCTGCATCACTGTGCAGAAGTCTGCATCACTAAGATGCATCACTGTGTATGCAGCTTAGTAAACGACCAAATGATCAAATCAGCTTATTTTTATATACCAATTTCTCACTTCATAAACAACATGAATTACTATTAAGTACTGCAAACACAAGTTCAAAGATTTTTAAGTAATTTGGTGCCACTCACCTAAGAGGCAAGAAAACAGACCATAAGACTTTTTTTTTATTTTTTTTAATCACTATCAGTGGTTTAAATTTTAACGTCTGCACAGTGAAAATGACTAAGTGTCTCGCAGAGACAGTTACATGTAGACAAATCCCACAAAGACAAACAGAACTTGGCTGTGAGCATGCAAGGGCCTCTGGAGCAAGGGTTGGCAAACTATAGCCCCTGGGCAAAATTCCACAGCCACCTGTTTTGGTAAATAAAGGTGTATTGGAACCCAGCCATATTCACTTGTTTATATATTGTCAATGGCATATGTCATGCAATAACAGCAGAGTTGAGTAGCTGCAACAAGGATTATATAGCCCGCAAAGCTTGACATATTTACTCCGTAGTCCTTTCCAGAAAAAGTTTACTCTAGAAGAAATCCAGGGAGGGAATATCTCAGCCATAAGTAAAATATTTCTAGCTTCTACACACAAATGTTGAACTGCCAGGGGAAGAAAAGCCCTTTCGACATTTGGCGCATGCCACGCTGGCTCCCTGGAGTTGGCTGGGCAGTTATTTGGTCAAGATTTTTATTAAAACAAAACATTTATGTTCATATAATTAAGCCATCCCCCATTTTTTTTTCCTTAGCAAATGCCAATATGGCTCCTGGGCCACCTTCCCTGCCTTGGTAAGCCAGGAACAGGGCACTGCTCTGAAGAGTGCACATTGTTCCCAATTGTCTCTGGGACAGCCTGTTGCCTTTCTGTGAAAGCCTGGTCTCTGTCATCCACCCCCCTACAGTGTCTGTTGTGGCACGCTTCATCAGGAAACTCCAAACTGCTGCCAGCACACCCGCTCCTTCAAGAGCTTATTATACCATTCAATTCAAATGCACAAGCCCGGAGCACAGCAGGGAAGAGAAGTCCAAAGTCCACTTCTCCAGAGCCCAGATATACACATAGAAATGAAAAGATAGGCAAGGGAAGTACATCCTCCTGATCTCTCTGTGTGGTCGCAGTAACAGAATCCAAGTAGCCTTTGAAAATTAGCTACCAAGCATCAAAATTCTTTGGTCATAATGACCCTGAAAAGACAAAAACAAGCTTCCTAAAACTGCATACTGCAGGATCTTCAGGATATAGGATGGTTTCTATGTAAGCTCTGCAATGACCTTGGTGAGAATGTATTTATTTAACTCTCTCAGAGTGAAGAGTGGATCTGTGTAGAATACAAGGTGGATGTTAATGAGATGCCAGAGGATTGTGAAATGGGAAGTACAGCCCGTGAGTTCTTGTATTTCTGTAGCTGGGAACAAAGGGAGCAGGAGCATGCTGGAATATGCTAGGACCTCACAGCTGAGGTAATTCTGTCAAGGTTGTGATGTCCCTGAAAATCAAATGGTCATTCCAAATATATGGTGCCCAACATACTGTGATCATCCCAGCCCTTTAGTTACCATAGCTACACGCAAACACATACCCACACATCTCTACACTTTACCTGCACTTGTCATCTCAGAGCCCTCTCTTACTCCTCTCCCTCCACTGACTCCTCATCCAAACGCTTGCCAAGTCCTCATAACCCTCGGTCTGCCTCATGTGTGCTGTGTGACATTTGTCTCCTGCTTATGCTCATTGGTCCTTAGTGAAGGCCCCTTCCCTTCCACAAGATGATTGCAATAGCTTTCTTTGATTATTTTTACTCCTATTTTTTTATTGCAGGACAATAGACATGCAGCAAAGTGTACTGATCTGAAGTATGCAGTTCGATGAATTTTTACATATGAATACACTCATGTATACAGACTATTTCCAGCACCTCAGAAGGCCCTTTAGGCTTCTTCCCAGTCAATACTTCCCCAGAGGCAACCACTACTATGATGACGAACACTATAGACTAGTTTTGCCTGTTTTTGAACTTCATATATATTGAATTATTTGTGTCGGATTTCTTTTGCTCAACATTGGTCTCTGAGATTCATCCAAGTTGTTACATGGAGCAATGATGCATTCTTTTTCATTGTGCTATACTCATATGATGAAATGCTATGCAACAATGTATTTATGTATTTTACTGCTGATGAATGTTTAAGTTGTTTACAGTTTGGGGCTATGGTGGATAAAGCCTGCAGTGGCCTTTTATTAGTCTCTGACATCTAGTCTCTTCCCTATCATTGTTTCTTCTTGTGCAAGCCACCAGATTATTATCTCCACAGCATAACTCCTGTTATGTGCCTCCACAGCATATACAGTTCCAATGGCTTCTTGCTGGCTTTCTGAGTAAAACTACTCTCCTTGTTCCAACAGTCAAGTTTCCACTACTGAGTTTCAGTCATCATCCAGCCTTTATCACCCATCCCTGTCCTCCATATTTGTGTTCATTCAGCCAAATTAGATCTCTCACCACCAGTCCAGCACACCCCACACTTGCTTTCCCACTTGGTGGCCTTTGTTTTTGCCATGGCTTGGGCCCTGAACGCCTTCTTCTGAATACATTCTCATTTGGGCCTATGGAAAACATCCACCATCTACACTCATCTAAAAATGCCAGATCCTCCAGGAAGTCTTGAGAAAGCATCATATCTCCCATCTTTGAAGTCTGTTGCATTGGAAGATTCTGCCACTATTTCCAGTGGCACAGTAGTGCTAATCCCAGTGACTTCATAATAATTACCTGGAAAACTGAATGGAACAAAGGGTCAACTGCTGTTCTCACTCAAACTTCCAATGTTACTTGTGCCATGTTCTTAAGGACATGCCTTTTTTAGGTTACTGGAATTCCATTTGGGAAGTAAACACTCACTTTCCAAATTGCTTAATCACTTAAGCAGTGGGAGAATCTGGCAAATCACAAGGAAGTAAATTAGCTGGATGAAGTTCAGTTTTTGGTTAATTTTAATAAAACAGTGCTTTAAAAGACATTGAATTTTGTGAGTTTAATAAGAGAAAGAAAATAATTAATAGGAAAGGATCACTGGTTACATTTGGCCTGTGTTCTCATAATGAATATTCACTCTTTGTTCCTTTCCTAAATGCTCGTCACTGCAAGGTCCTGCACTAGGAGCTGCATAGGGTGTAGGTATCAGAGACATGTCAACCTGGCCCTCAAAGATCTCACAGTCTATTGGAGAAAACTGAAAGAAAGATAAGAATTGAATAATTAGTGTAAATACTGCTTTGAGAAACATAAGGAAAACTTTTTGAGACAAAGAAATGCAATCAGTACAGTACTTCTGATTGTGGAAATAATTTCTGTAAAAATAGCCTCTGTCAATTTAGAAACCATAGTGACACATTATTAGCTAACGTCTACTGGGTCAGTCTTTTGGGGGGTTTTGTTTTTTTTTTTTTTTTTGAAGCACAGCATAAGTTTTTAAAATTAACGACCAAAATCTCCTGTGAAAGTATAAAGTGAAGATGTAGCCAAGGTGGTGGTTAGGGTCTTAAGTTTGCATCTAGTCACTCTTGGACTCTCTTGAAATTATCCATGAGACACGGCTGTCAAAGTTTTTTAGAGTAGCCAACCCTGTGCAGGAATTTATATACATTAATCTAAAAACAATTATGGAAGCTGGGCATGGTGACTCAAACCTATAATCCCAGCACTTTGGGAAGCCAAGGTGGGAAGACTGCTTGAGACCAAGAGTTTGAGACCAGACTAGGCAACATAGTGAGACCCTGTCTCTGTAAAAAAAAAAAAAAAAAAAAAACTTAGCCAGCTGTGGTGGTACATGCCTGTAGTCCCAGCTACTAAGGAGGCTGAAGAAAGAGGATCGCCTCAGCTCAGTGATTAGAGGCTGCAGAGAGCTCTGATTGTGCTACTGCACTCCAGCCTGGGTGACAAAGTGAGACTCTGTCTGAAAAAAAAAAAAAAGGATTATGGAAAGAATTTAATCATCAAATCATTTAAGTGCTTTGCTGCCTAGGACACTTCAGCACATTTATGAAGATTTCCACATCTGACTTTTGGCTGTCACCACCTTTGCCATCTAGGGACAATTTTAGGATTCCCTCTAATGCTTCCCTGGTCAGTATGTCTCTGGAGCCACTTGCCTGTCACCTGAGAATGTGCTTCTCTTCTCTCTGTCAGTGGTGGGGGAAGCTTGAGGGTCATTCATCTTTTCTTACCAGAGCTTTATAGCAGCTTGTAGAAATGTTTCCAATTCGCCTACCTCCCTGCCTGTGGGCACAGGCTAACTCTGTGGAAACCTGGGCAGCAGGATTCCTGGGACTATGTAAATCCTCACCTCTCCCCTGTCCTCTATCTACCTGACCCTTCACTGAAGAGAATTGAATTTAGGTAAGTTAAATGTGCATCTGAGGCTACTTCTCTGCATAAAGTCAAAGAAAAATCCTCATAAGAACTGTTTCCCTATTGAGGAGTTCTATTTAAGTCAGAATGTACAAAGAATTTTTTCTATCAACCATGCTTCCAAATTTCCAATCTTCACTACCCCTAATCTTGCGGCGGGCTGCAACTAACTGGTAAAATGGCAGAGTAAGATCTGATCTGCAATGTTCATATTTTACAATAGCCACCCTATTAATGAGGTTCTCTATGGCATATTGTTCTACAACAGATTGTATCATGTCTTCATCATGAATGATTCATTTCATAAGACATGCATCAAGTCAAAATTCAAAATCATGCACCAGGCATCTATATTTTATATATGATTGTAAAATAAAAATCTTTCCAGGGTGGATTTTGCCTCAAGTGAGTGAATGAGTGACGGGAAGGGCTGCCTTAAATGGCTCCACTGGGCTGAAGCAGGCGAGGAGGCTGCTCTTTCTCTGTTGATAAGGAACAGTGACAGGAAATCTACACCTCCTTGTCCCTGGCTTATTTTCTTACTTATAATATCTTGGGACCAAAAGGAGGGTGTGGGTTGTATATTACAGGCTTACTATAAAGCAGTGGTTTTCAACCATGAGTGATTTTGCTCCCAGGGGACATTAGGCAATGTCTGTAGACGTTTCTGACTGTCACAGCTATGGAATGGGGAGGAAACTAGCATCTAGTGTGTAGAGGCCAGAGATGCTGCTAAACATCCTGCAATGTACAGGACACACAGTCTCCAGCAAAAAGAGAATTATCAAGCCTCTAATGTCAATAGTGCTGATACTGAGAGACCTTATTTTACTCTCATGTTGCCACTTTAATTGTCTAAGGCTTTTTGGTAATAGAACACAAATTCCTTCTTAGTTTCTCAGTATCAGAAATAGCCACTTGGGACTTAGTATATTAGAGATAATATTTAGTACTGACACCTTGGTAAGTTGGCATCATTACTTTTATTGTTTACAATAAAAATAAATATATAAATAAATCAATCATGTCATATTCCGAGGAAAACCTCCTAGTTGGAGGTGAAGTGAGTTTTCTCTCTAATTGCCTAGATGACAGTGATCAAGTTCAGTCTTGACTGCTGTGTAGCAGCTTCTCAGCTCAGGACTGTACAGTCTACCTTGAAGAGTTCTCAACTTGGACACGTCCATCTTATGTTGAACATAATACAGATTTAGCTTGTAACCTTTTCCACTGCTTGTGCAAAATAAAGTTTTACTTTGACTTGAGTTTTTTCTCTTTCTAAATATCTGTTTTCCTCTATAGTTAGCACAGCATTTTGGCCTATCCAAGGATCGATCTTTTTGGTTTCCTTTCATATTGCCACTATCAGCCTAACTTACAATTTACAAATTTCTTCTCTTTTGTTTTCCCTTTTTAAACTCTTCTTATTTTGGGTTATTTCTATTCACCCAAGTAATAAAGAGGAAGAAAATACCAATTAAAGGCCTAAATAATGTTTCTCTAGTGATTATAATTTAATACACCCATGGAATACTAGTTAAAATGAGATATCAGTTTAGTACATATAGACCCACACTTTCATAGTCATCAAATATACTATAAACTTATAATTTATCAATTGCTCCATATTCTGAATTTACTATTACAATAAGCACATTTATCTCCTAATTAAAAAGACTAATGAAAAAGAATAAACCAAACCTATCATTTTTATTTCCAATTAAATCTCAATTAAGGTCATCATTATTATAACTGATTAATTTTACTCTCCATCTATGTTATCTGATGTGACTAAAATCAAAATTTCATCTTATTTCTTTATTTAAGGCTTGTGGGAAAAGATCTTACTTCAATTTTTAATATAAATAGTACATTCAGATTTTATCCCCTTTAAAGATTCTTTCTGAATAAACATTTAACTGTTAGCATTGAGTAACAATGCTGAAATTCTTTACATAGAGTTGACATGTTTGTGGTACCTTAGTCCTTGGCAGTGGGCTGATTCCAACAAATGCTGTTTGTGGAGAAAGTTGCATCTCTCCCACACAGAGGTCCTGTAACCTCTCCCCTTCCCTAACATCCTCCAGTTTATTGTATTGGGGCTATTTGAAGACCTTTAACCAAAATGCATGTTCATTGCCAGTATCACTGGCAATGACCATCTTGCAACCATACTGAATGCTTGGTCTTTGCACATAAGTGTCCAATGGCTGTATGTGATAATATTAAATTATAAGTTGTGATGGAAAATTTGAGTTTGTGTAGCTTTATTGCATTATATGTATTGCATTATTCCAAAAAGCCTACCTGGAAAATAAGAATAACTGGTTATAAATTTTTAAATATTCTTAATGATATGAGAGTTGGGGTCTTCTTAAACACTTTTTTCAAACTAAGATTTTATAATGAATAAGCTCTTTGAGCAATAGCCACATTTCTTAAGCTTATCAGAAGGTAGGCAACACATGACCCAAGTATAAGGAATAGACTTGCTATCTAAGAGCTGTCATGATAACCTCAAGGAAGTGTTATTAGCATCTGGGCACAGAACTGTTCATCATGACCCCATCCAAGTGAGCTCAGGACTAGCCTTGCACATCTCACTTAGTATTTCCTTACCTCTAATAAGATGCTAATAACAGTAATTCCTCTAAGATTGTGAGTATTGAGATATTGTATGCTATATGCTTAAGCAGTACCTGACACATAGTAAGCAGTCAATAAATACTAACTATAATAATAATAAAATAAATTACGCAACATCTAATAATTAATAAATTGTTTAGTTTGAAAAAAATAAAGCAAATGTTGGTGAGTGGTAGACTTCACAGGCAAAACAGTCAAGTGAAAATTCCCAATCTGCATATAAACTATCATGACAGAGCAAGATTGCCAAAAGATATGGATACATGTAAGGAAACCAGCCCAGGGCAGGGTGACCCCTCGCAAATAGCAGACTCCTGTTATTTTGCCACAGGTGACCTTCTCCCGCCAGAAGCCAAAAACTGCAGCCTACTTTTCTGAAGTGGTTATCTTGGGACTGAGGTATGGGCTATCTTGGGCTGTTTCCTATTTCCTTCTTTCCAGCTGCTTCCATTTTGGTTTCTTCCATAAGGGTAGGGAGCTTATCCATAAAGCAAGAAGTACTCTGCTGTGTGGAGACAGTAAAAGCCTGGGGATACAAGCTACATACAGTGAGTACCGGACAGGCTTCTCCTTATTTAAACTGCCATGATGAAGGTGACTCATTGTATCCTTAAGCATCTACTACTTTAGGTTTTACTCCAAGGCTACAGAGTTGATATTGAGCCTCATTCTCCAACATGGTATCTGGCACTTACTAGGGATATTTCACAAGTTAGCTGAATTTGAACTTAAACAAATAGCCATTGAGTGTTTACTATATGGTCATCACTTTTAGCCAGGGGTACAAGTGTCCTTCAGAAGTAGGATGTATGATTTTATTTAAGTAAGTATAATACTATGCTGTATTTGTAAAAATCTGTGAAATGTCAAAGGAACATAGAAAATGCAATGACTACACTGATTTTTGGAGGACTGGTGAGAGTTTCTAGAGGAAGTGATGTTCAGACTGGGTCTCGCAAGACAGACTAACATGGGAGAGGAGGAAAAAGAGAACTGAAAGAAGAACCTGTGTGAGACAAGGAGCAGAGCATCTGTATATTGTTTGGGGGTGGCCACTGCTGCAATCAGAGTGGATGGATTGGGAGAAGCTGCAGAAGTAGGTTGGGGCCAGATGATAAAGACTTTTACAAGCTCTGCTAAAGATAATAGACTTCATCCGTAGACCGATGCCAGGCCAGTTCAGGTTTTGAAATAAAGAAAGACACGATCTGATTTGCTTGTTGGACCAGGACAGTGCAAGGGTATGGGAGAGACTGGTGCTACGATGCCAGCTGTAACCAGCTGTAGTGAGTCAGGGAGGAGACAGTGATGCCTTGGTATGTGGAGAAGTGAGGACAAACTTGAGACACCTTGAGAAGGCAGAAGCCACAGGGCTCCCCACCCCTTGACTGTGGAAAGTGAGAAAGAGAAAGCAGTTATAGACCACGGAGGTTTCCAGCCCAGGGCAACTGAGTGGAGGAAACACTTCTGCTCTTTGGTGAAATACAGAAGAAGGGGCAGGACACAAGGGAGTGCGCTGAGGTCAGCTGGAGATGTGTTAAGGTTGAGAGACCTGTAGGATGGCAAGGTGGAAGGAGGCAACTGAACTGCTCTCACCTTTTCCTCATGGTCCTTGGATCCAATCATCTATTCCAAGTCAAAGCTTGTTCCAGAGTCTCCTGGATTAAGACCCTGTGGATCTAACATTGGGCCACCTCCACCACCACCTGGTTCTAATCACATCCCAAGGCAGTTTTCCTTCTCAGAGCTTTTTAAGTCATCTCTTTCTTGAGATTTTCTTTTTTTCTTGCAGCTCTCTGGCATCTGTTAGTTCAGGAACTACTTTTCAGATTACCTTGCACCTATCTCAAACCCCTTGCATTCTTTTCTCACATTTGTTCATAATATGGAACACCACAGAGTAGTGCATGATTAGAAATCCTGAAAGAAATCTAACATGTCCTTTACTCCAGCATGTCACTTTCCAAGTGGAAACATCTGAAGGCCAGAAAGAGTGGCATGAAGTCCACATCACCTGACTTTTATTTTCAGACCCCATTCTCCTGCTTCCCCCTTTCATTCATTCCTCTTTCGAATTCCCTGTCCCCTTTCCATCCTGCCTCCAGAGCCTTACTGGCCCTCCCCTGGTTGTTCATAGGCCATATGGACTGCCCATCCAACAGCCCTTGATCAGTAAGGACTGGGACACTGAAAACTCAGTCAGAGAATGCCCTTCCCACCTTCCATTGTCCTTCTCCTTGTCATTTACACTGAAGTTATTCCCACATTGAAATCTTCATTAGCCCCTCTGGGCCAGTGTCAGAGAATCCAAACTCTCTGTCCTCTAAGGTCTAACCCCACTTTGGCTTTTCAGATGCATCTACACTGAAGCTCCCTCCCCGACCCTCCTCTGAGCCACTCTACCAACAGCAAGTCCCTGCGAGTCAGAATCACTGTGTCCCACTTCTGTCCTTTGTGTCTGTTTTCACGTGATTTCCTTAACTTGAATTTTGTAAGCTTTTATGTTTCACCTTTAAACAATTTGGCCATTGTTCCAGGTCTATCTTGATTATCCCCTACTTTAAGAAACCTTTCCTTTCTTTTGCTTTTGTTGGAGAGTTTTAGAATTGACTTGTGAAATCCACTAACCTTCTATCCTCTTCTTCTCCTGTGTTCCCACGGTATTTTATTCACATTCTTCCACGCATCTATTGTCAGCATGACTTACTTTTGTGTCCTACAAAACTAAAAGTTCCCAGAGGGCAGGGACTATGTTTGGTTCATTTGTGCATTTCTCATAACCTATGGATACTTGATTGTTGAATATTACTGAAATGACTAATCCTAATCATAAACTGGAGTACTAGGAAGTTCCATAACCCTGTTGAGATAGAGAAGTGTCTTGGGGTGCTTTACTTTTTTTTTTTTTTGTCATTTCTAGAGAAAAATAACTTCCAGAATTTATCAGAAACAAGGAACTCTGGTTTTGGGAGTATTTTTGTCTTGGCGCTTATTCCTTATGTCCTTTTTAAGATGAGAAATTCTTATGAAACTAGGGTATTCGAAAGGCCCATCAAATTTTATAGGTTAACTAATAGCCATAAACATCAGAAATTTGACTTATTTATTCATGGGATAACTTTTCATTCTTCTTCTTCTTCGTCTTCTTCTTCTTCTTCCTCTTCCTCCTCCTCCTCCTCCTCCTTTACCTCCTCCTCCTACTTCTCTTCCTCTTCTTTACTTCAGAGAAAGTTAATCACTACTGCTTGGAAAGAAAAACTAACTTAGATAAGCTAGGTGATGCAATTTTGCCAAACTTATATTTCTAAAGTACAAATTTGAAGACAGTTTCTTAAACTGAATGCATGTGCTCTGTGTGTCTCATGCTGTGAATGAAGACAAATACGTTATGAGTCCCATATAGTAAAAGCAAGACTGTACTGAGTCTTCTGACATTTATTCTTAGATGTTTATTTCCACTGTTGCTTGGGTGTTGTTTTGAGAGTTTTCTCATGGTCCTGGAAGGTCATGCTTATTTTTCTAGGCTAAAATTCTTGCAGCCATGCTCTATGGATAGATTTTCAGTCCTCTATCGCCCATCTGGCTTTGAGTTGATGGTCACCCAGATGTGCTTAGCTCTCTCTATATGTAAGTACTTCTAACTATACACAGAGAGAGGTGGAGGGGCCATTGGCCATGCACCTTTTAGGTTGGATGCTCTCGTTTTTATAACAGAATTTTACACTAACCCCTGCCCAATTTATATTCAAATCAGATAACTTAATAAACATCTCAGAGTTTCTCCCCTTAGGTTTTGGCCAACAGCAATGACCTTGACCCCTCTACTGTCTAATATTTATCAAAAGCCCTGCAACGAGAATGGTTTTTGGAGGACTGCCTAGAATATCTACATATAAGACCTCCATTTCTCTAAACCCTTCCTGCACCCATGATAGATACTGCTACTCAATAACAGAGCATTTCCTTCTGAGTCTGAACTTAGCTATGAAACTTCCCAACATAGTTATTAGAACAGCTACTATAAGGGAATCAGAGCTGATATGCCAGTTGAAACTTGCTTGCCAAACTAGGAACAGTGATCTAAATGGATTAAGGTAGAACATTGAGAGCTTGTATATTCAGTTGAACAGAAGTCTTGATGATTCATAAAATTGGTTTAATGAATTGTGCTTTGTGACTGTGACAACAGTTTACATTGAGGGGATCTGTGTGTAGCTCCACAGCACACTTATTAGCACCCTTAGCTCACAACATCATCTTTATGAACAATCGGGATTTCTCTCAGGACTAAAAATCAAGAAAACCTGTGTTCTTAAAAACAAACAAACATAAACAGCAAAAAACCTGGTTACTTTTAATCTTATCAACATGGGAAAATCTTACAGTCAAATCTCTGGCCTACCTTTAACAGAGGCACTTTCCTCTCTTCTCAAAAGGAGAAAGTTCAGGATCCTATGGCCTACATACTTAATTATTAATATGATTATTAGCTGCATCATTTTCCTTTCATTAAGCTACCCTTTCCCCAGTTTCTTTGACTATTTCTTTCTTTGACCCAGTGTTGCCTGTATTTTGGTAGGCTGCCAGAAATCATTCATGGAGGGAGGTAAGATATATGGCATGATCAAAAGTGAGGGATGTATCCCTGCCAAGAAATAGACTCCAGGGGGGGCTAATTCTTTTTCTTCCCAACAGTATTTAATCACTCCAGCCATTCTTTGTTTCTATTTACAATCATCTATCTCCTACAATGCTTCGTTCTCTCTCACAATTCTCAGTTCTTTCCCATGATTCCCTGTCACCCACAATTCTGTTCTCTTCTACAAATCCCTGTCTCTCCCACAATTCTGCCTTCTCTCCTATAGTTCTCTCGTCTCCCACAATTTCTTATATTTCCCACAATTCCCTGTATTTTTCACAGTTCCCTGTCTCTCCCACAATTCCGTATCACTCCCCACAATTCTGTTTTTTCCCACAATTCCGTTCTTTCCCACAATTCCCTGTCATACTCACAATTCTGTTTTTTACCATAATTCTGTTTCTCTCATAATTCTATCCTTCCCATGATTCTGTTATGATGCAGCAAGAAGGCCATAACCAGAGGCAGCCCCTCAACCTTAGACTTCCCAACCTCCAGAACTATGAAAAATATATCTCTTCTTTATAAATTACATAGTCTGTGATATTCTATTACAGCAACAGAAAATGGACCAAGACAGTTTTGCCATTTTTAAAAAGCCATCTCAAACATTGTGCTTAGTGCTGCAGTAGTTTTACATTACAGTAGGAGCTTCTTAGCTCAGGTTAAACTGGTAGCATTTGTGTAGCGCTATCCTTTATCACTTAGCTTAGTTCCTGGTGTGTAAATGGACAGTCAATGAAGCAGTCAGTAAGCAGACACTGAAGGGATAAAGGATTCAATGCATTTCCCAGGAGTGAGCAGTGAGCTTCACAATCTGGGAGAAACACTCAGATAAGTGTGAGTACCTGTCGAAGCACACAGCCAACATGGGGAGGGACAGGAACTACCCCATGCCCACCTGTCCTGCCAAGGGGCAGCTGTTTCTTCCATGAGCATGGCCAGGTCCTGGTGGGATGCCCCAGAGGACTGGGGTGTGCCCAGCTATATATGTCCCTTTCCCCATCCCAGCCTTCTTCCACCAGCATGGAGATCACCAGGTGACTATACCTCATTAGGGTTTTGTGCACTTGAAGGGAGAACATCTACCCCAGGGACGCTGGGGGATCAGGAGCCGAAGGGAAGTTCCCTGGGAGAAGTTATGGCCAGGGTTAGTTGAATCTAAATAACTCAGGCAAGTCCAACCTGCTGTGAAGTAGAGATGAAGGCAAAGGGCTATGAACCTGAGGTTGCAGTTCCTGAAGCCAAGGCTCAGCAAGCTGGAAGTGACTCAGGTCTGTATTGCTGATCTACCCAACCCCCACTCCCATTTCCAGTATACCAGGGACTGTAGACAAAGTCACAGCCAACCCTGGGGCATGGGATCAATATCACACTTGTGTTACGTGGACACAGCTACCTTCACTCCTCAATTCCTTCTTCTGGCCTTTTTCATTTATGTCCTGTCCCACAGCTGTAAGAGAAGAACCTGAATAACAGAAACATTGCTGGTGGCTGTGATTCTTGTGGCATTCAGCATTAAATACTACTGCCCTTAGGTTAGTGGAAATTTATTAATATTAATGACAATGTCCTTGCCTTCTGTGATTTTTTTCTGGGAAATTTTGAGAAATCCAAGGAGAAAATGCAGATGTGAACACCACTTATGAGCAATGTTTTGCTCTAAAGCAGTGGTTCACAATCAGGGATGGTCACGTTCCCCAGGGGACATTTGACAATGTCTAGAAATATTTCTGATTGTCACGACTGGAAGCGGGGGCACACTACAGGCATCTAGTGGATAGAGATCAGGGATAGAGATCAGGGACCCTACATCACCCCCCACTCCAAGAAAAAATTATCCAACCTGAAAAGTAAATAGGGCTTGCTCTAAAGGAAAGGGTTTTTAACTGCCACAGTTAATTCAACCTATATTTATTGAGCGTCTATTATGTGCCAGACACACATCAGCCATTGTGTACTGCCAGCCCTCTCCACTAAATAACAAAATTGCTATCCATCCAGATACTAAAGCAAGGTTCCCCACAATCCTCAAAAACTTGGAAATAAGGAACGTTCATATTTGAGAACTAAACTTTAAAATATGTAAATAATGAATTAGAATACAGAAATGCAAACTCTCCTTAAAGAGGCAAAAAGACTCTTAAACTGAATAGAAACAGTTAAGCAATGTCAACACCTACAGAGCAAGTGGGTGTCTTTTAGAAGAGGAGTTAGTCATCCAATGTGGGGATGCAAGTAAAATGGTAAACTAAGAAAAAACTAAAAGGAGGAAGGTAAGGAGAAGGAATAATAAATACACGATATTTAAACAATAAATATTTACTAAATTCTAAGTACCTTACAGAGGTTATGTCATTTGGTCTTCACAAAAATTCTATGAAGTTGTTACTATTATAATAAACAGCTCTTTCTAGAAGGCAGACCACAGCAGAGTCCATGCATACACTTGCAAGAAGACATGGGCTCCCTCCAGACAAATCAAATATCCCTATTCTGATGGGTATATCCAGAACTATAAAAACCTGATGCAATTCAACAGTCAGCTGATATTACTAACACCCCTTATTCTGATTCCAGTCTCATCAAAGCAGCCTTTTGATAATTTGGTTTCTCCTATAGATTCTCTGCAGGGATACAGTGAGCAGGTCAAGCTAACATGAACCTCCAGATGACTTGAGAGGTCTCATGATTCCTTTATAAGCTGGAAGCATGATTATTATTTGGCTTGTCTCATAGATTGCCTATAGGGAAAGGAGGTATTGATATAAGAAAGTGAACATTCCAGTCTGTTTGAGGACTCCATTTCTCATGGTAGATTCATACACAGACATTTCAATAGAAACCTATGTAAATAATCTCTGTGTGTTTACATAAATAACTATGAGATACACATTTTTTTATACTTGAATCCTATGAACTTGAGAAATAGGATTCCATCCTTGGGAGGCAAATTTATGCTCAGTCTAAGAATGAAATCTCATTCTCACAGCATTCCTTGAAGACCAGTTCCTTGATCAGCGCTATCGCCCAGCCTTCTGTATTCATTTATTCATTAAAAAGATATTTACCAGGACTACACTAGGGAGTGGGGATATAGCAATGACTAGGGTGACACAGTCCTTTCACTGGTGGAGGTACACTCTGTAGTGTGGGAGCCATCAATCTTACCACTGACCCTTCCCAGGTTAGATCAAAGACATGTCCAGAAAGAGAATTCACCATCTAGTGAAATCTCTGTGACATACATACATCATATGTGGGGTAACATCTTGGTCAAATACAATCTCTTTAACTGCTACATACCAATCATAAGAAAAACCCATTATAAAACTCTCTCTCTCTCTCTCTCTGTGTGTGTGTGTGTGTGTACAGTTATGAGTTTATAGCCAAGTTTTTCTCAAGTGTTTGATATTCATACAATGTTTCAAACACTTTCTTTGAGGAACAGATTTAATTACTTAGATCTCATAGTTTATTTTCTAAGACTTGTTGGGCTCAATATCTATGTCCCTGTTTGGTGTGTATCTTTTGTTGCCATAAACTGTCATTAGCTTTTCAAAAGGGCATTTTATTTCATCATATGGAGCAATAGTCTTTACACATTCCTTATTCTAAGGAACACTGGAGTTCTAGGGACACCCTCCAGGGACACCTGGCAAATTGAGTGCCTCCCACAACCCCCAAACGACGCCTCCTTGCAGCAGAGCAGTTGGGTAATAGCTAGCTTTTTTGAATAATAGACACCAGGACATGAAGGGAAGAAGAAAGTGAGGGAGGAGATTTACAAAACACTGATGTAGAGCACAAGCTTATGTGGTTCAAAAGACCATGTCTTATGCTGTGTTTTAGCACTTAATCACCACTTCAGATCAGTGAATGCCTAATAAATATTTCCTCATTTATTAGTCTATTCTTTCCATAAGTAGACAGCATTGCTTTAAGGGCTACGCTATTATTCTTAGTCAAAGATAGCTTTAATGAAAACGATGTTTACTGACAAATACATAATAATCAACTTTACATATAGAACAAAAAACTAGGCTTGTAAAACAATCCCCGTGTTTTGTAATTATGATACAACAGCATGCAACTTAAAGACAATAAAGTAGAAATCTTTAATTCATACCACAATTAATACTAAAATGGTACATAAAATTTAAAAAGCACTGCTATATGAGTTCTGAAAGTGAAAATACTTAAAAAGCACAGGCTGACTTGCACCAAATTCAAGCAAAATTACCTAATATTAGTTCCAGAGTCAGCAGCCTTGGCTTACGCAATACAAGTCAATCTTAATTTATTATTCTTTCTTGTTGTACAACAGTGGCCGCCCATTACAAGAACAATTTAAAGAAAAGCAAAGAATAAATTAAATGTAGAAAGAATCCAGTGTTTCTGTGAGTATTAAAATGGACAGTGACACTACAAGTGAATTAAGGTACAATTCTTTCTGGCTATTTCAAAGAATAGAACAATTTGCATATTTATTCTCCACTGTATAAGACAAGTTGGATTTCAAATTGTTCCCCTTCTCCCGGCAATAATTTACATTGGATACCAATTGCAACACAGCAAGTGGACTCCGTGAAGTAAATCTACTTGCCAGAACTATTTCTGCCACATAATTCTTAGCATTCTTTCACCCAGCCTCGCTTTCCACATTCCTATATTATTATTACTGCGAGCTGCGTGTTTAGCCTTCTAGCTGCAAAGTTGTGGAAGCACATACTTGAAATAGCCAAAAATATAGTTGAAATTTTTGTAACAACACACCATAGTCAGTCAGCATTAACAACCTGATAGGTGATGAATAGAAAAAAAATGCAGTCACAGTTACTATCCAGCTCTCATTAAAAAAAAAAAAATCCATATTCTATATTCCCTGGAAGAATATTAAGATGTATATGTACATGCCTTTGTGTAGGTACATACACACCAAAACCCTTTATCTTTGGATTGGATTCACTGAGAGATTCAACATTTGGCCCAGTTATCTCAGTTATATTCCTATATACTCAAATGACAGATCATTCAATATTTTACCTAATGCGTGTCAAGAGACTTCACAACCAAGGAAGCATGGTTTGTTTATAATAATGCATATGAAAAAGTTGCCATTTAAACTGGCATAACCAGTTTGAAAAATACTGGATGAGGATCCTGAAGTATCTGACCTCAATTTGTTCGTTATGTGACCCTGAGCAGGCCAGCTAGTGACTCCACACTTGTTTCCTCAATTACAAGCTAAAGATGAAAAGAATTACCTCATATCATTGTCCTAAATCTAAGTTAAATAATGAACACATAAATACATCTCGATTGACATGGAATACACAAGCACAAAACATCTATTCTACCACCATTATAAAATGGTGGTAGAATAAGGGTGAGGCACTGAATTCATTGTTGATACTTTAGAAATAAGGCAACAATAATAATAGGCAACACCACCAAAAACAATAATAGATAATACTTATTTGCTATTTACTGTGTCTCAGGAAATGTTCTAAGCACTTAGCATACATTAACGCCCACAACAACACTTTTCAGTTCGTACTATTATTGTATACTACATACTATACTATCTATAATCAGAATTGCTGCTACTTCCTAAAGTATCCAATCCAAAGCGAAGTCCTGCTTCCTTTCCCCCAAATCACTTAACACTAGCTCAAATTCTATAAGAAGTGTTTTCTAATAATCTTTTAACTGAGACTCCCCATGGTTCCCCAGGATGTGTGTTCTCTCTCACTGCAATGGGCAGTAAATCCAACTTGTTCAGCTTCAGGTGTGTTCTAAGTCACTGTCTGGAAAGCACTGAAAAACACGTATTTGCCAAGCACAGGCCTATGAATTTTTATTCCCTAGGCCACAGACAGCAGAGTTTTCAAGCAGAGAAGTGAAATAACAAGTGCTGTTTCTTTTGTAGGAAAATAACTCTTACAGTAATGTGGTAACAAACTGAATTAGGAAGAAGCTGGCAGGATGGAGCCCGAGTAGGATACAACAACCCCCAGCAGAAAGGATGAGGGTAAGACTAAGACCACAAGTGCCATCAAAAGGAAAGGAGACCAGATTTGGGATACACATCCAAGGTAGAACTAAGAAATGATCGGAGACTGAGGGAGAGGGGAGAGGCTTTGCAATGTGATCCCTAGTGAGGAAACTGGGTGAACTCTGCTACCACTGACTGGTTTCAGGATTAGGAGAAACAAGAAGAGGTTTAGGAGAAAAGATCATTCATAAAATTTGGCAATGATAAAGTTGATACTGCTGTAGGATACCCATGTAGAAAATGTCCTGTATTTGGAAGTATAGATAAGGAGATGGGGAGAGAATCCAGTGCCAATGATTTAAGAGTAATTAGCATATAAATGACATTTGAAGCCATGAGGACAGATAAGATCATCCTGGGATAGAATGTACTATGAGGCCTTAAAGGGAGCCGAGGACAATCCTCTGGAAACCATAACATTTGATGGAAATGGAACATCCAGCAAAGAATAAGAAGAGTCAAAGAAGTATAGAAGAATTAAGATAAAGTGAAGAACTAGAAACCAAAAGGAGAGAAAAGTTCAGGTAGTACAAGTGGTACTGACAAATGTTACCGTGCAGTTCAAGGAAGATGAAGATCAAAAACTGGCCTTTGGACTTGACAGGGAAGCTTCCTAGGAAAACCATTCAGGAGAGAGGCAGCAAGGGAAGTGGGTGAGAGGAAAAGCCCTTTTATTTATTTTTTTACCCAACCAGGGATTTGAGCATGCTAATTAACCATGCAGATGCAGCCAGGGAGCTAGGAAGATCGAAGATTTGCAAGAGAAGTGAACATTAAAGTCACAAGATGAAGGGGAGGGAATCCAAGGCTTTGGGATGGTTAGCACTGTAACAAAGAAACCCCATCTTCTTCCAAAACAAGCCATAACAATGTAAGCAGTCCATCTTAATGTATTTAAGGGATTTTTTTTTTTCCGATTACCTCCATGTTTCTGTAAAATATAAGGTCACCTATATGTATGCACATGTGTAGGGGGTGGTAGAAATTACAATGGGGAGTGTCAAGAACAGATTACATTAATAAAGTGATACAAGATACACATACATCTTGCTGCTTCTGTCGCTTAAATACATCTTCAAATAGCCTTTTATCAATAGAAAGAATAGAAATATAAATATGAGTACTACACAATATTAAAGAAAATACATGTGTGTCTCTCATTATTGCATTTTCCAAAAGTACCAGATATGTGAAATGTTTTACTGCTCCTAAAAAGAAAACTCATCAATATGTGGAAGTGGCTTTTCTGTTAATTTGAAAAGCAATGGCAAAGTAACACACCATCATCAAACTGCACTAGGCACTTTAGATAGTTAGCCATTTTTAAAACAGTTTTAAGTTTAAATCCCAAGTGACAGAGGAGAAAACTGAGGCTCAGTGAGTTTAATCAATGGTAAGGCTTGTGAAGTATCAAAGCCAGGAATTGAGCACATGGTTTTTTAATCTGACTTATTTATTTTACCTTTGGGCAGTATAAAGAAAATTAAGTCTTGAATCATTACCTGAATCGTTTTTGGACTGAGGCTCAGACTAAATCAGTCAGTAGTAAATTCTTCATCACCTCTGCTCCGTACAGCATGAAGCTAGTATTTGATAGCCCTGTCTTGCTAATCCTAACACAGAAATCCACTTGTTTTCCCTGGGGGAGGAAGTGCTGTTTGTTGACTATCACAGTCAACCTCCATGTCTCCGTACTTGCCTGGCTACTATGTGGGAGCAGAACCCTGAAACTGCAGGACAATGGCTATGCAATATAGTTGGCTCTGGGGAAAGTTCCTTCTCTATTTCAAAATAGAATTTCCCAAAAATGTGTCCTAGCATTTACTCTGCCCTCCTCATTCTGCACTACCCAAGCTAATGACATTACTTCCTTACCAAGGTCTGGGTGTGCAGATTGCTTTTAAACCCCTCTCAGGAAATACTGTATTTATCTGGATTCCATGGCTGGGTCTTGGCCTAAGGCTCCAACACCTGCAAGAAGGCACTGGCCTTTCTCAATGTTAACTTGGGCCTTCTCATGTGCTCAGGGTTTTCTTCTCTTCCGCATCAATATTCAATCCCATGAACTGTAGCCTTGGAAACTATGGTGGGCCGGGTCAGAAACAGCCCCTTACCTCTTCAATTCCTCATCTAAAGAGACATAGACCCATCTCACTGCCTTGTACTCTGTACACCCTGAACATTCCATAAGAATTAAAAAAAGGCAAGACTGGCAAGCATCTAGTGTAGCACTTCTCAACAGAACTTTCAGCGAGGAGGGAAATGTTCTATCTGCATTGTCCAATATGATGACCACTAGCTATCTGTGCATCTTGAACATTGAGATGCCCCTAGTGCAACAGAGCAACTGGATTTTTAAATCTCACTTCGTGTTGTTAATTACAATTTCAATAGCTGTATATGGGCTAGTGTCTACTGAATTGGACAACACAGGTCTAGAGATTAGAATACAAGTAAACTTTAAAAGATTCAGTTCCAATGATAGATAGGAGAAGAAATGCAAGGTGAAGGAGAAAAAGTCAGAAACCACAGGGAAAATAACAACACTATCATATTTTAAACCTTTCCTGGCAAGGCTGGCATTTAAAAATCAGATTGAAAGTAGAGGAAATGAGGTGAGGTGAAGGGAAGACAAATCTCCCCAAGCACTAGAAACCCCATGACATGAGGCACAGAAGGGAAGAAAGATCCAGAAAAAAAGGAAGAAGACACTAAAGTATAAACCACTGACTCACCCACTGAGCTAATTTACTCAGAAAACAAGGGAAATAAATGGCTAACAATGTAAAAATATTCATCATTTCCTAAGCTCCTCCTAGCACTGTGCTGAATCAGCTCATCTCCTAACACACCTGTGTGCCCATGCCTTCCCCAAGATTCAGAGTTAGCCAAATTCCAATAAATTGGCTGAATGAAATTATTGAAAAAATCATACAACAAATTATCAAAGCACTCTTTTTAAAAGGAGGGACAAATAGTGTCCATTACTCAATCCTGTTAGAAACTAACGCTTTTCCAAGTCAAATGATAAAGTATAACGTATTTTACCTAGGATTGTATCTCATTCATCACCAAGAGACGACTGGTCTGCAAAAAACTGGAGATGCTACATCTTGGCAGAGAAAAATTATAAAGAAAAAAGGCAGGGAAATTCTGTACACAATTGAAATGATAAGATGAATTTGGAAAATAGGAAGTATAGTCTTTTTCAGGAGGGTGAAGCTTTCTCATTTCTTCCTTTGGGTGCCAGGAAAATGAATTGCACTTCTCTATAACATCACGGTCATATAAGATAGACACACCAAAACTAAGGCATAGCACCCAAGCATTAGTGTTATAATTAAGGATGTTTGAGGGGGGATATTTGTTGCTTTAGAAAAGAAAAGGCAAAATATTATCTCCCTTAGTTTCTAGTAACAAACCCATTTTAAGCCACTCCCACTTCTCTGGTTGAGAGTCATGAATAGTTATAGAATCGTTTAACAGTAGGATTGCCTAGTCACAGCCAGGTTCCCTTTTTTCTGTGTTAACTGGATTTGGATTTTGTTCAGGATTTGAATGGCATTATACCCAAGGCATGTATCACAATTGGTCTAAAGCAGTCACAGTAATATCATCCCTTCTGCCATGAATATGTGACTTCATGGTAGCCAATCAGATGCCAGAAGAAGTCTTAAGAGAAGTAAAGGGAAGATTAAACTCTCAGAAGAGCTAAGTGAGGAGAAACCCACCCCTTCTGTCTGACTTTGGATGTCGCCAGAGGAGGGCATGTTTGTCAGATGGGTGGCAGCCACCTTATACCCCTGAGACAGAAATAAAGCTGACTACTGAGAAACAGAGCCATGACATCACTGAGCAGCACTGCTGCCAACACCCAAATGTCTCAATATGTGAGCTAATAAAGGCCTTTAACATTTAGCCACTGTTAATTGGGTACTGTACTTCATTAGTGTTCAAACTATCCTAAATAATGCAATATTTATCATTATTGAGTAGTAAAATGTTACCTTTGAGTCTTCATCCAAATCTTTAGAAGTTCTTGATCCTACCTTTCTGATCTGATCTCCAACAAAACTCAGATAATTGATTCCTCTCTCCTAGATGACTACAATAACTTGACACTTGGTCTCAACTCAACACTTGTTCTTGGTCTCAACTCAATAACTCAGCACTTAGTCTGCTGCTTACAAGCCTAGATTCCAAACCTGATTATAGTATTTTCTTTCTTAAAGCCCACTCCATCCCCACTAGTTCCCCACTGCTATCCAGGTAATAGCCAAACTCCTTTATACGCATACAAAGTCCTCTGTGGCTGCCCCTAATGGCCTCCAACCATGCCTCCTGCTGCTGTCAATCTGCAAATTCTGACAAGGCTCCCAATTGCTCTATGATCACCATTGTCTCCAATTCTTGGCATCTTTTGGCAAGTCTTTTCTTCACCTGGGAGGCTGATCCTATCAGGGAGGGAGAACAACCTTTTCTTGGGCTTTGAGACTCACAAGGACCTGGTTAGCTATCTCTCTTAAGGGCTCCCATATCACACTGTTCTTCCTTGAACTTTAAAATTGCCTGTTTACTTGTCTTCTCCCAAACCATCTACCTCCAACACAATCATCTCCCTAAGTAAACATTTGGTCTTGCCTTGTTCATCAATGCATTCCTAACATCTAGATAGTGCACAGAACATATCAGACATTCAGTGAATGAACAATGTTGAATGAAAAGATGGACCTTCTCTTGCATCTTGCCCCAGCTATGACTCAAAAGAGACAGCACTTGGAACTGACCCATTCTCCCAAGAGTTCTTGACTTAGGCCAAGTCAGGATTGATGCCTCCAGAGAGAGTGTTTGCTGTGCAGGCTCAAGGTTCCTGAAGGTCAGGTATACTCAAGCTGTGTAATATGCCAAAGAGCGTTATCACTTTCATTTCTGCATTTACTATAATGAAAAAAATCAATGGACCATTTTTTTTTCATTCTTTAGAGGACACCAAAATGTCATGCACTTGACTTTCTTAAATCCCCACATTCTTTAGCTTTTGATCAACTCATTTGAGGCAACATCTACACAGTGACACATGAATTTCCAAAAAGTCTATCATAAGATATAATTCATACTCAGTCTATGACCAATTTTATCAAAGCTATAACAACATGAAATCCTTCATAAGGCACAAAAAAAGCAGAGGGGTTCTTGTGCATATCCCAACATTCTGCTAATCACAAAATGGCAGTACATGGGGCTTACTCAAAAGCATAAGTGTGTGTTTCATGAATTTCATTATAGCATCACAGAAATCATAGAATTCAAAGGGATCTTATTCATATCATTTAATTCAGTGCCTCATTTCTGAGGCAAACTGTACACTGGCCAAAACCATTCACATCATAAAGGGGGTTCTCCTCATATTATAGATGAGAAAATTGGGCTGCATTTACAATGAGTATTTTTATATATGACAGGATGGCTGTGATTAAGAAGAAAATGACAGCAAGATTATCTCACAAGAAAAAAAAAACAGGATTCTTCTAAAATGCAAATAATCATCTCAAAATACATCTGTCAAGGACAGTTGGATGTCTGAATATACAGATGTTTGTGTGTGTGTGCATGTGTGTATGTTTCTTTATTTTCACATTTAGCTAGTCTTCTTTAGTAAGCATCTAAATGTATATAAAATGCATTCTGCTCATTTAAAGAAAAGAAAAGAAAAGAACCATCATGGAAGAAGTGGGGTTATTGTTGCCTGCGAAGGTCAGCTGAGTAGAAGTGGGATGCCTCACAACGTGCTTGACTAACAGGGAAATTCCCTATGTGCTTATCTATTTACACCACTATTAAGTATAAAGGCCAAGACAGGAAATCAGTGTCAGACTTGTTTGTCCACAGAATTGTCCTAAATACAAGTACATATGAGGGCTTTTGTGAGGATTATCATTTGATATGTGCAACCGATGTACATTTAATCCTCAGATACACCCGGCATTGGGGCTGCTGAATGCTGGACTCCTGTAAGAAGCATGTCAGAGGAAAATGCTTCAGAAAAGAGAAATAAAAAGCAAGCAAGTATTCAAATGCTTTCCCATAATCTTTCTCCAGAATTTGATTAGAGGATTCCTTGCTTAAAAGATTTGGGTCAGCAACAGCCTAAAAAGCCTGCTTATATCCTCTAGACCTGGCCTTTATATCCCTGCCTACAAGAAACACCTAAGTTACATGAACACACGCACATCAAATTACCTGCCTGAGTTTCCCCAGCATATCACGAATATTTCTATGTGTTTGCTCATCTCATCCTTTCTGACTCTTAGTCACTTCCACAACATCTCACAACACAAAATGAAAAAAAATCAAATAACAGTCCCAGAATCTCCCCAGATGATTCTGATACCCAACCCTGCCCCACCATTAAGTAACACTGGTCAGAAATTTGTAGAGTTGATGTTGGTCTTTGTTAGCAAATATTACATTTAAAAAATCCTTTCTGGGAACAGGATGGAACCATGGGTGTTTGAAGGAGTATGGTGACATGATTTCTAACTTCATGAATGGCCTTGCACAAAAAAGTGTTGTACAATGAATAGGTCTCCATCACCTAGGAAGGACTCACCAGTGGCACACCAAACTGTTCTCTTCCCTTCAATATTTCTATTAATGATTTGAATGGGGATGGAGGTAGAAACCTGATCAAATTTCTAGAGGGTCCAAAGCTGGAAGAGTTGAATAATACATTCATGAAAGGTCAAACTTGAAATAATAATAGTGGGTGCCCTTACTGTTCACTTATTCTATGCCAAGTATGTTCCTCAATGCTTTACATAAATTAGCTCACGTAGTCCTCCCAATACTCCCATGATACAGATTGTCTTATTTTCCCCATTTCGCAGATGAGAAAACTGAGGCATAGAGAAATGTTAAATGCAGATTATGAGAGGCAGAGGCAGAATTAGAAAACAGGCTGTCTAGTGAGGTCCTTCCCTGAGTTGCATTTAAGGATTCTGGAAGCTAGGAAGGATAGGTGAAATTCAGCGAGACAAAATGTAACACTGACAGATGCATGCAACATCTTGCACTCAAATACAGGACGACATCTTCACATGCTTTTGCGAGGGGGTTGGTATGGAAATGGGAAGATGGGAGACGTGCTTTCACTATCAAGGTGACATGAATTGATAGGGTCATATTGCTGTAAATCTCGGCCCTGCCCTGGAAGCTTCACTATCTAGGGAACACAGTGTATGGCTATTTCAGCTTTCCTAACCCCTGCCTATGACAATTTGGGAAGGCATGTTCTTGTCTGCAATCTTGGTCTTACACTTCCGCAAACACATCTCTCCCCTGCTGTAGTCAAGTGACAGAATGAGTCCCTTTTGTCACAAGGAACAACTCAAAGAGTCACTACTCAGGGAAGTTGGGAAGCTTGAGAGGGCAGAAGTTGGGGGAGGAGGCACAGGAAGGTGGGACAGTATG
This sequence comes from Homo sapiens, assembly GCF_000001405.40. Lineage (NCBI taxonomy): Eukaryota > Metazoa > Chordata > Mammalia > Primates > Hominidae > Homo > Homo sapiens. The sequence goes on along the minus strand of NC_000023.11, from coordinate 12,284,310 downwards.
TCAAATCTGTCCATCATCTAGGGTACATTGCAGAAGGAATGCTTTTACGAAACAAACATTCCAAATTACAGGAGCCAGTAAACAGAGGAGGGGAGTTTATTAGTTTCTATTTGAGGCCCATATTATACTTCCCCAAAGTTTCCAGAAATAATACCAACATACTGTTCAACGATAATAGCTGTTCACCAAAACAAACAAAAAGCTTTAAAGAGGGGTCATCTGAAACAAAAATAAATGAGAGAAGTGCTAAATAAAACTATCTTCCACAGATTAATTTACTGAAATATTTATCAGAACCTTTATTAGGTTCATGTGTAGTTTTTACTACACTAGTTGGCCATGGAATTTTTTTTCTCTTAACACCTATTATCATAGTTCATGGATCCCTAGGGAGGGTAGCTCAGAATACAATTTGGAAAAATCTATGCTGCTATAATGAACTTCAAGAGATACTTCCTGATGCAATAAAGGTTACTAATAATTTGTCTTCATTCAAATGGAGATTTTTCAGAGTTTCTTAAATTTATGTTAAGAAAATATCAAGCACAAAAGTGTAAAAACACACAAATGCTCTATGTGTGCCTTTGGGCCTGGCTAGGGTGCTATTCATCATTTCTTTACACCAGTCTGATAAATTAGTGAGATAACAAATACTAGCAAAGGAAAAAAAAAAAAAGGAAAATGGTTCACATTGTTACAGAGAAATCCAATGTGTCTTATATTTTAATTAGTCACTTAGGCAATTCAAACTCTGAAAACACAGCTAAAACGAAATGTTTGTTAGAGAAAATGATAGTTAGACTAAAACATCATTAATTAAGAGTGCACCAATTTAGCATGTGCCACCATCTGACCTTGTCTAAGCTAAAATTTATCTCTGCACTATGAAGAGTATACTCATCAGTTTATTGGCACAAATAAGATTTCTGAAGACATACTTAATTTGCTTACTAGAACAACTTGATCTCAAGAACTTGAAAAACACTCACTTAGAAATAACAATGTAACTAATTGCAAATAATTCTCATATTTCCATTAAAGCATGTATGCCTACTTTGTTCTCCACTTGGCCTTCACCCTAAACATTCGGTCCTCACAGCACCAGATGGAACTTTGCAAGGGCAGCTTTGACACTGCCAAAAACAAGGTCTGGAAGCCCAAGGATTCTTCTCCAAGGGGTCTGTAACTTAAGATTTTTCTTCTGGGAAACCACAAAGCCAATGATCTGAAACAAGCTTTTAATACAGTCTAGATCAGCGCTGTCCATTGGAACTTTCTGCAGTGATAGCTACTGAGCACTTGAAATGTGGCTAGTATGGGTGAGGAAATGGGCTTTTAATTGCATTCCATTTTAATTAAGTTAAATGTAAATGCAATATCCACCTACAGCTGATGGTTATGAATTGAACAGTGCAGGTATAGACATTGACCTTTCTGGAAATTTCTGGACCTCCTCATTGCAGACTTATCTTGACATGGGACATCCATTTGACCTGAGGTAATTAAACATAAAGTTTGTGTGGCTGACTGGCCAAGGCAAGCTGATGGAAACCTTGGAAGAAGCTCCAACATGAGCGCACCCGTGCCCCAAGAGATGAGTCTAATTTCCTTTGGGTTTGTAGATGGCAACTTGGTGCTATTTTCCTATCACCGCATGGTGTTCTCTTGAACTTCTCCAGGCCTAGCCGCAGAGTAGTTTAAATGCCCCTAAGCATTCAAATAATAAAACTAGATTTGTTTGAATCTAGTTTTTACTTCAGACTTTGGCTGCAGCTGCCACGTGCCACAGGATACCTTCTGTGGGCCCAAGGCACTTTTGCCTCTGTGTGCCCCTTCATCCATAAAAGAAATTAAAATTATATTTTACAACTACTTGGTATAAAGATGAGAAACTTATTAATATTATACATTAAAACTTTCACCAAAAGTTCCAGTTTTTCTTCTGTATTTAAAAGAATTAAAAGTATTTTGGGCCTTCAGCCCTGTGCCTGATGGAGAAGCTGGGGCTGGCTCCCTGCCCTGACCCACCCACCTGGGCCCAGGCCTGCAGTTTACTAAGATCCGTGACTGCCTGCGGGCCCTTCAGCAGGCAGCCTGGAGGGTCCATGGGTCAAGGAAAAGGTGAGGGGCTTCACAATGGGAGAAAAATTCAGTAAAGATATACTTAGCTTGGAGAATACATTTTAGATTGGTTTACAAGACTCAGAATCACTATGAAGGGATAGTGTAGAGTAGATCCTTCAGACCTCTTAATTTATGATTAAATTTGTATCAATAGTCTATTAATACCTGCTTCCTAGGTAACAAGATGCATATTAATCAAACTTCAGAATTTGCAGATACATACAAGACAGGTTATAGAGATCATGGGCTTTGGGATCTCATTAACTTAGATTCAAATCTTAGTTCTACCACTAACAAACTCTGTGACCCTAGGAATGTTACTGATCATCTCTGAACCCCAATTTTCAAAGAAATAACTAAAATACATCAATATCTACCTTACCCAATAGGAATGATAATTAAATAAGATGTCTACAGAGCACAGTGTCTTTCACAGAGGAAATCCCATTACTAATATTAAAACTAACAACAACAAAAGTTTGCTAGGCTGGAAAATATATATATTTTTTAAGGCCAAGGCACAGTGGCTCACACCTGGAATCTCAGCACTTTGGGAGGCCAAGGTAGGCAGATCACTTGAGGCCAGAAGTTTGAGACCAGCCTGAGTAACGTGGCAAAACCCTGCATTTACTAAAAACACAAAAATTAGCCAGGCATGGTGGCACACACCTGTAAACCCAGCTACTCAGGAGGCTGAGGCACAAGAATCGCTTGAATCTGGGAGGTGGAGGTTGCAGTGAACAGAGATCATACCACTGTACTCCAGCCTGGGTAACAGAGTCAGTCTCTGTCTCAAAAAAGAAAAAAAAAAAAAGACTTTTTTAAAAAATGAAGACTTAACTGGCTTGGAATTATTCACTTAAAAAATATAACTTATGGTGATTATGGTAGATGCTCTATTCTTTTGTATAGTTCCTTGGTTTGGGAAGTGAAATTCCAAAAGAAAGAAGGTGGTATTTCACCCTAATTTTATGTGGAGCTTTCTGTAGAGAATAGAAAGCCAGCCTCCCATCACCCAAACTTCCCTGCCACCAGGAATGGGTGATGAACACTCACGACTGAAAGTAAGGACGAGCTTGGTGCTGGTTTTATTGTTTTGCTTTGTTTTGTTTACTTTTCCCACAGTAATGCTTGGGGTTTTGTTTTCGTTTTCATTTTTACATGTAATGGAAGAGAGAAGGTTAGGAAAATAGAAAATATTGGTACAGTCTGAGAGAGAAGATACCCAGGGAGCAGTATCAGGACCTTGTATGACTCTGGGAAGGAGCCAGCATCAAGGAAGCAGATGGATGCACCAACAGAGATACAGTGGGCCAACAAGAATGAGAGGACAACAGCACTGACAGTGACTATGGTGATGGTGGTATCAGCAGCCCTATAAGTGTGGTACTGGCATCTCCATCTTGCAGGTGGCTAGGCTGAAACAGAGAGATGTGTAGTTTGTCTGAAGTCATAGAGTAGTAAGTGGGAAAGGACCCCCAATGAGGGTGTCAAAATCCATAGATCCGAGGATGAGCAGAATTTTTCCTCTCAGAGGCCAATGGTACTCCTTCCCCTAAGACAGTGGGGACTTCATGGGCTGTGGGCAGAGATCCCATCCTCATGCCTATCATGGTTTCAATAAAGTAAGTTGAGTTTTTCTGTGGATTAACCCTGTTCATTAAATAGTAGGCCATGAGTGTTTACCAGGAAGGGGAGGCCTGGGCTGCCCAGGAATGGCAGATGGGTTTTTTCAGGTTCTAGAGGGGGTTCCAGGCCAAGGAACCTGAACCCCAAATCTCTCCCTTTCCTGAACACTCCCACTAATAAAGAACCTGGGTCTCCAACCAGGAGCCACCTCTGATTCAACATTTACATTAGAGATGTGTTCCCTAGGATAGTCTTGTTCTTTGCTCATAAACTTGGTTTTATTATTATTATTATTATTATTATTATTATTTTAAAGCAGCCTTACTAAATATGTAGCACTTGGAGTAAATGGTTAGACTAGAAACCTGATCAGTTAAGGCTATTTTTGACAACTAGGTTGTGTGGTAGTATATCTGAGATTGGAGAGTGGACGTGTGTGTGGGGTGTGTGTGTGTGCATGTATACACGTGTGTGCATGTGCGCTAAATAAGCAGTGTGCCCAATGTACTGCATATTTTCCATTTGTAAAGCCATTTAATCTTGCCAGCAACCTTATGAAGTAAGTCATATTATGAGTCCTATTTTGTAAAGAGAAGAACTGAGGCACAGAGAGGTCCTGGATCATCTGCTGGTAGGAGTCAGAGTTGGAATCGAGCCCAGGCCATCTGGTTCTTTCCAGAGTCAGTGTTCATGGCCATGGTGCTCCTCTCCAGACTCTGCAAGACTTCCCAGAGTAGCATGACACTTCTGTACCTGGGAATCTTTTGGAGCAATGGGTAATGAGGATGTGTGGCTCGCCAGGACATTGAGACTGGAACAATGTAATCCCCTGGCATGGTGGACCAGGCCTGGGCTGACCCAGGACCTCATGTGAAAGAAAAGAGACATATAGAACACAGCCTGAATGTCAGGAGAGATTCCAGGCAAAGTGTCCCCTGCCCCAGTCCCAAGAGAACCTGCCTTAATTGACTTGAAAGGAACCTGTTAGCCATGGCTAACAAGAGCCCAGTACTAGCTGGTCTTTAAGAAACAGAGACCAAGGTCACTTTCTCTGAAAGCCTAAAAGTCACTGTACTACCTGAAAGCAGGCAGCCTTCTATCCATAAAAGAGGGCAGCATGAGCAGGGCAGAGCATCTAGTTCAGTGGCAAGGTCACAAATGTTGTGATGGCACAAGCCAGAGGTGACAGAGATGGCAGCAGAGTGGAGGCTGCATGAGTGATGATAGAGAAGAGAGTTGGGTCCACCAAGAAGAACACTAGGCCCATCCCTGGGTACTGTTGGGAACAGAAGGAATTTGGAGAGAAAAGCCTGTGGACTCTGAATGTTACGGTGGGTGCACTACAGCCCAAGACTACATCATCACCGTTACAAGGGTCATAAACACCGCTGGCTTCTAAGCAATGCTAGAAAGGGCAAAGATCTTAGGATGGGTTCCCCAAAAGCAGGCCCTAAGGCAAAGATTTGAGTGAAAACAGTTTATTTAACAGATCAAACAGGGAGCTTTGATAGGCAGAGTGGAAGAATGAGACAGGAGAAGGAAGGTAATAGGAGAAAGGTTTATAAACAAGTGACTGCTTAGCAGCATATATACGGGGCAATTGGAATCTATGCTCCCAGATTACAAAATAAAATTAAAAAAATAAAATATGTGACTGCTGTAGGCAACCTGAACTTAGTCTAGCTGGGGACCTCTGGGAGGCTATAGAACGTTCCACAGAGTTGTTCCACTTGAGGGGTGAGGGAGCTGGGGTATGTACTCTCCAACTCCCTGGGTCATTAGCTGAGGGCTGCTACCAGGGACACCAACTCCCCACCACTTCCGGCCAGCCCTGTGGGAAAGCAGAACCAAAGAAGCTGTGTTCACTGGGAGTCTCAGGTCCTTGCAATGAAGGCTCCTCAAAAGTATCTGCTACACCAAGTCATCTGAGTAATAGAAAACCCAAGACATCTTAAAGTCCTCCCCTATCTTGCCCTTCCCTCTCACTTGCTAGCTAGACCCACTGAGGAGTTTTTTTAGGTATTAGAATTAGATTTGAAAAAGATGTCTGTGACTTTGTTTTGCTGGCTGGATGAGAAAAAAGCTTTCAGACTGAATGGGCTTAATAAATGAGTGCACAGAATGAGTGATAGGTGGAATCTGCTTTGCCCAATATCAAAACAAATGGAGAAGCCAGTTGGGAAAAGAATATATTCAGAGAACAGGTGGCTGGGAGCATCTGTGACAAAAAGCAGCAGCTGAAATGGGTGAATATCAACCAGGGTCTGGGGGAAAAAAATCATTCCCCGGCACTTCCTGTCAAGGAACAGGCTTGGTACTTCTTCTGACTTTTTTGTTGATATTAAACACTGACTTTTAGATGGAAAAAAATTTATTGAGAAAAGGTATGAACTTCTGGAAGAATGGAGATTTCTGAGACTAGTGAGCCAAAGAAAAGAATAGCCGTGGACTTGAAATCTATGCAGAGCCCTCACTATCTAACTAGAGAATAAAAAATGAGGATCTGTGTTTCACACAGAGGTCTGAATTTGGGAATAGCTATTCAGTTTTTCTTACAATTCGTAATACCTGCTGGATGGGACATAGGTGAGGGCAACTAAAACATGAAATGACATACTAGAAATTCAGAAATCACCCCCTTTTAAACCTTAGTCAAAAGTTTCATACCTGTGCTGTCCAACACGATAGCCACCTCCTGCACATGGGTATTGAGCTCTTGTAATGAAACCAGTCCAAATAGAGATGTGCCATAATTACAAAATAATGAAGACAGTAAAAGTAAAATATCATAATGATACCTCTATTGATATTGTGCAAGGTGACAAAATATGCTACCCAAAATATATGACATTGGCATAAATATTATTTTAAGGTAAAGGCACTCGAAAACAGCAGGTCCTAGAAGGGTACTCTGGTGACCCCTTTTTCTTCCCAAAAGGAGATAAAACCCCCTTATGAGAGATGTCTTCCCTGTGTCAGAAGAAAAGTAACAGTCTTATCACCAGAGACTGGAAGTGAAGGCTGAAACAAATCTGTACAAACAAACCTTGTTAAACTAACCCTTATCTTCCTAATTACTTTTCCACCATGGGCCGCCTAGCCCAAGCCTGTTTGTCTTGTCACATTTTTATAACTTAATATTCTTTGTCCAGTTCAGTATAGAAGCATTCAATTCCAACTTCTTCTTTGGGTCTTCATTTCCTATGAGGGCTCCCATATCAAGTAAAACTTGTATTAAATAAATGTGCATGTTTTTTTCTTGTTAATCTGTCTTTTGCTACAAAGGCCCCAGCTGAGAACTTTTAAGGGTAAAAGGAAAAGTATTTTTTCTTACCCTATAATTACATGTTGAATGATAATGTTTTGTATCTACTGAGTTAAATAAAAAATATGTTATTAAAATTAACATTTTTGAAACTTTTTTTTTTTTTTTTTTTGAGACGGAGTCTCGCTCTGTCGCCCAGGCTGGAGTGCAGTGGCGGGATCTCGGCTCACTGCAAGCTCCGCCTCCCGGGTTCACGCCATTCTCCTGCCTCAGCCTCCCGAGTAGCTGGGACTACAGGCGCCCGCCACTACGCCCGGCTAATTTTTTGTATTTTTAGTAGAGACGGGGTTTCACCATTTTAGCCGGGATGGTCTCGATCTCCTGACCTCGTGATCCGCCCGCCTCGGCCTCCCAAAGTGCTGGGATTACAGGCGTGAGCCACCGCGCCCGGCCAAAATTAACATTTTTGAAACTTTTTAAATGTAGCTATGTAAACCAAAATTAAAATTCTAAGGTCCCCCCACAATCATCTGAATGGACCCCTCCTCTCAGCCAAGGGCATTCCAAACTTAACCTGAAAAACTACTTCAGGCCATGATGGGAATGGGGAACTGGACATGCCTCATTTTACCCTCCTCCCTTTTGGAGTTACTGATAGAGCAGACTCTTAAGTCTGATAAGAAATTTTATAATCTATTTTCTCTGAAGCAGGATACCTGGAGGCTCCAACTGCATGATCAAACCTTGGTCTCTACAACCCCTTATTGTAACCCAGACATTCCATTCTATTGATAATAACTATTTCAACCAATTGCCAATCGGAAAATCTTTGAATCTACATATAACCTGGAAGCCCCCACTTCCGATTGCCCTGCCTTTCCAGACTGAACCAATGTACATCTTACATGTATTGATTGATGCCTTATGTTTCCCCAAAATGTATAAAACCAAGTTATGGCCTGACTACCTCGGGCACATGTTCTCAGGATCTCCTGAGGACTGTGTCATCGTCCTTTGGTCACTCGTATTTGGCTCAGAATAAATCTCTTCAAAATATTTTACAGAGTTTGACTCTTTTCATGGACAGCTACAAGAAAAGTTAAGTTTAATATATGTCTTACACATTTCTATCAGACAGTTCTGCTTTATATAAAAATGGACTTGAAAATTTGTTTGTGGTCAAATAAATATCCAATATTTTAGTTAACCATCAAATAGTCTTTATCTTGCCCCTTTCCACCTCCTTATTACAGGAAGGAGCAAGGTTTTTGTGAACTAAGTTACAGGACAAGACATGGATCCTGAACTATGATTGTTTTGATGGCAAGAAAGGAAAACTGCCTATCTAGAGACCTAAGTTGACTCCCTAACCTGCATTGTGGTCTTGACAAGCTGCTGCGTCTTCTGGGCCAAAGCTTATTCAACTGTAAAGTGACAGGTTAAGTGGAACTGATCTCCAGATCACCCTAACATTGTCCATTGAGCTTCCTCAAAGGTCCGGTCACTCCCAACTCAAAATTCTTCATGGAATCTCCATTACCCACTCAACAGAAGGGCAAAATCCACCTCACCTGCCAACTCTCCATGGAGGATCCTCCCTTCTCACTTCCACCCTCTGTCCTGCATCTGACACATAGAGCTGTCCTGATGCCCTTCCCCCTTTCACAGTTTGCATCAAGTCCTCTGCTTGAAATTCCATCTTACTGCATCCACACACCTTCGAATGTCACCCATCAATGAAAGTCACATGGAAATGTTATCTTTCCCATGAAAGCTCCTATTTCCTCAGCTGGCAGCCTCACTGCCTCCTAAAAAGGAAATGCATTCTGTATTAGGTTGTTCTTGTGTTGCTATAAATAAATACCTGAGACTCGGTAATTTATTTTTTAACAAAGGTTTAATTGGTTCATGGTTCTGTAGGCTGTACAAACATGGCACTAGCATCTGCTCAGTTTCTGGGGAGGCCTTCAGGGAGCTTTCACTCATGGCAGAAGGTGAAGCAGGAGCAGGCATGTCATGTGGCAGAAGCAGGTGGAAAAGAGAGGGGGAGGGGCCTGCCACACACTTCTAAATGACCAGATTTTGTGAGAACTCACTCACTATCTCAAAGACAGCACCAAGCCATGAGGGATTCACCCCCATGATCCAAACACCTCCCACCAGGCCCCACCTCCAGCATTAGGGATTGCAATTCAACATGAAATTTGGGTGGGGACAAATAGCTAAACAATATCACATTCTATCTGGGGCTACAGTTATTTCTGTACATGTGGTTTATTTTTTTGAGATGGAGTCTCGCTCTGTTGCCCGGGCTGGAGTGCAGTGGCGCGATCACCGCTCACTGCAAGCTCCGCCTCCCGGGTTCACGCCATTCTCCTGCCTCAGCCTCCCGAGTAGCTGGGACTACAGGTGCCCACCACCGCGTCTGGCTAATTTTTTGTATTTTTAGTAGAGACGGGGTTTCACCATGTTAGCCAGGATGGTCTCGATCTCCTGACCTCGTGATCCGCCCGCCTCGGCCTCCCAAAGTGCTGGGATTACAGGCGTGGGCCACCGCGCCCCGCCTTCTGTACATGTTTTATCTCCCGAACATGCTCCTAAAAATCCCAACCCATCTTTACTTCCCAAATGGAATGAGTACATTGCTCCATACTGGAAGCAGAAGGATCACAGACTGGGCCCCTTTCCCTCCTTGCTCCCTCCTAACATCTCTTGAGAAACAAATCCTAATGCAGGAAAATATGAAACAAAAGCTTCATTCAATGGATTATTTAGCTGCTTACCGAAACTACGAAAGTCAACATGTTGTTTCTTTGCTTTATTGTTCCATAAGCACTATCTCTTTTTCACAGAAGTTAAGAATGAACATGCATTTGTTCAGAGTAAAATAGCCTATTTTTATTCCACAGTGAATTGACTGTGAGGCTAATGACGTTTCAGTGTAAGGACCCCAGTTGCAAGGCTACTTCAGAAACTCTGGGTGGAGTTCTGGCGATTTGTAGCCATGATTTTGTATTCTTCCCTAAGAGGGTTTCTTGTAATGCAAAAGTTTCTGGCTCCATAAAACCTGGATTTGTGCCTGATTTTATTTCTCTTTTAATTTTTAATTAGAAAGAGTAGATACCTAAGTCTATTTCTTCAATCTTAAAAAAAAAAAATCCTAGAGGCCATTTAGGGGCCCCCCGAACCCATAGGAATGTGTTGACTCCACATTTTACATTCTTCGTAGGTGCCCTCTTCTGCACATGAAAGACCCATGAAATGTATTGAATGAATGAATCTGTGAATGACTACATGAGTGAAATTTTATGATATCATAGTATTCCATACTGACGAAACTGGTACTTTTACAAAAATCACGTAACAGCATGGAAATAATGTCACCCCTGTGGAAGAAAACAAAGTGAAAGTGACCACACAATAAAAAAACATTTCGGTCAAAAAGGCAAAATAAATTGCATGCAGTTTTGATACCCAGAGATGAAAACTCAGTACAATGAGAAAAATCTTTCCAAAGTAACTCTGTGCATGAAGCATAAAAGAGCCACATACAGATTTTCATGCTCTTAGCAGGGGATGGGCACTTAAAAGCAAAACATGAAAAATATCCTTAATAACTGGCAGTATATATTCTAGTGTGCTTCTACTAAAATATCACCGCCACTAATGAGATTGACACTGCAAGGAACCAGAAGCTTCTAGAAATTAAGAGGGCACTATCATCTTAGCATATCATATGATTATATACTGCATTCATATAAAATATTATTTATGCCATTTTCATTATTTTATTTCTGAAACAATCTGTATTTGGAAAATAATCTGTGTCAACTTTTATGCTTGCAAAATTTCTGGTGTCTTTGAATGTGTCTGATTTGAAAGCCAAATTACCGTAAGTGCTTAAAAAAGTCATACTGTATTTGGCAGAAAATATAACACATAAGCAAATTGACTAAAATGGACAGCAACCTTCTTATTTAACAATTTTAGACATTTACTTGTTAACACTTTCAAAATTCCATGTTTATGGGCACTTTCCTAATGCTTTTTAAGGCGTTCATTTTGTAAAACAAAAACAAACCAAAAAGTACTTACTATCCTATAAAGTCCTCTTTGTCTAGAATAACAAGACTAAAATTGGTAAAGGGTAGGAGCTGGAGTTCCTTTAGCACTGGCAACTAAAGTGACAGTTATTTTTTTTTCTTTTTTTTTTTTTGAAACCAAGTCTTGCTCTGTCACCCAGGCTAGAGTACAGTGGTGCAATCTTGGCTCACTGTAGCCTCTGCCTCCTGGGTTCAAGTGATTCTTGTGCCTCAGTCTCCCAAGTAGCTGGGATTATAGGCATGCACCACCATGCCTGGCTAATTTAATTATTGTATCTTTTTTAGTAGAGACAGGGTTTCACAATGTTGACCAGGCTGGTCTCAAACTCCTTACCTCAAGTGATCTGACCACCTCGCCCTCCAAAGTGTTAGGATTACAGGTGTGAGCCACCACACGCAGCCTTTTCTTTCATTAAGCTTTTGTTTCATGCAAGAATTTTATATATATTTATTTTTAATAACTTGGGTATGGTATTTATTTTCCACCTTGACTTATTTCCCTACAAGCTAGCTAATGATTACTAATTAAGAACTGTTACAGATTTCAAATAGGCCAATGTTCATACTTTATACTTTTGAGATCACTTTATAAGTAAAGAAAAGTTGAATTAATAAAAGGTTGTAGAAACTGTCCCTTCTACAATTCATCCTAGGCCCAACCACCATAATCATTTCATCAGATGCTGCTCAGGTATCAACAACCTCTACTCTTTCGTCATTTAAATGATTCCAATCTTCACTCTCAGCCTCCCGTCCTCTCCCTGGTCACCCTCCACTTCATTGACTTGACTGCCAGTTCTGCAGCAGCTAGCCTCCACTGTCAATGACTTTAGGATTCCCATACAAATGCGAATACCAACACTTTATCCTCAATACTTCTCCCAGAATTAAATACATTCCTATCTAGAAGGCCATGTGGTTGCAAGTTCAATGCCCATGATTAATAGAGACTATTCCCAAATGCCCAATCATTGAATAATGATGAGGAAGACATCTATAGAGTGCTTATTATGTGCCAGGCTCTGTTCAAAGCACTTTACATGTACTACATCATTTAATCCCCACAAAACTCTACTATTATTTTCCCCATTTTACAGATGAGAAAGTTTAGGAAACGTATTCAAAGTCCACATCTATATGGCAGAGCCAGGATTTGAATCTGGGCAATCTGGCTCCATAATCCCTGTTGTTAATCACCATACAGTGCTGCCTCTAATAAGAAAATGTCTGCATCAGTGCCACTCAAAATGTGGTCCTTGAACCAATAACATCTATATCAGTGGGAGATTGGAAGAAATGCACAATCTGTGACTCAACTGCAGACCTAATGCATGAGAATCTGCATTTTAAATGGATTCTCAGGGGAGTCTGATGCTCACAAAGTTTGGGATGCAATTGTCTAAGGAACTCATTAATGACAAAAGGTATAATACTGACTTTTTGATCACCAGGCAAAAAAGCTCTCACTGTTCTCTGAATAAAAGCTTTACTTTTACCTTGTAATGAGAAGCCAAAGTCACAAAATTCAGCTATAAAATTAAAGAAAATCTGCTCTGCTTTAGTTTAGCTCACGTGGCACAGGTGAGCAGCAAAGAGAAGAGCTTAAAGGCAGCTTTTTGGCACACTGTGTGAGAATGAAAACCTCTCGAATGGTACAGCACACAATCTTCGTGGACAGTAGGTGCTGATCCCACACCTACGCAGAAAATGTGAGACATCTGCAATTTCACTATGCCAAAGTTCGAAACAGTCAAAGCTAATCTCTGGTACCAGAAGCCATGATATTGTTACCCTTAGTAGAGGCAGGGCCCAGTTAAGGATTGGAAAGGGCACCACTGTGGGGTGGGGAAGATATCTCTGTGTGTTAGTCATATTCTGTTCCTGATCTGGGTGTTGGTTACATGAGTATGTTTAATTTGTGAATATCCGCTAGCTGTAGACTTGTGACATTATTCTGCATATATGTTACAGGTGATAAAAGTTTACATAAAAGGAATTACAATTTCTAGAACATAGTCTCACTGATTAACAGAGATGAAAGAGAATATTAGTAGTTTACATAGCTGAGTGGCGGGAATTACCTAGTGTATATGGGAATATTACTACGTGTTCCAACCAAAACATACGGTATACTCTCCTATGGGAAGACTATTTACACTGATACTACTATTTGAAGCAGGAAGAGCATCCTGGTTGTTTTGATTTTTTAAACATTTTATTTTAGACATACAAGAAATTGCAAAAATAATACAGAAAGTTCCCATGTACTCTTCACTCAGCTTCTCTGAATAACTCAGCCTTCCATAACCATAGTATAGTGTCAAAACCAGAAAATTGACACTGCTGCAATACTATTAACTAAACTATAGACTCCACTGAGATCTCACCCATAAGAATATTCTATCTTAGCTCCAGTTTCATACCTTGTGGCCTTCTTCATAGATTTGCGGAAGAAACGATGGGTAAGTGAATACGATAGAAATGTGTTGACTAGTTTGTAACTGTTACACATTATTTTTTCTATATATATTACATATAAGTATATATGTGGATATATACACATATGCATATGTAGATACACACATATATGTATATATCTATCTCTATATACATATATGTATATTTCTGAAATTGAAGAGTAAAACAATCATTATGTAAACTTCTATTCTTGACACAGTCACATAACTTGATCATGATATTTAGTCCTACCAGTTACTTAATTGCAATATCAAGACTGCTCTGTATTTTCTCCCCTCTTGCAATTCCCTAAGGGAAATTAACAAACTGATTTCAGTTTTCAAGAGATATGAATCAACCAGATGGACAGATAGTTTTAAGAGAATAGAAAATGATCTGACACATGGCTCAATTACACAGTTCATCCAAGATAAATTAAAGAAAACATTTTTAAAAGCATTTTTTTTTCAAAAAAGACAATGGTATTTGGCATGCTAATATTCCTCATTAGATTAGCATTATAGAGAATTGATCAGGAAAAGAAAAACAACTAATAAAACTAAAGCCAAAAAAAGAAATTCTACATGTGGCCCATAGCCAGTAGATGACATTACATACAGTGAACACATCAATATTTTTGCAACTGGAAATTCTTTCTGAAGGATCCAGGAATCAGTAATTTCAGAGAGAATTTTCTACCAGTGCATTAGAATTTTGGAAATTAAATATCACCAGATTCAAGTATATGATTTTTAGGGCCACTTTCTCATTATTCTCCATATTTCTCACTCCCCTCACCTATGCCAACCTCTAAGTTAAACATGGTTCAAATACCTATTTCTTCCTGAAATGCATTCTCTCATGCCAATGGCACAAAGTTGGAGAATCTGAGACTCCACCTTCTGTCTCTAATGCAGAGTTTCTCAGCTTCAGCAGCATTAGGTATTGACATTTGGAGCCAGATAACTCCTGGCTGTGTGTGTGTGGAGTGGAAGAGGATGCCCTTGGCACCGTGGGATGTGTTATCAGCATCCCTCATCTCCACCCACTAGATGCCAGTAGTGCTCCTCCCACTTCAGTTGTGAAACCCAAAATTGTCTCTAGACATTGCAAAATGTCCACTGGGGACAAGCATGCAAAATCACCACCACTATAATAGCATTACTTAGACATAGTTTCAAACAAAACTTGGTCCTTTTAACAATAAACCATGGCCAGAAATAGTATCTATCAATGACGTGAGTGGACCCTAAATGTGTCATAAGTTTAAAATCCCAGTTTCAAAAAACTGATTCCCGGACTTGCCAGTGGATCAATGTATAGAACAGAGCCTATCATTGGAAGGCTTCTAAAAGAGCTTCCAGGAAGATTTTTTTTTTTATTTTATTAATGAAGAATCTGAGGCCATCTGAGGAGGTAAGTATTGTTCCAAAATCACCCAATGAGCCAAGCGGTGTGGTTTCTAGTGCAGTGCTCCACCTATTATGCTGGGTTGCCTCCTGGGCTTCTCCCCAAACTCTTATTCACATAATTCAATATGTTAGCATTTTATTGATAGACTGTGGATTACCTAGTGATGTTATATAAAGCTACAACCTCAGCCTTTTCACACTGGTAAACAACAGAAGAATAAAAAAATATGGAAATGGCAACAGAACCAAAAAGAACAGTCAAATTTTACCTCTCACTCTCCATTTTCTAGAAATAAATGTATTGAAATGAGACAAACCAACCAGATATTTCAAATATTCACAGTTGAAGACATTTAGAATCTTTTCATAATGTTATTTAATTCATTTTCAATGATCATTCTATGACTAGTGGAAAGCATGTGATCGAAATACAGGATATGGCCAAACTTCCAGCAGAGGGAAACAACCGCAGATATTTTATTTTTAAAAGAAACGTAGGAATCTTTAAGACTATTTTCACTAAGAGGGTAAAGCTTGAAGTGACATTTATATCAAAACTCTCTTAGCATTACAGTTAGAGCCTCCAAAATTAGAAACATAACTCTTTGCAGAAGGCTGTGCACCCTATGGAACTAATGATGTCCTGCTCTTGTCAATGAGATGGAATACTTTTATTTGGGAAAAGAATCTCAGAGAGGCCATTATAGGCTATGCCTATCACTGTGTAGGAGATGGTAGAATACAAAAGATGACCCCTCCAAAGTAATTTCCCAACCATTAGCCCAGTTGATCCTCAAAATCATCCTAAGAGGTTAATACCCTCATTTCTGTTGGTGGGATGACCTGGAACAATTCATGAGTACAGAGTTGAGACTGGAACTTTGCTCTGTATCTCAGCTGCCTCTCAAGGTAAAGTACAAGGCTCCTATCCATTGGATGTTTACAATATTTGCACTCCCTATCTTTTTCTGCCTATGATTATGGAGCAGACTGCTACCACTCATGAGTATCTATGTTCTCCTCCTCTTGCTGGGCAAACAGGAAGGTAGGCTGTGTTTTTCAGCCTTCCTTATAATTGGCCATGGGTGTGTGATGAACTCTTGCCAATGCAATGTGAGAAGTGAGTATGCTGCTTCCAAGCCTGGTCAATTAAAAATCTCCCACTTGAGGTCCTCACTGTTTTCCCCAAACTTCTAGCTAAAGGGAGATGACGCTACAGATGTAGAGGAGGGTGGATCTATCAGATGAAAGGAGCTTGCATCCCTGAATGACTGTGCAGAGTTAGACCACCCTGTCCAAATTGCGTAAGTAAGGGATGTGAGTGAAAATTAAACTTTTATTGTATTAAACCACTGAGTCTTGGAGTATAAATTACCTTAACAACCACCACTGCTTTTGCCAAAAATGACTAAGACAGCAACACATTTAAGGAAGGGAAAGACTAGTTGTTTGTCAGGGAACTTCTGGGGACTCAACCTATAGAAGGGAGTTACAGATATTCCTGGTAGATTCCTAAGGAGAGCCTTCAGCTTGTGTGAGGAAACCCAGCAGGCTGGTCTGCATCAACCTTTCCCCCTCTGCTCAGTGTTCACTTTCCACAGACTTTGCTTCTATCCCTGCCTACAGCAAAATTCCTAGTGACAGCTGCTTAAAGCAAATGAACACCAGATTCTTCTCAAAAAGCTATGGTAGACTCCAAAATATTCAAGCGAACCATTCCTCCTAAATATTTTCCATGTAGACGAATATGTATAAACCAACAAGACAAATAACAGCTTAACGTCATTCTGCCAACAGTCAGTAACCCAAAAGTGAACTAGTAATTTGTTACTAAATTTATCAAGACTAATACTAACAACCATGCTTCAAGATTTCATTTTCAAGCATCCCATCTGTCTTAGAAAAAAGAAGGCGCTATTTGGAGCACTGTATATTTTTTATATTATAAAAGGGGGAAAATTGGCTGTCAATCAAGTTTAATCAAACAACCATTATTTAGCATTATAGAAGAAATTTGGGAAAATGACAAGGTGCTTTTGAAGTCATGCTTAAAATGTATTTTTCCCTCTAAATACATATACCTACAATGTGGAGAAAAAGGGCATTTCTTTCTCCCTCTTGATTATATAGCGGGTCCTTGACTTACAATGGTTTGACTTACGATTTTCCGACTTGATGATGATGCAAGAGTGATATACATTCAGCAGAAACCTTGCATTTGGAATTCTGATATTTTCCCAGGCTGGGTAAACAATTAACACTGTACAATATGCTGTGTTGCCAGCATTTTTGGATATGATTTTGACCAATTGTAGGCTAATGGAAGTGTTCTGAGCATATTCAAGGTAAGCTAGGCTAAGCTATGATGTTCAGCAAATTAGGTGTATTAAATATACTTTCTATTTATGATATTTTCAACTTCAGATAGGTTTATTGGAAGGTAATCCCATCATAACTCGAGGAGCATCTGTAACCACATCTAATTCAGTCTCCCAAATCCACTATAGGCTACTCTGAATATACAATCGTAGGAGGTACATCTCTCATATTATTTCCAGGGGAAAGAATGCAAACACAAAAGCATGCATGTACCATACCTCCTCTGTTTCAAAGTTTTTAATACATAAATTAAATATAAGGAAGGGCAGTGATTAACTGGTATGGTAGATTCCAATAATGGTCCGAGTAAGGTAACTTTGCTGTGCTGTCCCACTGTGAAGGTAGGACTCAACCCACCCCTTGATTCTGAACTTGGTTCAGTTACTGCTTTCACCAATAGAATGAGGCAGAAATGCTACTATGTCACTTCCAAGCCCAGACTTCAAGGGGCCTTGCGTATTTTCATTTGCTCTCTTGCACTTCTGCCATCTAAAGAGGAAGGGCATGTCTACACTGACCCACTGGTCCCAGCAGAAGGATAAGAATCATAAGGAAAAGAGCCAGCTTACGGGGAATTCAGAAAAGTAAACCCAATGGATGCTATCCTAGATCAGTGACCCTTGCAGACCCATGGGAAATGTTTACTATTGTATGCCATTGAGATTGGGGTGGTTTAATTACACAACCAATGCTAACTGATACAACTAGTCAGTTACATATTTTGCCATCTATAATAATAATGTTTTCTCCTACTATGGCCTGTTCATTTTTTGTTTTCTCTTTTTTTTTTTTTTTTTTTTTTTTTTTTTGAGACGGAGTCTCGCTGTGTCGCCCAGGCTGGAGTGCAGTGGCTTGATCTCGGCTCACTGCAAGCTCCGCCTCCCGGGTTCACGCCATTCTCCTGCCTCAGGCTCCCGAATAGCTGGGACTACAGGCGCCTGCCACCGCGCCCGGCTAATTTTTTTTGTATTTTTTTTAGTAGAGATGGTGTTTCACCGTGTTAGCCAGGATGGTCTCGATCTCCTGACCTCGTGATCCGCCCACCTCGGCCTCCCAAAGTGCTGGGATTACAGGCTTGAGCCACCGCGCCCGGCTTTTGTTTGTTTTAAATAGATTTTCTATTTCAGAATTCAATTATCTTCCTGGATAGACTATTAACATCTAATTCATGTGCAGTTTTGGGGGGGGGTTCTTAACTGAGATCTAATCACCCAAGTTTAAAACTGTATTGTAATCATAAAGGGCTACAGTATTATTGGAACATCTATCCACATGACATATTTGTTTATATTGCTTATATGAGTCAGAGAAAAAAAAAAGAAAAATAATGTGGCAGAAACTCATGAAATAAAGGGAATTCAGAAAAGTAAAGCTGAGAAAATTTCCCCAAGGGGTAGTGTCTACAAATCAAAATGCCCTTTAAACACGTATATGGCTGATAACAGCCTAGAAAAGGCTCACTGTCATCATCTAGCACAGAGCCCAAGTGTAGGTGACAGTCAGCACATTCCCCAGAAAAATCCCTCTAAGGAATCAGAACCCATATAACACAGAAGACTCTTATTACAGTTACTGGGCTTCTTTTTCAGTTTTAGAAGTCGATTAATTTACCATAAAAATCTTCACTGTTGAATGAACCAGCAAACCGCAGCATCAAAATCTGTTCTATACCAGGGCTTCTCAGATTTATCTGCACGTTAAAATCACCTCGAGAGATTTTTAAAATCCTGGTGCTCAGGTCAAACTGCAGATCAATTACATCAGAATCTTTCAGGCTGGGACTTCGATATTTTTAGAGGTTCCCAGATGACTCCAAGGTGCAGCCAAGATTGAGAATTACTTTGTCTTTGATTACAGGCTGAAACCGAAACACAGGTAACTCTTGTTTTTACATTAAGGCAAAGTGAAGACAACTTTTTCTTCTACTGCTATATATTACCAGTGGTAATGTACAGCATTAGGCCTTAATTTTCCTCTACTGAAAACTGGCCTACTTTATACTACAGCTCTTAACCCTGAGCCTACTTAGGAGATGGAAGGAGAAGAACATCCAATTTCACTAGCATTTTTCTAAGTATATTTCACTAGGCTTAATACAACCCAACCCCATAAATTCCCATCTTGAAAGGCAAAAAACAATTCAGAATATCTTAAAATAACTTTGTCATTTGAAAATTAGTAAAGGAACTCTTTTAAATCAACCAAACAGTAGCTGTAGGCAATCTTCAAGAACATACTATGGCATAATCAAACAACAACTGGTATTCAAAAGTTTGTTATGTTAGACTAATAGACAAACTCATCAAAGTCTTGTGGGAAAACAAACATACGGTAGCCTACACTTACATCTCACTTAATTCCAATCAACACCTGTTATGAAGAAATTGAATTATTATCATACAGTATTTTTAGACATATTAATATAGGGCAAAATTATAATAAAATGTTTGCAGAAAGCAGCTGTAATGTGAAATACTGACCCACAATGAACTGAAAAAAGTGAAGAGGGTCTTGAGCCCCTAAGACAACACCCAACTGTCTCCTGTCTCTGAACCCCAAACTTCTAAATCCAACTACCTATGGAACTTTGCCACTTGCATATCTAATAGGTATCTCCCAGTCAATTCCTGTTCTCCTTCCTCAACTCCTGATGTCCTGAGACTGAGAAGAAATTGTTCTTCTACTATTCTACATTAGCAATGGTAATGCACATCATTAGGCCTTAGTTTTCCTCTACTGAAAACTGGCTTACTTTACTGCAAAGTTGTTCTTCTCAGTCTCAGGAAATGGCAATATTTTCCTATCAGTGACTCAGAACAAAGGCTCAAGAGTCACCACTGACTCTTCTCATTCTTTCACTCTACTATGGCTTGAATGTGTCCCCCCCAAAAGCACGTGTTGGCAACTTAATCCCCAATGCAACAGTGTTGAGCAATGGGGCATAATGGGAGGTATTAATGCTCCACCCTCGTTAATGGATTAAAGTTGATTATAAAAGGGCTTGCGGCTGTGGGTTCTATCTCTTTCTCACTCTCTTACCCTCTCTTTGCCCTTCTGCCATGGGATGACATAGCAAGAAGCACTTGGCAGATGTCTGCATCTTGCTATTGGACTTCCCAGCCTTTAGAGCTGTGAAAAATTTTTTTTTTTTTCAAGTTATGCAGTCTGTGGTATTCTGTTATAGCAACACAAAACAGACTAAGACACACTCCATATCCAAACTGTCAGGGAGTTGTTGGTTGCACCCTCAACATATATCCAGGATCCCTCCACTTC
Organism: Homo sapiens; assembly: GCF_000001405.40. Taxonomy (NCBI): domain Eukaryota; kingdom Metazoa; phylum Chordata; class Mammalia; order Primates; family Hominidae; genus Homo; species Homo sapiens. The sequence goes on along the minus strand of NC_000023.11, from coordinate 12,263,665 downwards.
TCACCTCTATAGCTACCCAGGCTTTGGCCTAAGCTACTATTATCTGGTGCCTGGGTCATTGTGGTAGCTTCCAAGTAGTTTCCCTGCCGCTTCCCTTCTCTATTCTTAAAACAGAAGCCAGCATAGGCCTTTAGTAAGAGACATTAGCTCATGTCACACCAATGCCAACTCTCTACTGGCTTTCATTCCAAGTCAAAGCTAGTCCTCAAAATGCCTGACAAGGTCCTGTATATCTGATGTCCCTACCTCACTGATGACTTCATCATTTGTCACTTCCTCTAACACTCACTCCAGTCCAGCCACATTTGTCTGCTTGCAAATGCTCTTGCATGTCAGGCATACTCTCACCTCTCCTAAGGTGACCAACCATCCTGGTTTACCAGGGGGACTAAGGAGTTTCCTGGGATGCAAGATCTTCAATGTAAAAACACAGTATGTGATAGGCAAACCATGGCAAGTTGGTCACCCTATTTCTCCCTGTGCCAGTAACACTCATCCCCCCAAGTACCTTCATTGACATCCTTTCTCCCTTAGGTTGTTTGCTCATTACTGTTGTAGTTTTAATAGTAAATGTGTGCATGTCAGTCTTATGACTTGAAGTTAGCTTAAGAGGAAGAAACTCCCTCTTGTAGAAATAACAAAATAAGGCTCCTAGGTCTTCAAAGCTGAAGCCCAGACTCTGAACTGCAGCAAATTAACCTCACGAGGCCCCTTCAGTACCTGTTAGCCAGATATCTACAAGGACCCACATGCCCAGTGACTTCCAAGTGTAGAATACCTGCACAACCACACTAACCATAGCAATCCCCATTTCATGAAATGTTTCCATGTCCCAAGGATTTGTCACCTTCATTCCTTATACAATCTCACAAGGAAGAGACAACTATCTCCTTTTTAGAGATACACAAATGGGCCCGGCCAGAATAACTCACTTCCTCAAGACCCTAAGTGACATAGCTGCAATTTGAAGCCCACTGGTTTCTATCGGTACCATCAACAATAATATTGAGAGTGATAATTATGATGATAAAGGTAACATGAGTGCTTATTATGGTCCAAATACTGTTCTACATGTTATTCACATATTAACTTTTTTGAGCTTCAAAACAACCCTGTGAGTTAGATTTGACCTTCATTCCTATTTACAGATGATTAAATAATATCAGAGAAATTAAGTGCCTCGTCTAAAGCCACAAGGATGACAAGGGGAACCTCATGTGCTAAACCAGGGATTGGCAAACTTTATCTGTATAGGGCCAGATACATGGTGGTTCATGCCCATAATCCCAGCACATTGGGAGACCGAGGCAGGAGGATCACTTTAGGCCAGGAGTTCAAGCCTGGGCAACATAGTGAGACTCTGTCTCTAAAAATATAGAAGTAAAAAATAAAATAATATTTTAAAATAAAAAAAATATGTTTTATGCTATGCAGGCCAAACAGGCTATTGTAGCTACTCGACTCTGCCACTGTAGCCCAAGAGCAGCCACAGACATTATACAAATCAATGGGTATGGCTGTGTTCCAATAAAACTTTACTTTCAAAAACAGGCAGGGGACAAGATTTGGTCAGTGGGCTAGAGTGTGCTAGCTTCTGCCCCAAACTGCTACATTAAGATGCTTCTGGAAACAATTCAGAAGTGGAAATAATGTCATTCATATGAGTAACAACCGATTATTTTTGTTGATTTTTTCTGCCACATTTTATTAAGTAAACTAGATTTAAAAAGTTATTTTACATTTCAAGCAATACAAAGCAAATAATAAAAATCTAATATTTTTATTTATGGTAGGAATATTTTTAACATAGGTATATTGACATTTGTGCTTTTGAATATGCAAAATGAAAACTTTGACAGAAAAAATAATGGGAATGTCTAGGCATATAGGCGACTCATAAATGACAGCATATTGATAATTGTTGAAGCTGGATGATGTACAGGGTTGTTTTACTATTCAATTTACTTTCAGTTATTATATTTAAAATTTTTATAATAAAGTTTAAAACATGAATGCCTCACTTATTGTTGAATAAATGCACATCATGCCATAAGTTCTTTGGTGGGCTCTAATTCTGTTTTTCTTCTGAACTCTTGCTGGACTAAGTTGTTCAGTCTTTTATCACCAAAATAATGTTTGGCAGTCCTTTAGCTTCCAGTAGTCTCTTCTTATGTGTCAAGTCCTAGTGGTATGCATTTGGGTAGGTTAGATACACTGAGAACATTTTAAGAGGATAAATGCAAATCACCAGCTTTTGAAGTTAGAGGTTCCAGGAAGCATCAAAACATTGTTGCTTCTTTTTTTCTTAAATCAATATAGCCCAGAGAATCAGGCAAAATTTAGGGCTTTGTATATTTTACATTCTATTTTTATCAGCTATAATGATTCTGAAATATAATTTTCACAGATTTTTATAAACTAGGATATGTCTTTTCCTTTTGGGATTTAAAGGTGATGAGCTATCATCTATGATTATATCCAGACTCAAAATCTCTATCCAGGTGATAATATCCTCTGTAAGAAGCTCAGCTTCTTTTAGCAAATGTTTACTTAGCATCTACTATGCTTCAGAAACTGCTATGTTAGGTCGGTACTGGGACAAGCTTCTCTGCCCTCAGGGAACCCACTCTTGGGAGAAGACACAGAAATAAGGATTTCTGCATCCATTGTAAGTGTAAAGATAAAGAAAACCACAGGGTGTGAGTACAGCCCAGGGGAGGGCTGTTTGGGCATCTTAAGAAGAGATACTTAGGTCACCTTAAAAAATAAGAGAAGTTAGCCATATGCAGAAAAAAGAGAAGTTCATCTAGGGAGAGGCATCAGATTAAGCAAACGCGTGGAGGATTGAAACAGCATGCTTTATTGGGAGAACTAAATTTGTTATTACTATAACATAAATTACAGTACAGAGTGGAAGAGAAGATGAGGCTGAAGAAGAGGCATGAAGAGAAAGGTTATTCATGGCCTTACATGCCATGCTAAAGAGCTTGGATCGGTACATAACAGGAAGTCACTGATAAGTGAACGGGGAACTGCACACAGCTAGCATTTCAGATAGAAAATTCTGGGATGAGTGTAGATAATGGATGTGAAGGATGCAAAATTAATAAATGAGGCCATCAAAGGGAACTGGCATGAAATCCAGTGAGGAATAATGAGACAGAACTAGGCAATTTATGGTTAGCAGCTGGGGAAGCTGGTTCAAAGTTATACCTAGAAGGTAATATTGGTCAAGAGCCAGAAGAATTGATAATTATTACTAGTTTTCTGGTTTGGGTGACCTGACCAGGTAGTGTCACTGACTGTGAGAATAAACAAGGAAGAACATAGGATAAATTTGGAGACATATCTTTTAGGGGAAGTTGAGTTTTAGGTATCTGCAGGCTATATGCAATAGGTATTTGGACATATTCTGAAATTCAGGTAAGAGATTAGGTATGGAGACTTAAATTTTGGAGTCATCAACATATAGGTGCAGGTAAAACCACAAAAGGATGAGGTCACTAAGGGAATGCATGTTGACTAAGAAGGAAAAAAGGCCAAGGTGACAACCAGGGAATACCTAAATCCAAGATGTGCCAAAGAGAAGAACCTACAAGAGTGACAAAAAAAGCAATAATCAAAGATATGAAAATCTAAGAAAGTTATGTGGGGAAAATAAAATGAACTGAGCTGCCAGGAAAATGTCAACTGAGAAATGAAATAACAATCCTTACTTTGCAGGGCTTTTGTGAAGGTTTAAGATAATAGGCATCAAGTACATCTAGTGCCTCTATTTTATCAACAACATCAAGAACTGTATAGCCCACAGGGTCAAATTCAGCAGAAGATGACTAAAAATGTTCATAGTATGTGGTCATGTGGAGGGGTGGAAGAAAATGCTGGATGATCTCTAAACCCACATTCTTCTCTTCTTCCTAGACACAGGGCTAGACTATATTTCCCTGGTTTCTTTGCTGTTCAGCGTGCCAATAGGTCTGAGTTCTGACCAACGGAGGATGAGCAGGAGTAATGTATCCCCTTTTAGGCTTAACCGTGTATTCGTTTCCTAGAACTGTGTAACAAAGTACCCACTAACGGATAGCCCAAAACAACAGAAATTTATTGTCTCACAGTTCTGGAGGCAGGAAGTCCAAAACCTAAATATCAGCAGGACCATGCTCTTTGAAGGCTCCTGGGGAAGATCCCTCCTTACATCTTCCTAGCTTCTAGTGCTTGCTGGCAATCCTTGGCATTCCTTGGCTTGCAGCTGCATCACTCCATTCTCTACCTTCATTGCCACATGATATTTTCCCTGTGTGTGTGTTTCTCTTTGTCCAAATTTCCCTCTTCTCATAAAGACATCAGTCATATTGGGTTTAGGCCCCACCCTAAAAACCATAAAAACTTCCTACACATGATCTTCCCTGTTCCTTTCCACTTCTGGATGGCTAGAATGGACGCACCCCCCGCTTGGGAGCCAGGTGTTGAAGAAGGCAGGACTCCAAGATGGAAAGAGTTTGGGTCCCTATATCATTTACTGAAGAAGAACCTCCTGACCAGGATCAAACACTTACTATTTGATGAGTAAAAAATACACTAGTATTTGGTTAAGCCATTGAACTTGAAGGTTGTATCTCTTTCAACATTTACTTCTAAAGAACATGGAAGATCTAATGGAAGTAGAGAGTGGAATGGTGATTACCAGAGGATAGGAAAGAGGGAGAAATGAAGAGAGGTTGGTTGATAGGTATAAAAATACACTTAGATAGAAGGAATGAGTTCTAGTATTTGATAGTACAGTAGGGAGACTAGAGTTAATAATTTATTGTATAGTTAAAAATAGCTAGAAGAGAAGAATTGGAATGTTCCCTGCAAAAAGAAAAGATACATGCTTGAGGTGGTAGATATCCCAATTACACTGATTTGATCATTACACATTGTATACATGTATTAAAATATCACATGTATCCCCAAAATATGTACAACTATTACATATCGATAAAAAGTAATAATAATAAAATAAATTAGAAAAAAATACAGGAGATCTATGGTGACATTTACACTAGAATTTCTCATTTGAGTAAAGTCCAAATAGTGGCGTTGTCTTAGTTCACTTTGATCTGCTCTAACAGAATACCTGAGACTGGGTAACTTACACAGAATAGAGATTAATTTCTTACAGTTCTGGAGGTTGGGAAATCTAAGATTGAGGGGGCCACATTTGGTGAGGGACTTCTTGCTGTGTCATAACATGGTGGAAGGCATCACATGGTAAGAGAAAGTGAGCATGCAAGACAGGGAAGTGGGGGCGCCAAACTCAAATTTTTATCAAGAACCCATTCCTGCAATAACTAACCCACTTCCACAATAATGGCGTTAATCCAGTCATGAAGGCAGAGCCCTCATGACCTAATCACCTCTTAAAGGTCCTACCTCTCAACACTGTTGCACTGGGAGTTAAATTTCCAAGACAAGAGCTTTGGGTGACACATTCAAACCATAGCAGGTGGACTGAAGATAGAATGACAGTTTAAAAGATAAAGCAAATTCGGAATATATACATATTGGATTAAAAGTATTTCACCTTTGAAGGCCAAAGATAGGGAGGATTTTCTTGGTGGGGAGGAGTGGGAGGTAGAACAAAGAATAAAAAATGAAAGGAAGAGTACCTTCAGGATGAGAGGGAATCTAGACTAGTATTAAAGGCTGAGGGCAGTTGATCAGGAAGGATAAGGTAAAGCTGCAAAAGAGGAATAAGAGTAGGCACGACACCGCGAAGAAGGTGAGAGGCAATGGGATCAGGAATACAGATGGAGGGGTAACTTCAAAAAAAGAAGGGACACTTCATCCTCTGAAACTGGAGAAAGCATATATAGATGTTTTTCTAAGTAGAAAACTTTCTCATGTACTACTTAAAATAGTTTTTCAGGGTACCTAAAACAAGCGTTGGGATTTTCATTTTTTCAGTTGAGGAAAAGGCTCAGAACATAAATTATTTTCCAAAGCCATATAATTAATAAAGTCAAGACTGAAACCCAGGTTTATTTAACCAAAAAATATTCCCATGTTCTTTCCAATATGCCCACCAGATTACAGGAGTTTCTTGCCTAATCTTGTTTACCACAATACTCTCATAGTTCAATGGGCAAAATCAGAAGAGAAAAAAAAAGTCAAAACAAGTCAAAGATTTATTCTGACTTCTATGAAACTGGAAATGACAAGATAATCAAATAACACTGTCCTCAAGCATCAATATATGGAAAATGAGTCAAGAATCAAAGTACACCTGTATGTTTGTGTGTGTGTATGCTAGAAGGCAGAGCAACGGGTAAAGCACATATTACAATTTGTAAGGTGGTAGAAAAGGGAAAAAAAACCCACAGAAACCATAGGTGTGATGAACCTAAGATAATGTTTTCAATCAAGAGAGTGTCCTCACCCAGGCACATTGGACTTTGGGCTTTGCAAGGAAAGATCATACAGCCAAATATTGGTGAAACATAATGACTTGTAGGCATGAAACATTTATAGCACAAAGAAAGTGAAAATGTTGTTAAGAGACACTATACTAGTAAAGCCAAATAAGAAACATTAACTCTGAAGTGTCATTTCAACTAGTATGATAATTAAAATTTAAATGAGAAGCTGGATGGTATTTCTAATGTTTGGCAGTGAACATCTTTTCTGGAAAATATTTTTACAGAGTAACCACACCTTGGTCATTAAATAAATTAGAACACTGAGATAATAAGTTGATTTTTATCAACAGTAGTAGAACAAACATTTAAGGGATTAGGAAGAATTGTGGAATAATGTACAATGCCTAAGTACACTGGTGTGCCATGAATGAGTTACAAGTGTGTAGAGATATTTATCCAGAGATATTTAACTAAAGACTCTCAGCCAGATATTTAATCAGAGGGGGTGACCTTGAACAGTTGGGTCCTCTGGATTTTTACCTTCTTCCACAAATAACCTCACCCATTTACTGGATTTTGCATTTGCCATGACTTGAAAAGGCTGGGAAGCACCGAGGTACACACAAATAGAGATGTTCCAACTGTAAATCAAGAGCACTTTATGAACAGGCCTGACTATTACTGTTTCCTGGTCATAGTCTTTTGAGATTATCCCAACTTCAAGGTTAATTAAGAATGCCCTGCAATGAGGCTCCAAGGCTTACAGTCACTCACTCACACTTGACCAAATTCAACGGGTGGTTAAGCCTCTCAAGAGGATGGTTAACATAAGTCTTGATTATTGGCTCATAGACCTAACTAGTTTTTAAGAAGTCCTGGCTAGATTCTTGGGGCATAGGTTCCAGCTGCATCTGCCTGGTGACATATAGCCCTAGTCTATCATTTTTTAATCTACTGTCTTCTCCTGTTTGTGGGGAAGGTCACTGGATAGGACAGGGGCATCTCTGGATGAAACATGAAAGCATCTGAAATTTGTGTTGCCAACACCCCAATGGAACTTGTCAGGGGCACACTACAGGTTTGGGTTAGAAATCCAAAGAGGTCAACCACCTCAGAAATCTCACTTATTGCATGCCTATATTCTACCCTATATGGGCCTCCCAATAGGGGGATGGTCAAGCACATGTATACGTAACTGGCCACTTACCCTTGGTGCTGACATCCAACCTCTAGATCCTAGCCTGTGCACCTGATAATGTTAGGTTGCTAATATGGCATGCAGAAGATTGCCCTTGGCTTTCAACTTCAAGAATCAAGTTCCAAAACACAGAGAATGACCAGACCATTACTACCATCATGTTCATGATCAGTTCATGGGTTTGCCCTGTTTCCAGCCCTCTGTATCTGTCTTCACAAAATGAAGAAACTAGAAACTGTACAACACCCATTTATAGTATGGCCACTTTGATGAATCCCAAAGTAAGAGAGAGGTTTCCTTCATCTACAAACCTATTGCCTTGATGAACAGACATTGGATTGCATGGCCAAATTATTCCTTTAATTACACTGGAGAATGATAATTTTGAATGCCCAAAATATTTAAATTTGTTTTTTGAAACATATAAAGTACTTAAAAACAAACAGAAGTAGAATAATGTTGTATTTGTTGAATGTTTGAATCATTTTAAGGAAGGCCCGATAACAGAATTGAATTGAATTCATATTCAGAAACACAATGCTTCATAAAATATTTTTCCACTCTAAAGAAACAGCAATAAAGCAGTTGATAATTCACTACCTTTAAATTGCCAACATTTCTTCCCTGAAATGCTGACTATGGAACTGCCCTTCAACCCTTCTCCTATCACCCTCCACCCTATACGCTTCAGGATTCTCTTGGGAAGTGTGGTTTGGGACCAAAAAAGCTTAATTTTTCCCCTCTTGCAAGTTGAGCAGAAAACACTGACCATTCCCCTTCCTTTTTCTACCTTGTGTGTGCAGCATTATCACCCATTCCAGCTACTCCCTCTTTTGTGATCTGCATCCTGATAACTCAAAACTGATCCCCAAACTGGATCTCTTTTCTGAGCTCAAGACCCAACATTGGATGGAGTAAAAGTTCCTTGAGAGTAAAATTGTTGCTACTTCCACCATATTTTATTTACGGGAAAATTAAGTGCTTTTTCTACTCCATTGCAGGAAGGAAGAGGCTGACATGTCACTGCCTCTGAAAGTTCTGGATTGCGGAAGGGCAAATCCTGGATCTCAGTGCAGGGCAGGATCTTAATGAAATTGGGGAAAGGTAAGAGTGAGCATGAAGTGAAGTGGGGATTATGAAAATGTCAAATTCTGTGCTGTATGGAGTGAGGGGTACAGACTTTCCCAGAAGACCCTCCAGGAGTGATCCAAAAAAATAGTAAAAGAAAGGGTCTTGAAGAAGAAGATGGCTGATCAATATGTTGGCAAGGCTGAAAACCAAGGATGTTGGAAAACTACTGCTACAGTGTTAGCCCCTCCAATCCCCCAGAACTTCAGATTGGCTAAATAAAAGCCTTGCGTAAATAATTGTTGGTGATATTATCAATAAAGTGAGGTTCTTTTCTACACTTGTGACAATGTAGAAGAACAGACAGACAGCACATGAGGACAAGGAGACAGTCTAGTGAACAAATTCAATGAAAGCAGAAATTTTGACTGAGATGAGCAGAAAACTGTTAATACATGCCTGCCTTTCTGCCACCAGCCCTGCCATCAAGAATCTCTAGAGACTAGGAGGGCTGTAGGCCCTCTTCATGTTGATTAGGGTTGATCAGGGTTCAACATAATTTCTTTGAATCCCAAAGCAAGCTGTTTCAGCTGCCTACCAGGTTATACCAATATATTCAATTGTCCACTTGACGTCTTCACCTGGATCTCTCACATACATTTTGTAACCACCAGCCTCAGGACTAGACTAATGGTCTTATTCCCAAGTCTGTCTGTTGCTTATCTTGCTAAAAGGAAACAACATCCACTCAGGTGCTCTTCCTGCATTCTGGCTAGCCTTAACTCCTCACATGTCATTAATCAACAAATCCTATAAATTCTAACACTTAATTGTTTCTCTACATATTCAACCTCCCTCCCTCCAATGTCAAAATCACTGAAGTAGCCTACAAAATGGCTAACTACAGCCACTTTTGCCCCTGTCCAATCTATTTTGTTTTTCAAGAAATATTACAACACATTTTCTATTAAAAAATTATATTCTGACTCTGGACTCCATACCACTGAACTGATGGGGAATCTGGACTTATTTCTTCCTGGTGATCCTCCCTTTCTAGAGAGAGGAAAAAGGAAAAAAAAAACCCAACAAACATTATTTACATCTCATGTTCTCCTGATAATATTCCCTTGTTCATGGAGTACACTCTTTACTGCTCCTCTTAGTAGAAAATCTCTTGCAGTTTATTAGAAAATATCATTTATTTCAACCCATTCTTTGAAATTATTTTTCTGGATATATAATTATTGGTGTGGAGTTCCTCCTTCATTCACTCCTTCCTGAAACCTGTACCTCCCTTCTCTCTCTCTCCCCCAGCACTCTGAAGATATTATTACACTACACACACATTATCCAATTATTTTAACTAAAAATACACTTGGAATAATTCTATCCATTTGAAAAAATACAATCTTCATTTTTATATGAGAACTAGCATCAATAAATAATACCCATTACTTTGAGTAGAGGGTAATGACATTAGCTGTGGTATATTTGACTTTAAGACAGATAAAGCTTCTTAACTAGATTCACAAAACCACAAGAGTATAAAACTCATGACACATTAAAAAGATCTTATTAAGGACATAGATTATGTTTAAATGATAAGTACCACAAATTATTATGAAAATAAAAATGAAATATTCATAATGCTGGGGGAGAGTAAGATATCTGAAGCTTTCTGTAACATCTTTGATAAGTGGAAAACACCTCTAGTGATGGACAACTCACTCGCTGTTTCCAGCTGAGCTGGAAGAGGTGCATCCTCTGATTTGCTTCGTAACTTTCCTCCTCCTATGTTGGTTCTACCTTTAAGAAGGACTGGCAGTAAGTCTATGTCTTCATCTAGAGCACAACCCGCCCAGTATTCAAAAAACATTTCTGCACTTCTGCATGTCTTGCTTGTATTTGCTCCTTGCCTCAAACAAAATATTAAAGACTCCTCACCTACATGACATTTTTTTGTGTCTTTTCCACTGCATCTGTTCTGTCCTCTGGATGTTCTCATACATAGCTGAAATCTCTAAGACCTGGTGGTCCCAAGCCCTCCAGGTAACTCAAATATAATTTGAATTCCTTTATATATTAATCAAAGTCCTATTTCTAAGTGTATTTCCTCCCCTTGACCTTGCTGTCTAAAGTAGTGAAATACAGTCACTTTCATTCTGTTACAAATTAAAGACTTGACTCACACATGCCCTCCCACAACAGTCAAACCAGGTTAGATTTCCTGCACTTTGATATATTGAACACACCTGAGTTTTTTTCCTCCTCGTACATATGGTTTTCCATATGTCTGATCTTAATTTATTTGGAAGTAATTAACACATACATGAATGTTATCATATGTAGATTTATGCACATGACCTTCACATTTTTCATTGTGATATTTTCAGATTCACAGATTCAAGAGCTTGTGAGAACATCATCATCTAAAATCTCTTTCATTTCCTCTAGATAAGGTAGAAGAATCAATACCAGCAATTGGAATCATTCGAAATGAAGCAAAAATGCACTTTTCATGAACTATTATTGTTTGTAGCATTCAAAGAATGGTTGAGGACATACTCTGTGTTCTCCTTCTTTTCTTTATCTTACATGTTTCTTTAGTAATATACTATTAATATTTCTGATCTTTAGAAATCTCAGGTCTATTTTTATACTTGGAGTTCAATGTGCTCACTGGTTCAGGCAAATATAGCCCCCAAATGTCAGATTGCTAGATGCTGAGAAGCTGTGCATACCCTAGATAATGCAGTACCCTGCTATTCCAGAGCCTGGGGTCCTCATCACAGACCACAACAAGCCATATGACTTAATACAAAGTCGTTTAACCTTTCTGAGCCTATTTTCTTCACTGTCAAATGGGGACACCTATAGCTGCTCCATCTCACAAGGCCTTTTTGAGTTGTGCTACTGAGAATTATCTAAACATAAGGCTCCTTTAAAACTTAAGATTTTCTATAAAGCTAACATTTATTGAGGATTTACTATGTGTCATGAGCAGCTCTTTTCGTGCAATATTTCTTTTAAGGTTCACAATCTTATGAGTTTGGTTCCATTTTTCCTCTACTTCACAAGGAAAATGAAGCTCAGAGTGGTCGGCCACTTTGCCTAATGTTCCACAGCTACCAAAGGAGGAGGTGAGAGTGGAACTGAGGTTTCTCTGAGTCTAGACCTTCTGCTTTTAGACAGTAGGCAACACAGCCACATGCAACTTGCTGTGTTGGTGTCAGTGCTCATTAGAGCCCCTGCCTGGCCTAAATATATGTGCTGATCTGTTGTCTTAGTCCAGGATCTCTAGAAGCAGACACTGAAAGGAGGGTTTGTGTGCAAGAAATCATAAAGGCAGTACTCTCTAAGGAACACCTGGTGAGGGAGGAAGGGAAGCAGCCCAGGAGGGAGAGGAAGCCAAGAAGAACAGAACCCTGGAAATGTCTCATAGGGGTAGCTTCGGCCTGAGCCCACAGGAGACTTAAGTGTGAGTTACACCTCCAAGTTGCTTTGACCCGAGGCAAAGGATTTCGGCCTCCATGTTCCAGCACTAGACAGTCATGAGCCAAAATCTATGTGTTTGTGTGTACGGGCTGGGGGCATAGCCTGCCAGCTACTTCCAGCTTTCTATTCGTTCAACAAAGTGGGTTCAAAGTAGGTTCTAGCAGTCAAGGGGAATCACCAAGAAAAGAGGACAAAAGAGCAACATAAAATTGAATGGAGAGGGAAGGTAAAGAAACAGTAAAAAGCATATGAAGGGATCCAGGCCAGACCCTGACATTGTCCGCCCTACCTGGAAAGCACCAACCTTTTGCCTGGCTTCCCTGTGGAAGACACCTGCTCCTTGCTCTTTGATCAATTGGATCTCCTCGGTCTTCAAGGCAACTGGCTGAGACTGTAACTCAGAAAAGCACATTTCTGAACGTCAGGCAAATTTACCACATTTTTACATTCCATTTGTAATGTCTGGAATTATTATTCCTTTCCTGGCGGATAGGTGCTCATAGTAAAGTTAGTTTTAAGCAGGGGAACAACAAAACTCAGCTGGGCGCTTTGGTGCCCTGGTCAGAAAATGATGGAAAGACAGGCCCTGAGCCTGGCTGGAATCTTTACAAGCAAAGGCCTCTCCCAGCAACGGCCAACTGGAGCAAGGGAGCAGAGCGGTGGAGGTCAAGGGTCTCTTGGCCAAGGGAGCTCTAAGTGGGGGTATTTGACCTGAAGCATCAACTAGAGACAGCATGCACTTCCTGGATTCCTGATCTGCAATTCCACAATTGCTGTAATAAAGGGCACTGCTCGCATCCAATCTTGGCCTGTACTTTAGTGAAATTTTTATTTCCCTAGAGTAGCCAATTTGACGGAGATAAAGAAACTGTCCATTTAAGAAATGTCTATATTATTCATCATTCTATAAAATTAATTCTATAATATGCACCAATCTCCCCAAAGGTATATTCCTTTTATAATGTGCATCAGCGGTGAATTTTAGCAAAGAAATATCTAGTCAAATCTGAAAATTATGGTTTTATAGTAGAGTATTTGCATATGGTATTCTCAAGAAAAGTAACTTAAGAATTCATAAGATGTTATAACCTACTGAACAGAAGTGTAGATACATTTGATGATCGCATCTGTCTATTTTGCCATGAAAATAATCATTGTCAAATTACAAAGTTTAAAAAGCAACTCTCAAACTGCATTTAGGTATGGCAGAGGACATTGTTAAATGCCCAGTTATAACTTGCTCCACAAACAGTTTCCAGTTGAAACTGCAGTGTGTTTCCAGAAATTAAGTCACTAAGTAAACTTCCCTTGCAGACTAATACCACAAAGAACCTTCAGCACACCAAAAAATTCCCTTCATGCCTTTTGTGCCTAGCATAATTCAAGGTTTTAAGCAGGACACACACACACACACACACACACACACACACAAACACACAAACACACACACACACAGAGAGAGAGAGAGAGAGAGAGAGAGAATACCATAATTAATAATTAAACCCAATACAAAATAAGCTTAAATATGTATAGTCTGTCCAATAAAAATTATATTCTAAAGTAAGTCCTACAAAGTGAGTACACAGAGGAGCTTTGAATATTGCCAACCACTACACACATGACTGCAAAATACAACCAGACTAGGTTGGGATTTTTTTGGTCCTAGAAATAATATATCAGTTATAACCAATATTCAATAGCTCATTAACATTTTTCCTGTCTGACAATTTAGAATCATTTTTGAGGGAATGATTTTGATGGCTTAAGTCTCTGAAAACTGCCCAAATGGTCTTCTTTCTCTCTCAGTATACTTCTGGTTATTAAGCACACACTTTCAAAGGCATCCCGCTTTTCTTAGAGGTCCTCTGAATAGGGAAAATAGTCAATAAATGTGTTAGGGATGATAATGATGGTGTTTCTAGCCCCCAGAAAGCATGATTAAGTAGGAAGCAAACCTCTCTCCTCTTTATCCTTCATCTCAGGTACCTCCATCCAGCTGCCCCAGAGCAACCATTCCCAGCAATGACCCCAGGAAACAGCAGCTCATCTGGTTTGGGTTCCTTCAGTGTTAGCTAGCTTTGTCCACACTCTTCCCACTCTGTCTATGCTGCCCTATTAAATATGGTTGGTGACATTAACACCACCTTTTCTCTATGGAATCTGCTCAGACCTGTGGCTTTCACAAAAACCAAAGGTCAGGCATCCATCCTTCCCTCTCCCTCCACAATTTAATACCACAAGTGACCTACAGCACACTGAAAAATGCCTTGTGTGCCTATTATATTCAAAACTTTGAATAGAAGAATACATTCAAACACACACAGCATATGATACAACATAAAACAGAGCATATGCAGTCATCAAAATCAAATACATAATGATACTAGAAAATGTCCATAATCTTGTACGCTTAAAAGTCCTGACTACTATAATTCCAGTATATTTGTTTTGTTTGTTTGTTTTTTGAGACGGAGTCTCATTCTATCGCCCAGGCTGGAGTGCAGTGGCACAATCTCGGTTCACTGCAATCTCCGCCTCCTGGGTTCAAGTGATTCTCCTGCCTCAGTCTCCGGAGTAGCTGGGATTACAGGCATGTGCCACCACACCCAGCTAATTTTTGTATTTTTAGTAGAGACGGGGTTTCGCCATGTTGGCCAGGCTGGTCTGGAACTCCTGACCTCAGGTGATCCACCTGCCTCGGCCTCCCAAAGTGCTGGGATTACAGGTGTAAGCCACTGCACCAGGCCTTGTTTTCTTAATATATGTATATGACTAGGAAAAAAAGGCTAAAAGAACAGACATCAAAATGTCATCGGGGTTATGACCGAGCATTAGAATTATGGATAATTTGCTTTATTCTTTGTGGTTTTTGCATTGTTTCCAAATTTGTTATAGTATAATTATGAAAAGAGAAAATAAAAAAAATTCATACTTATTAAACATAGACTATACATGACCCTTAACAACTTCTCCTAGTATTTGGAAGTTTGCTAACATGTTACAGAATCCCTTAACATTTCCCTAAGAAACTAAGAAATCAATTAGCATGTTAGTTGCTTGGACTCTACAAGGACTACCAGAATTATCTCTTGTGAAATTTGCTAAGGCAAGAGCATATCTTGCCTTAAATGTCAATAGTACTGCTGTTGAGAATCCTTGCTCTAGAAATAAGGAAGTGGCCAAAGAAAGAGTGAGACAAGAGAATGAATATGTTGTCATCTCCTATAAGTCGAGTATGAAGAAGAGTCTTGTTTTTGCTTTTGTTCACAATAAGTGAGACTTGAGAGTGGAAAGGGATGCCTATGTAGAAAATTACTGTCAGCAGCTGGAATTGTTATACTTTGTGTAAAAGCTCCCTTAAACTGTGGTAACTCTCAAAAGACACATTTCAGTTTCTTGGAATTTCACCTCTGGAATACTCTTTTTGTGAGTTACAAGGAACAATACATGGTATAAAAGAAGATAGCAATCCATGACAGGTAGGAGATAAAGAAAGGAATATGAGTGATTGCTTGGGACAATTAGAAGAACACCTAGAAGGACTCTCTTGACATTTCAAAACACTTTGATCACCAGGTTAAGATTCAAGAGACCTGAATGGTAGTCCTGCTTTGTTATACCAAACTGCCTGAACTTGTTCAAATTATTTAATCTCCCTGAGTCTCAATATCCGCTTTTATAACCTTACCTATCTGATAAAATTGCCACAAGTCTCAAAAAACACCAAGTGACTATTAGTAAACCTACAGACAGTCTCTTATTTTTTACTGATTAGACATCAATTTTGTTTAACAAATTTCTTTTAAAATGCACATATTGCCAGGTATAGTGGCTCATGCCTGTAATCCCAGCACTTTTGGAGGCCAAAGTGGGTGGTTCACTTGAGTCCAGGAGTTCACGACCAGCCTGGGCAACACAATGAGACCCCATTTCTAATTTAAAAAACAAAAAAATAAAATGCACATATGCTGGTCTGAGTTTATCCCCTGAGACATACATGCACCAGTGTGAACCACTTTAAACAAGTAATATATCATATCCATCCTTGGTGAGGGCCATGCCTTAGTGGAGAGAGCAATGATTTTGGAGCTCGGGCACTCCCGAGGATGGAACTTGGGGATGGGTTACTGGTGTGATTAGTTCAGAACTCTAGACAATAACGTGGAGCACCCAGCAACTGGCAGAAGGGAGCAGAGGTTCTCAACTAGGAGTGATTTTGCTCCTCTCTTCCAGGGGCCATTTGACAATATCTGGAGATATTTTTGATAATCACAACTAGGGGAGGGGATGCTATGGATATCCAGTGGGTAGAAACCAGGGATGCTGCCAGACACCCTACAATGCACAGGATAGCCCTGCACAACAAAGAATTCTTCAGCCCAAAATGTCAATAGTACTGATGTTGAGAATCCTTGCTCTAGAAATAAGGAAGTGGCAAAAGAAAGAGTAAGACAAGAAAATCCAAGAAAAATCTCACCTACTCTGAATCCCCTTAAGAGTCCAACTGGCACCAATTGCTGGTTTATTAGACCAAAATATCTTATCCTAGGCTTATTAGCTGGCAACACTTCTGGGTTTAAATCACAAACTTAGGTGGCCAGAAATCTGGTTTCTGAATTTTTCACCACCTTCTTTTCAAATTATAAGAATCTTATCTTGGCAGATATGATGATACTCTATGACCATCACGTTAATGGAAAGTGAGTCCTTAATTTTAAGGTGTCCAGGAAAGATTATACTAAAATGTGCTAAAAAATGCTACACTGGTTCAGGAATCTCATGCAATATGTATCTCCTTTTGTCTGTACTATTTCTCATCAGTAGAAAAAAAAAAGAACAGAAATTGCCATAAGAATTATGCAAAGAAAAAAATATGTATTTTTCCTATGACTCTAAGTGGTTCAACAGCATTATCAGATAATGTGAAAATATATCCTTAAAAATAATCTCAGTCTTACTCCAATTTCAAGGAATGAACACCATAAAGCTCAAGAAAATTAATGGGCTCATCCTAGAATCCACAGTGGTTTCATAGCAGGCCACTGTACCCTGGACTATCGATGAAGCAATGATTCTAAGGGCTGAATAATCCTGTAAGTATTCTTCTACCACTCTAGCATTTTTGTCTGCTAAGAGCACGCAAAGGTAACCTTTACATATCAGAATATGGTGGAAAATCGAAGCTCTTCATTTCAGTGAAGTGAATGAAGAGTCAGCTCTTAGAAATGGAAGGACGGATCTCATTTTGATGCAATGTGAACCAAAACTTCTTTGATTTTTTAACACAGCAGCAATCCAACTGAGAAGCAGGCTTTTCAGAAACCCCGTGGGGTTTGGGGTTCAGTAATTCCAAGGAAGTGAATCACAAGAAGCAGTGGTTAGTTGTCAAAACATCTGTTTGCAAAACCCTAAAGGGGAAGAATACCACTGGCATCCCTGGTTGAAGCAGAAGATACTGGAACCATAATTTAAGTACAGGCAACTCTGAGTCAATCCATCCATGGTGATTACATTTGGACATTGTCTTAGTCCATTTTGTGTTGCTGTAACAGAAATGCCACAGACTGGGTAATTTATATTGAAAAGGAATTTATTTTTTACAGTTTTAGAGGCTAGGAAGTCCAAGGTCCAGGGGCCCATATCTGGCAATGGGCTTCCTGCTGAGTCACTCCATGGTGGAAGGCAGAAGGGCAAAGGAGCACAAGAGACAGTGAAAGAGAGGAATAGGCTGAACTCATCCTTCTTATCAGGATCCCACTCCTAAGATAACCCACTCCCATGATAACTAGCCACACCCATGATAACAGCATTAATCCATTCATGAGGGCAGAGCACTGATAGCCTAACCATCTCTTGATGGTCTCATCTCTTAATACCATCACAATAGCAATTGAATTTCAACATGAGCTTTGGAGGTGGCATTCAAACCAGAGCAGACATCCTCTATGAGAGGAAGCCAAGAACTCCTTGAAAAAAAAAAAAAAAAAAAAAGAGGACATAAGAGAGGAGAAGAGATTGAAAAAAAGAGACCAAGTGGGTGACGTCAATTATCATTACTGCTCTGGCAGAAAATATTTAGTGTCTGACAAAGGACTTGCTGGCACTTCTCAACACTTGGGTTCTCTTTGTCTTGCTAAGAAGCTTATGAGCCTCAGAGCTGGCCGCAAATATAGTTCCTTTGTGAGAAAAAAATCCCAACCCACTGTTTTCCCCTTTTTCTTATCATTTCTGGGCAAGAGCGCTTTAAAAGGAAAGCCCAGATTAAGGGCGATTCAACCAGGCAACTACCTCTCTCTGCATACAGAGTGCCTTTATGTAAATGAGTCAGTCATCCCTCTTCCTGCAGGCCCACCCTCAACATATGCAGGTTTGGGAAAGAACGCAAATAGAGGGCCACACACTATACATCCAATTATGTAAAAGTTCCAAATCAACTACTAATCTGTTAAATCAAACATGTGTTCTACCCTCGTAATCTGACAAACGTTCTTTCATAAGGACTTGCAAGGTAGTTTCAAATTTAAAAACTTTACGCCCCTCACAGTGCCACCACGGTGTGGCAGAAGGAGACTGCCTCAGGACCCTGCCTATGCCACCCCTCTCCTCTCCCCAACTCACACTCAGGGCCACTCCAGAGCTCCATGTGGATGTGCAGTCCAGGCATCTCAGCTCTGTCCACCTTGCCTCTGCAAACAGACCCACTGGAACTGTCCACCTTGCCTCTGCAAACAGACCCACTGGAACATTCTTCAGTGTGACCTATCCTTCGGAGCCCTGGAAGCAGAATTTCAGGATCCCAGGTCCACAGCACATGGACTAGAACAGGAGCTGGTAAACTTTTCCTCCAAAGAGCCAATTTTTTAGTAAATATTTTAGACTTTACAGGCTACACTATTTCTGGATTTCAACCACCACTCATACCTCACTCCCTCCCTGGCCTGGCAACAATATGTGTAGCAATACAAAAGGGGCTTTGACTGAAATCTCTCCAATAAAGCAGAACTAGGGCGCCAGTCAACTTAGCAGTCCACAGTGAACCTCTTCCTTAACTGGAAAAAATAACATTTCTTCTACTGCCTCAAGAGAAGGGAGATCCCATGTGGAAAAAAGAAAAACCATCTCCCCATCCACTAAGTGCTTAGAGTGACCAAGTCTGAAGGGGCATATGTTTGTCTCTTCCAGCCCTGAGGGGAGGTGGAAGTAACTTCATCCCAACTAGAGGGGAGTGAACAAGAGAAATTTAGCTGAGCCAAAGGCAGAATCCTCTAGGCTGGGCTGGACTCCAACTGATAGCCAGCCCACCCAATCTCATGCAGTTTCTGGGCATACCTCCTCTTTGGAAGAAGAAATGCAGCTTCATTTAAAAAAAATAAAAAACAAAACAAAACAAAACAAAACAAAACAAAAACGCCAGGTGCAGTGGCTCACACTTGTAATCCCATCACTCTGGTAGGGCAACTTAACAGGATCATTTGAGCCCAGGAGTTCAAGACCAGACTGGGCAATATAGCAAGATACCATCTCTACAAAAAATTAAAAAATTAGCTGGGCAACATGGTGTATGCCTGTAGTCCCAGCTACTCAGGAAGCTGAGGTGGGAGAATCGCTTGAGCCCAGGAGGTCAAGATCTCACTTCTGTACTCTAGTCCAGCCTGGGCGACAGAACTGGGCTTTGCCTCAAAAAAAAAAAAAAAAAAAAAAAAAAAAAAAAAAGCCCTTTAGATGGACAACTGTTTCTGCTCCAGTGTGAGGAATGTGGGCCCAGGATGCTGCACAGTGCCTGGAATAAATGCTTATCATGCTTCACCTTCCCACATGTCATAGACAAAAACTTCCATGGAAAAAAAAAAACTAGGTTTGTTTCCTCCACCTAGAACCTTTAGTATGCTATATAATGACAAGAGCATCTTCAGTTTTGTGAATAAAAGCAATCTTATAGAGATGCCCCGAAACTTTACTCTCACCTTCCAAATATCTGCTATAACAACATATAAGACATTTGTACACTCAATTCGCTAACTAAAATGAAAACCTGCCATGATTAATTTGCACATGTATGCCAGTGAAAATGTTCAATGTGCTCTTCAGGCTAGAAGAGAGGATGTGGATTGCACTGCAGTTATTGGATTGGAACACATCCTGTGCTTGAGTTGTTTAAATATCTTGTGCATAAGCATGATAGTCTTTTCCATATTATCAATTGAAAATGCCCTTTAAGAAGATGGAAAATTCCATGAACAAAGTAGGAAAGATAGGAAAGCTATAAAATCTCATGTTAAAACACGAGGTGGGAATGACGAAGCATACAGAAACAGGTGAACAGGCCAGGTCCAGTGGCTCACACCTGTAATCCCAACACTCTGAGAGACCAAGGCTGGAGGATCACTAGAGCCCTGAAGTTTGAAATCATCCTGGGTAACATAGAGAGATCCCATTTCTACAAAAGATTTTTTTTAATTAGCTGGGGCCAGGTGTGGTGGCTCATGCCTATAATTCTAACACTTTGGGAGGCCAAGGAAGGAGGATTGCTTGAGCCCAGGAGTCTGAAACCAACCTGGGAAACATAGCAAGATCCTGTGCCTACAAAAAATTTTTAAAAATTAGCTGGGCATGGTGGCATGGGCCTGTATTCCTAGCTATTCAGGAGGCTGAGGAAGGAGGATGGCTTGAGCCCAGGAGATCAAGGCTATAGTGAACTATGACTGTGGTACTGCATTACAGCCTGGATGACAGAGCAACATTCTGTCTCGAGAAAGAAAAAAAGAAACAGGTAAACACAAGGAAGAGATAACTGAGTCATTTTCAGGTCTCTATATACTTTGCATACAGGTCAATCCAATGTTTATTGGCAGTAGTGTGTTTGTTGCAGTAGAGGAGGAAGATGTAATTTGCACTTAACATTGCACAGTAGCATTATATACTGCACCCAAGCCCACAAATGCATTTGTTAAATGTTAAATAGTTTGGCAATTTTTGTTCTAAATGCTTTGTGTTATGCAGAAATCCATTATAGAATGTTATAGATTAGTTTATTGATATTTGGGGGAAACTGTTTAGAGTTTTAGATGGGTTGGAAGTACATTATTGTTCTTCCTGTTTAAAATAAAGTAATAGAGACTCCTTGCATGTAAACTCACCATTCAATGCATTTTTTTTTTAGAACAGGTCAGTTTGGAAAGGATGCTGTGAATGAGAGTACAAGGTTGTTGAACAGAGATGACCATTAATTTTATTAGAAATGAGAGGATCATCTAATAGAAATGCATAGTCATTTGGAGAACAGTGGATTGGTTAGTCATGTGGGCCCATACACTGAATCTTCTTAATTACAAGCTGAAAATAATTTTTAAAATATAGATATAGTCACATTTAGCCTCAGTTACAATTCCAAAGTCAGGCAACAACCTTAAAGTATATGGAGGACCTACTGGAAAGTTTAGAGGAAAGGAAGTGATGTGTGAGGATGCCATGGAGTGCCAGAAAAGTCCTAGCAATGTCTTACTTTTCTTCTTCTTCTTCTTCCTCTTCCTCTTCCTCCTCCTCCTCCTCCTCCCCTTCCCCTTCCCCTCCTTCTCCTTCTCCTTCTTCTTCTTATTTTTTTTAGAGACAGGGTCTCACCCTGTTGCCCAGGCTGGAGTGCAGTGGTGCGATCATAGCTCACTGCAGCCTTGACCTTCTGGGCTCAAGAGATCCTTCCATTTAAGCCTCCTGAGTAGCTGGGACCACAGGCACATGCCACCATGCCAGGCAAATTTTTTAAACTTTTTATAGAGATAGTTTCTCACTATGTTGCCCAGGCTGGTCTCAAACTCCTGAGCTCAAGTGATCATCCTACCTCGGCCTCCCAAAGTGCTGGGTTTACAGGCGTGAGCCAGTGTGCCAGGCCTTATTTTCCTTTCTCTATATCTGCTAGCCACTGTTGAGCAATTCCAAGTCTACCCCAAGATGTCTGACACTCACCAGAGTAGCCGCCCCAGTCAGGGGTCAGGCTGCCTTGATGGCAATAGAGAGATAATAACTCTACATGAAAGTTGGAAGTGTGCTTTCACCACGAAATCTCGAATATTGGGGTTTGGCAGTAGTATTTTGATATACGTAAGTTAAAAAGCTGGAAATTACAAAGAATGTACACTTTGCCACTTCTCTACCTTCCATTTTCCATGCAACTGTGACTCTTCCAAAGTCCTCGAAGAACTCTCATACACCCAAAGTTGATGGCATGAAAGTGACCCACTTGGACAAGGTCTGAGTCAGTCTTGTCCTGATTTTAAGCCAAAACAGATAAATCTTTGGAATGTAATGAGTCAAACATCAGTTTTATACACTGCTTTTGGTGGGCTGATAAATGTTTGTAATTTCTATTGTTGCCAGCTTTTAAAAAGTTATTACTGATATTGAGAAATTCCCAGGAACCCAACAAAACTCAAGGATCCTATTGGTTTTTATTATGAAGGGCCTCCCTTTAGTAATATAAAAATCTCTTATTGCCATATTCCTGTTATTTGTCTCTTTCTTCTGTCTTGAAGGAAAAATCTGGCTGATCACAACCTTTGAATTTATAGGAGCAACTACACTCACATGAAATTTACTACACCAATGAAACATTACCCTTTTGGAAGGTGCCCATTTGAAAATAACTCACAAACATTGGCAGGTGCAATCAGACCAAAAAGGACAACAGGATCCATAAAAATAAAACACTGCCTTGATCAATATTTCTAACACCTATTGCATGACTAGTTCAGTAAATACACAAATGAGCCTGGCAAACCCAACTCAATTATTGGACACCCCTGCTGTTTTAATCACATTGCTTATCTTGATCTATAAAAAGCCCCATAAAAACCAAAAAACAAACCAGTTGTCTTTCATTTTGTGACTATGCACATTAAGGAAATAAAGTGTGATGAGCTGAAATAATGACAGCTTGGGGAGAGGGAATAAAAGAGCTCATGCATTTACTGAACTTAAAATAAGACGAAGTCATAGTTGAAGGCAGGACTCAAAGGTGAGTCCACACAATAAATTCCTCCTATAAAATGTCTGACATTGACTCTTGTTCACTATATCTGTGGTCTCTCATCTGCATCACTTTACTAGACTGCATTTACCGGCCTCCCTTATAGACACTGGGGATACATGCTTGAGTTCCAGCCAACTGTGAAGGCAGAGCCACATATTATTAGCCTTGCCCTTAAAACCGCCTGAGAGTTCCACGAAGTTCAAGCCTCTAGAATAGAGGTTGCCAAACTTTTTCTGTAAAGGGCAAGACAGAAAAAATTTAGACTTTGTGGGTCACATTGTCTCTGTCACAACCACTCAACTCTACCACTGTAGCACAAATGCAGCCATAGACAATAAGTACACAAATGAGCATGACTGTATTCCAGTACAATTTTCAATGGTAAACTCAGCAATCTGAATTGCATATAATTTTCATGGTCAAAAATGTTTGTTGGTTATTGTAAACATTATAAAAGTCAAAACCACGTGTTATGTATGAACTGAAGGTTTATCTCTCCACCCAAAAGTCATATGTTGAATCCTAATCCCAAATGTGATGGTGTTAGGAGGTGAGGCCTTTGAAAGGCGATGAGGTCATGAGTGTTCAGCTTTCATGAATGGGATTTGTTTCCTTATGAAGGAGACTCCGGAGAGCTCTATCACCCTCATTTCTTCCTGTGAGGACACAGCGAGAAGATGCTTATCTGTGAGCCAGGAATTCGGCTCTCACCAGAATCCAACCATGCTGGCACCCTGATTTCAGACTTCTAGCCTCCAAAACTGTGAGAAATAACTGTTTGTTGTTTACAAGCCACTCAATCTGTGGGATTCTATTATAGCAGCTGGAACTAACTAAAACACCATGCTTAACCCACAGGCCACACTTAGCTGCTTCCTAGACTGAAAGATCCTGAGTTGCTGCATGACTGTGTGGAGAAGAAAATCTTCCCCTCTCCCTTCTCTAGATAATGGCATGAGTAAGAAATAATTTTTACTGTGTTAAGTCTCAACATTTGTTACATAAGTTGAATACTCTCACTAATACAAAAGCAATTGCATAATCTTGACCATCATGAAAAGAACAGATACCATACAAACTGCTTCAGAAATGAAGAGTTTCCTTGGAGAAACACTAATGCTCCCATCTGAGTTTTTGTGACAAGCTTCAGCATCCAGATTTCCCTGAAGTTAAAGATTTATTTACAATTTTTAGGCAGGCAGAGTTTCTTTATTCTTCTCTTGTTTTCCCCCAACCCTTTTAAACATTTGCCAAGGATAATCTGATGGCATAACTTCCTAAGTGTTTCTGAGACAAATCTTGCCAGGGACCAATTTCTAAATGATGGATACCTGAGAACAAAAGTGGTACTTGTCTTAAAGAAAGAAGGTACAATTTCATTCTGGGAAATAGCCTTGATTCTGATTTAATGTGATGAATTGATAGCATAAACAAATAATTCATATACGATGACATGTACAAATAAGTCATTTCCATCTGCAGATGGAACCACAAAAGAGTCCATTTCATGTAATTGAGCAAATACTGTTTCTAAAGCATGATTATTCCACTATCTAAAGAACGCTTCAAACAGACACTGTAATTAAGCCCTTCAACATTCCTGATTTTATAGATTTTGTAACTGCATTGCTAATTTTAAAAGGAGTATTTAAGGAAAGTAGAACTGTGTAAAAAGGATTAACTAATAAATATTTATAGTGAATTTGAAGTTTATTAGACTATATTATCTGAGAGAAGGCACGGTTTTCACAAGAGTAATTTTAAAAAATTTTAATGACTTTGTATTATACAGAATTATCAATTTGTAAATATTTTATATTTCAGATATAAAGAGATATGAAACTAACTTTAGGATGTTCAAGTACAAATATGCAATGATTAAATAATGAGTATACATTTTAATTATACATTATGACAGATAATACTGACACAACGTTTAAAGAAAAGTTTTATCAACACCATAGAAGATTATAGATCACATTTTTAAAGATTTACTCTTATACTGCTGGTGATAGCAAAATTGTTTTTAAAGGGCCAGACAGGGCTGGACGCGGTGGCTCATGTCTGTAATCCCAGCACTTTGGGAGGCTGGTCGGGGCGGAGAGGGGTGGTGTGGATCACCTGAGGTCGAGAGTTCGAGACCAGCCTGACCAACACGGAGAAACCCCATCTCTACTAAAAATACAAAATTAGCCAGGTGTGGTGGTGCATGCATGTAATCCCAGCTACTCTGGAGGCTGAGGCAGGAGAATTGCTTGAACCCGGGAAGCGGAGGTTGTGGTGAGCTGAGATGGCACCATTGCCCTCCAGCCTGGGCAACAAGAGCGAAACTGCATCTCAACAATAAATAAATAAATAAGTAAATAAATAAAAATAAAGGGCCAGTAAACATTTTTGGCTTTGGAGGCCAAGAAGTCTCTGTTGCAACCACTCAACCCTGTTGTAGTATCACAAAAGCAGCCACAGGCAATGCATACATGAGTGCCTGTAGCTGTGAACCAATAAAACTTTATTTATAAAAACAGGTCACTGCTCTGACTCAAATTTGTCAATTCCTGTTGAACTGCTTCTGAATGGCAACCTAAAAGAGTTTATTTAACACATTGTTGCTTCGCTTCTTAAACCATTTTTAAAAATGTATTTAGGAAAACAATTCCAAGGATTATACTTATAGAAAACACATAATGATACATTTTAGTTTTCTGATCAGCTTCTGGAAATGTTGTGCCAACTCCTTACCCCTCTTCAAAACTGGACTTTCAAAAAGATAAATAACATAAAGCTTCTTGAAAATGAACTAGCTCTGGGTGGATAAAAATCTTTGGATCAAATATCAAAGAGAAAGGAGTAGTAAAAAATATTTGAATGACCAACTTTCCAGAAATCCTCAGGATTAATATCTAAACATAGCCTCTCTTTCTGAAGGTGTAGTCAAGTATGAGAGTCATATAATACAAGAGCAAATAGAATATGTTGGCACCAAGAATTGAAATGAGTTTAATTGAAAATATTTTAATAAATCTTCCTCCCTGTGAATATGGAAGATATTTGTTCAAAATGCTAACAGCACTACTAAAACAGACCAAGTCTGATTGCCAGCATGAAATATGGCAGGAAATGATCCTTCTCTGGCAGACATTTCATTCATGTTCAGGATGAATGGAGCATGTCTGAACATGCTAACTCATCTATTTCTAATGCAGCTACAAAACAAATACCAAAAAAAAAATTTCTGTACTTAGATGTATACAATATGAAAAGAATGCAAAAATATATTTCTTAAATGTAAAGTCATACATTCAACATTATTTTTTATTCAATTAAACCCAGTCTATTATTATCAACTATGCATAAAAATGTCCTAATATATATTAATGTTAGAAAATAATAAATGTAGACTCTTGTTCTTCTATTGCGTAGATCAGGGCTTCTCAACTTCAGCAGTATTGACATTTGGACAGGCTAATACTTTGCTGTGGGGACTGTCCTGTGCATTGTAGGATGTTTAGCTGCATCCTTATCCTTTACCCTTTAGATGTCACTAGCAACCCCCTTGTCAGTTGTGACAATCCAAAAGTATCTCCAGAACTGGCCAAATTTCTCCTGGGAGCAAAATCACCTCTGATTAAATAAAACAGCTGATGTACAGCAATTCATGTTCTAATATCCAAAAGAAATTAATATCCATCAACACTGCAATATGCTAGGAACTGCAGGCTTACAGAACCCAGTATTTCCTAAGTCACGAACAAGATAAGAATTGGCCTTCAGCTTTCTAATTTATACCTATCTTGTTTTATCAGGTATTTTTTTTTCTAATCAGATTCTTGGATACAGATTGAATTTAGAGGTTATTATTGTCATACGAATCTCCCACAACATTTGACAACATAATCATTAAAATTATATAAATTCCTTTATTTTTCCTTTATATAAATTATCTTTCCATTGCACTAAACATTTATGAAACCCTATATGACAATTTACTGTGAAAGTAGTAATGATTCAAAGATAAATAGGACTGAATCCCTACTTTTAAAGAGCTTTTAATTTGATCCCGAACTCTCCCAACTAGAATGTCAATTCCATGAGCACATGAGAACAGTAACTGACATATAGTAGGTGCTCAATAAAACTGTTGAGCAAACTTGGCCTTTTATAATGCTTGAGGGTTTTCAAAGTTTTTCCACATACAACGTTATCTGAGTCTCAGATAACACTGTATGGTTTGATAATGCTGATTTTACAGATATGGAAATGGAAATTCAGAGTGGCCAAGTGACTTATTCAAGATTAAATAGTTTGTAAATGTTAAGTTGTTTTAAACAGAAGATGTCTCAGTCCTAGTTAAGCTCTCTTTCTATTACAAACAACATAAATAATTCAAAAACCACAGAGAGAATCTGATGGCACTGGTTTAGTGTCTGTGTCCTTCTTGAAAAGCACCTGAACTCTTGGCACAGGAACAGGTGGAGGGAGATAGGCCGGAGGGGCAGGTGGTTGGGAAGTGGCTGACATTTGTTAAACTCTTGCCATGTGCCAAGAGCTACATGTACATCACTGAACTTCACAGCATCCCTACGATGTTGGCACTATTATCCTCATTTACAGGTGAAAATACTGAGGCTCAGAGAGGAAAGTAACTTGTCCAAGTGAATTAGCAGCAGTGATAAAATTGGCATTTGGGTGTCTTTCTGACAAAAAGCCATGTTCTTTCTGAGACTCTAATTGGACTTTCAAAGATATGCATTGAGCGATGGCTCTGGATAAAGGTACGATACTGCATAAAAAGTCTAATACTGAATAGTGGATATAAAATGCTGTACTGAAATCTAAGTACTGCCCTTTAATTTTCACTTATTTTCATAATTGCCAATGGTTAACTTTGTAAAGCAGCTTAATAGTACTGATTACACTATCAGCTATGCATGTAAACAAACTAACTTTTTCATGTTCTTCTGATGTTGAAAAAGCATGAATTTTCATGCCTAAAAAAAAGTATCTTAAAACTCAAGTTGTATTATACGAATGAATAAAATTACACCAAATTTCCAGTAACTGGCCCCCTTATGCAGCTTGGAAGACCTGTCTTCTCACAAGAAAGGCATGAACTACCATTAGCTACAATTAAATTTAGGTTTGTAAGAGGAGAGACTATTTCATCCTCTCTCTTCTCCTTGCTTTACCCTAATTTGTCCTTGAGGTCGGCACACATTATTTCATCCTCAAAGCTGTTACCAGCCACATCTCCCCCAGAAGGGACGCGCAGCTTTCAATGGCTGCCATTTGATGAGCTCACTCAATTCCACCTGCTGACACAGCACCCTCTTTCTTTCTAGCTCCCAGGGCAGGCCAGGATAGCATATGTTGATAGGATGGCAATACGAACACATTAAAAGAATCCATTGAAAGCCCATCCTGTGTGTTAATAAGCCTGGTGCTTAGCACAGAGTTAGCACACAAAATAAACACTGAGTAAATGAATGAATGAATCCTAAGCAAACAAATAAACAAACGCTCAAAATGAGATACCACAAGGGCAGATCATTCTGCTGCTGACAGTACAAGAAAAAAGATGAATCCCCAAAAGTTTTAAAGCTAAATTTAGAGGCTGTTTTCACTCCTGATCTCTGTCTTCTCCCCAGCAGTGTCCAATCCTTCACAAGTTGTTAGCATGTTTTCTTCTTTTCCAATTTTGCAATTCATAACATTGCTGCCCCATTGCTTTCCCTGATCTTCTAACACCCAGTCCCACTGCTCCTAAAAGTGTTATATAGAATATAATTGCATTTTAAATGAAAGTGAATTTATTTTTAATTTTGTTTTAGATATTTCTCAACACCCCTGGAGGTGGTTGGCATCATTCCTGGAGGCTGCAAATCAAAGTTGTCACAAAGTGCAGTAGGAGAAACCCAAGAGTGCTGCTCAGTATAATCATCTTTATGTGGTATTAGTGCACCTCTCTGCTCAAGCCATGGCAAATGTTCAACGACCTGCTGCATCACTGGTCTTGGCTCATTTCTTACCTCCAGGGTTGACTCTGGCTCATTTTTAAATTAATCTGTACTTTGGAGGTTCTAATAAAAGATTTATGCTGTAAAGTGCCAACAAAACAATCTATCCTTAGCACAGTGCTCCCACTCCCTTCTTTATCACTCTCACAACACACACACATACACACACTCTCTCTCTCTTTCTCTCTCTGCCATAACATTAGACCATTAACATTACATTAAAATATAACATTGAAAGAACATCCTCTGTAGAGCTTGACTGGTTGTGCGCATGCACACACACACACCTCCCCTTGCACTCTGCCCTAAAGTGAAAAGGAAGCCCTCTGCCTAGCTTGGCTGGCCACACAGCTTACCAGTCCATTTTTGCTCGTGCTGGTTATCTTGCCAAACCCCATAGGCCACTTGCAAACTGAAGAAGGAAAGCACTTCGTGTGCAGCAGCCAGAGAGGAAATAAATTATAAATAAATAAATAAATAAATAAATAATTCATTCATTCTCTGGCAGATGACGCAGAAGGAAATGGCAGAAGATATCCCCTTGGAGGAGGCAACTTAATTCACCAAATATTTGAACAGCTCCCATGTACAAAGACTATTGTAAGATCCCTGGGAACACAAAAGGAAGAAAGCCAAGTCCTGCCTTCACCAAGCTTCCCTGCCTTGTTTACATGGCCCATGGTTGTCTGCCTCCATTTCCAAATGTCCCTCTGATCCCCAGCTCACTCCACCCAACTCTCCAGCCACTGACTGTCTTCCACCGAAGCTTCAGTGAAACCACACAGCTTATAGTGACTTCCTACCCACTGCACACATTTGGGCCTGCAATGACCACTCAGCAACTTTACTATGCACTCTAGTCACAGTGACCTCTGTATATCCTTGATATACAGCAGGTTTAGTCAATGCTTTTTGAAAGAACAAAAGGAAGTAATCTCATGGTGTAACATGGTTCAGGCTAAGGTTATAAAAAATAAGACCTAATAAAAGAGTTCCAGAAAGATATTGATTCAAACTGAGCTCCCCCAAACATATAGGGTTGCCAGATAAAATGTAGGACTTCTACTTAAACATTTAAATTTCAGATAAACAATGAATAATTTTCAGTATAAGTATGTCCCCAATATTGCATGGGACATACTTATACTAAAAGCAAAATATTCATTGTTTAACTGAAGTCCAAATTTAACTTGGCATTCTATATTTTTATTTGATAAATCTGACCTTACAAATATACTATTTTGACATTCTTTTGGGTAAGGTACCTCATATTTGAATTTAAAATACACCCTGGGAGGGTCACATCCTCATGTCAATTGTTTAAAACGATCTTCACCCAGCATTAATGGCTTTGGAAAATTGGATTTGTGAGCAAGGAACAAGAGCGTAGAGTGGGAGGATTTAGAATTTGGGGATTAAAGCATTTATGTCTTTAGTACTGGGTAAGGCAACATAGAATTTAGGACTATAAACTATATTTGAAAAGTAAAAATGGGCCACCAAAAGTTGTACAACATAGGTTTTTGGATTACTTCTTCCTGAAAGAATCCTGTACTTACTTCTCCTCACTCAGTGTTTGAATGGCCTGTGCACTTGCCTATAACTCCTACTATACTGTTAGCTCCCTGAAGGCAAGGAATCTCTTATTTGTCCTTGTGTCTCAGAGCCCAGCTCATCGCTGATTATATGGTGCGTAAGTATAAATACTGCTACCTCTGGTCGTTTAATAAATTGTTGTGTCCAGATTTAATTGAAAGGCTGCACATACAGCACAATTTAGTTCTCAGATCATTGAAAAATTGACCCCTCCCTACTCCAACCCCACCCAATACTGGTTTTGCCAATCTAATCTCTCTAGGTGAGACCAGTATGTTCTACTGAGGACTGACATGGTTTGTCTGTGTCCCCACCCAAATCTCATCTTGAATTGTAGTTCCCATAATTTCCACGTGTTGTGGGAGGGACCCAGTGGAGGTAATTGAATCATGGGGGCAGCTTCCCCCATGCTGTTCTCGAGATAGTAAGTTCTCACGAGATCTAATGGTTTTACAAGGGCTTCCCCCTTCACTCAGCTCTCATTCTTCTCTCTCCTGCCACCTTGTGAAGGACGTGTTCGCTTCCCCTTCTGCTATGATTGTAAGTTTCCTGAGGCCTCCCCAGCCCTGTGGAACTGTGAGTCAATTAAACCTCTTTCCTATATAAATTACCCAGTCTTGGGTATATCCTTACAGCAGCATGAGAACAGACTAATACAAGTACTAAGTAAAGCATCGGGGAGAAGGAGGAGAGAGAAACAGAAGACAAAACGTGGCAAACCTTCTACTCCCATGTGACCTCTCCCACTTTTCTCTCTCTCCTACTTTGACTTAGGCCAGGTTCTTACAGGTGACCATACAGTCCGTTTTGCTTGGGACGGCCCTCATTTATGTCTTCTCTTCCAGAGTAATTATTAATAGCCTCCTTTTCACTCTTAACAGTGCCCTGATTTGGAGCACTCATACAGTGCTCAAGCATTAATTTTAAATAGGGAGCTGGTATGGAAACACCCAACAGAATACACAAATGTTTGCACTTAGAATGGCCATTATAAAGACATTCACCCCAGTTAAACGTGCTTCTCTTCTCTATTCAAGAATAAGAAACTAGAATAGGACTCATGAAGTGGGAAGTAATGGAGTTTTTAAATCTCATCTATTGGTTCATATTTGTGGTGAAAATACCAGCTGCACAAAATAATCACCTAGGCCCTTGGAGGCTTCAATAACACACAGAATCGCAGTATTCCCTCCATGCCCCCTTCTCCCAGAAAGTTCTTATCCAGCAAATCTGGGTAGGGCCAGGAAATCTGTATTTTTTGTAAAGTTCCTCGAAGTGAGTCTTCCGTGCAAGTGAGTGTCTGGCAACTACTAATCATTTAACTTTTGGTTGTAAGGGCTTAGATGTTTAGAAGTGGGCCACATGGGGGCCTTATGTGTAAGCTTGATCCTGGCAGGCTGTTCATCAATGCTTTGTTGGAATAAAGGAACTACTAAGCTAAGAGGAAACCTACTACTGGGGGACTAGCCAAGCCATGTGTTAACTGCTTTATAAGTATTGCTTCATTTAATCCTTTTACAATGAGGAGGCTGACACTAAATTAATCAACTTGCTCAAAGCTCTACATCAAGTAAAAGTGCTCAGATTGAGACTCAAGCTGACTTCAGGGCCGGAATTTACCCACTATACTCTCTGTATACAAAATATTTATTTGGGGCCTGGGTGTGGTGGCTCATGCCCATAATCCTAGCATTTTTGGAGGCTGAGGCAGGAGGATTGCTTGGGCCCGGCAGGTCGAGTCTGCAGTGAGCCGTGACCATACCACTGCACTCCAGCCTGGGCAACAGAATGAGACTATATATATATATATATATATATATTTTATATATATATATATATACTATATATATACTATATATACTATATATTATATATACTATATATACTATATATATTACTATATATTTACTATATATACTATATTACTATATATAGTATATATAGTAATATAGTAATATATATAGTATATATAGTATATATATAGTATATATTATTATATATAATATATATGTATTTTTAATAGTGCTTTGTAGTTAGGTCTAGAAAAAAATAGACGGGAGGGTGATGTGTTGGTAAAGTTCTTTGAATCAATAGCTCTAGCTCTATGCAGACTAGAAGTAACTAGAAATTTCATTTAAATAACAAATGCAAATAGGGAAGAAAAACTCTTTGGTTTATGTCCTGAGTTCAATCACTCACCATGCAGGCCTCTCCCTGGGGCCAGCCAGCCCCTTTGGAACCATACCTCCTACCACCTGGTATCACTATACATGCTAGTCCTCTTTTTCAGACATTGAGGCCCTCCAAACCTTGACTGAGAAAGGTTCAATTTGCTATGTGTGACATACAATGGGTGGGCGATGGGATGGCTACATCTGACTTCCAAGACTCATTATTTTTGATTTGGCTCAAAAACATGATGGAGACACTGTGACAATATTGCCATGCCTCCTGCTTATGTGCCCAAAGGCAGTCTCTATCAATTTGGTCTCAGTTTGCCAGTGTCCAGCTCCTTATACACTTATGTACATGATTACTGGCATGGTCATGTTTGAAAACTTGAATGTCAAGAGGGCAATAGTAGCGCCAAAACTTTACTCACAGCCAATCTGGTTAGAAAGGATCACTTCCCCTATGCGCCACTCCTCAAGTGATAATGATGTGAATGTAGAGGAAAACAGCTGGTCAGATTCATCTGCAGACATAATTTAATTCTACTGAATTGCAGTGCATGGGTGAGAGCCAACAGGCCAGGGACAGTCTGTGGGTAAAACAGGCAGCAGCAAGAAGAAGAAGGCATGGAAGAGCCTATAGAACAACAGTAGTCATAAAGTGAACAAAAGGACTTAGATGATGAATTGCCAGTGGATGGTAGAGGACACATCCAAGGTGGGGTCAAAAGATTCAAATGCAGCAGAAAGGTCTAGAAAAATGACAAGGAGGTCAATACATACTGCAAAATGGTTTCTTGGTAACCTTCAGGAGACGTGCTACAGTGAAACAGCAGGTTGTAGGGCAGATGCTGAGGATTAAACAAGGATTAACAAACAAAGAAATGGAAGCAGCTGGCATAGACATGTTCCAGGATTTTAGTGAAGAAGTGAAGGAGAGACCAATGTCCATAGCTCAAGGGAGGAAGATAATGGAACTAAGATCTTTTCAAGATGGGTGAGACCAACTTATGATGGACGCCTGGGAGAAAGGCCAGTGGAGAAGGAGAGAGCAAAGATGAACCCAAGGAAAAGAGTAATGGAAAAGACAGAAACCATTCAATTAAGGATAAGGGGAATAAAGAAATATGCAGGAGTATGGAACTGGGGGAGACCTACGTGGAGCTCAGTCAAAGGGTAACACGGTAAGAATTTCAAATGTGCAGAAGGGAAGAGATGCAAGGGTAGGAAGGGTAAGAAGTGAACATGTCAAGAGCATGCATTATGTACCAGGAACTGTACTGGGTCCTTCATAGTTGGCATTTCATTTAACACATCTAACATCCTATGACATAAGTATATTCCTCTCTGCAAAAGAAGAAACTGTGGCTCATAATAATTAAGTGAATTCCCACAGTGGATCCAGAATTGAAACACAAATGTTCCTGATCTCCCTGACTTGAATGCATAATGAAACACAAAGAGATGACATGACTCGGGAAAAAAAAGCAAACAACCTTTGCTCACATCACAATTTTAGCCACTGTGAAATTTATGTCAAAATCAGCGTGAATATATGATAATTCCTGCCAGAATACCTCCAACCAATTCCAACAATTTGGTCTTATCACGCTTCTTGTTTTTCTAAAGAGATAACTGCAAAAGGAGAAGCTTTCACGTATAAATTTTGATATATGATTTGTGAAAACAAGAGATAAAAAACTAATTTATCTTCCACTTAACATAATGAAAAACACCAATAAATCTTCCTATCAACTGACACAGGCTTCTAAAGCTGGAAACCAAGGCTGTTATCCAATTCTTAACCACATTCTTAATATTTTACCTGGCAACAATGACAAAGTAATAAAAACTCCACATGGGCCCAAGAAAAAGACATTCTTATCCAATGGTCACCTACCTTGTGTCCTGAATGCTCAACGAATTCACAAACAGCTGTTTGTAAGCAAGTTTTAATATTCCATAAACATGTTGAAAATTGGAAATTTATTCTCAATAAGGGCTGTTCAAGAACTAAGAAATGCCAAGTAAGTTTGCCTTTCACCAGAATTGTAACCACTCAATATGACAACTGTGGCTTATTAAAATATCACATTGACTACCAGTGTCAATATCAGAAATTCTAAATCATGTCTGGTGGACTAGACCCTTTCACTAGTGATGAATACAATGCAGTGCCAGGGTTAAAAAATGCTGAGTTTCTAACTGACCTTGAATATAAGCAAGAAGTAAAGCAATGGGTATCACTGAAAAGCTCTTAAAGAGTCTGAAATTTTCCTTTATTATTTATTAGCACTTGAATTGTTACAGTCATATTATAAAATTTCCATAAAACATTTTCCACAATGTGCTCTCTAAAACATTAGTGTTTTTTAGATTTTTATGAATGTCATACAAAAGTAGGATTCTATATTCAGGTGCGTTTAGGAAAGACAAGTTTAAACCAAGTTCATGAGCATCCTAAAGGCAAGGAAACCCTAAAAGTATTTCATAGGCTATTGTGAAGTGTAAATCCCCAAAGGGACGGTATAATAATCAGCATTTTCAAAATGTATTTGGCCAAAGGTTTCCTCTTTGGTAGAGTATCTGGAAGTACATCCTGGGGGCTCCCCAAAACACACTTTGGGAGCACTGCAATGGGTAATTGATAATCACAGATCACTGACAAAATCTGAATCAGAAACAGAAAATTTATAGACATAGATGAATCAATTTTGTTGGGGTTGGGTCTCACCACTTCATTTGCTTATTTTTTCTTACCAAATTTCCATGTACACACACACACACATACACACCCCTACACTCCACAGAAATAGTCTTTTAAATCAGGAGTAGCAGAAGCCATTCTCTCTCTCTCTCTCTCTCTCTCTCTCTCCCTCTCTTTCTCTTTTTTTTCTTTAAGACAGGGTCTCACTCTGTCATCCAGGCTGGAGTGCAGTAGTGTAATCATAGCTCACTGCAGCCTCGACCCTCTGGGTTCAAGCAATCCTTCCACCTCAGCCTCTGGAGTAGCTGGGACCACAGGCACATGCCATCACACTTGGCTAATATTTTTATTTTTTGTAGAGATAGGGTCTCACTATGTTGCCCAGGCTGGCCTCTAATTCCTAGGCTTGAGCCATCCTTCTGCTTTGGCCTCCCAAAGTGCTGGAATTACTGAGGTGAGCCACCACACCTGGCCACAAAAGCCATTCTCAATCTAACCTGTATTCTGTTGGATCTCAATTCCTCCAATTATTAGAGGCCCACCGTTTTTTATAGAGCTGTTACTGGTTACTTCTAGGAGTCTACAGCAAGTGTCTCCTAAAGCTCTCAACTAGTTCCTGTTAGCCTCTCCACAGTATCTGTCATTTATCCCTCTCAGGTCTGCACATATACATGGAAGCACTTCTTCAGTGCCTCCATCGGCCATGCAAGAGCTGTTTCCACTAAGTTCTGGCGATACACTACCAGGCATCCTGATGCTGCCACCAGTGCCATAACCTCCAGAATCACCACCAGACCCAGCTGTCAACATCCTTAAAATGCTACGTGTGCTCTGGAGTCTTCAGTGTGCCATAGCCACTCGCTTTCCCTTTTGTGTTATATTTTGTCACATCAAAAATAAAAAATAAAAAAATTTAAAATATCAAAGCAATGTTTATTTGCATACTTCTCTATCTTCTAATGTAAACATAGTTTTCAAATGTTATGTTGGGAGGTAATTCTCCATGGGTCTCTTGTATTTCAACACATCCTCTGAGCAGAGGCCCTGACTGACTTTGTTCTGGACCAATTTTTTAAAAATATTGATATAGGGAATAAAATTCTAAAATATAGTGCCTCCTTCCCAAGCAGAGGGCAGGTTTGCTTACAGCCTGGGAAGATAGAGATAGTGCCTCCCTTTGGAGCAAAGGGTAGATGTGATTACTGCCCATTATAGAAGACTTGAGTTTTTTAGGCTCAGGGTTCCTTTCCTGTAGTGGAAACCACTGCATGTCTGGCATCCATCTGGGCCTCTTCATGTTGCCCTGTGGAAATGGGGGCTCAAGAAATTGACACAAATTCTGATACTCTGGCTACTGTTTTGCTATGGATAATAAACTGTCCTTTGTCTCTAACACAGGTATCGTGTCTTCTGCCAACATCCATGAAACTGTGGCAAGCTACCTTGTTAGCTTACAAGTTAAGGGGAAAAAAAACCTCGGACCCGTCACCGATCTTGATTTTTATATTTAGGGACTGGCTATCTGGAATTGAGACCTAAATGCAGATTATGAAGTTAAACTAGAAAAAAATTCAAGTGATAGTCACCACTTTTCTCTTAAGTGCCCCTCCTCAGGATGACTGAGATTTTGACATTGAGCCAAGTTTGTCTTTAGAATGATTCTCCCCTCCCCATTCTATCCTCCTAGAAGTCCTAAGCTTTCTGTGATTTAAAACAGAACATTAGCTGGGCATGGTGGCACTCAACTGTCGTCCCAGCTACTTGGGAGGCTGAGGTAGGAGGATCGCTTGAGCCCAGGAGGTCAAGGCTGCAGTGAGCCATGTTTGTGCCACTGGACTCCAGTCTAGACAACAGAATGAGACACTGTCTTCAAAAAAATAAAATAAACAAAACAAAATACAGCAAAAACAGAAACAAAGAAAACACTACCACAACAATAATAAATGGCTAAAACTTCTTGGGTTCTTGTGCCAGGCACCGTTTTCATTTTATGCGCATGCCAGTCCCAGGAGGTAGCTACTATCATCTGACCCCAGGCAGGCTGACGTCATATACCTCCACCCTACATGTTCTGAACTCCAGCAGTGTACAGCACCTGGGCTCAAGCATGTTTAATTCTTCATTTGTTATTCCTTTCACTTATTTAATTATATTATCCCTCATTATTGACACTTGTAAAAGGGAACACATTTGTGAAATTCTATAAATTGCTAGAAAACTCATTTCAAGGGAGAGTGAGATACTTCCTTGGCCAATTGCCTTCAGGTCACACTACTCCAGAAAATTCTACCCATTACAATGTTGCTAGCTCTGTATAAAAGAAGTAGAGCTGTAACCACAAAACCCAATCCCTGGCTAGCTCCATCTAATCTGTGTATTTTTTTTCTTTGTTCCATTTTCGGTTAAGCTAGGGAAATAAAAAAGGAGGAGGGCAGGAAACACTGTCTATTCATGTCTGAATTACATTAGGTTTTTAAGGCACACAGAACCCTTGAAGAAAGTTGCTATTAAGTATTAGCTTCACTCAGTTATGTAAACCCCCATCCAGATGGGCATCTATCTTCCTTCAGGTTTGGTTAAGCAACTTTGGATCAATTTATGATAAATGGTGAAACAGTTCTGCCCTCATCTTATTTGCTATAATCTCTCCTTCTGTTTCCTCTTCCCTTGGGGACATTAGTGTTCACTTATACACACAACCTTACTGTTAATAAAAAAGATTTACGTGCAAGTAACATTTTATTCCTTCCATCAAATGTTTACTTAAGGAGGTTTTATTGCATAAAGCACCATTCTTACTTGACACACAAGTAGATTTATGTTTTTAAACTCATTTCCTATCATTCTATACTTCCAAACTTAGTCTGTCATAGGGATTTTATATTGTGGAGGAATTTTGACTTAGCATATTGTTTATTTCATATATAGGATCTTTAAGAAATAAGAAATGTTAGACTATTACTGGTAGAGGCTTAGAATCTGGTGCAGCTGCTTCTCAATACATAGAGAAAAATGGTTTATTCAAAGACTATCTTTGGTACAACAGGGCCTGTAGAAATTGGAAATGGACATTTCCTAACTGGCACAAGTTTGGAAAACTAAGAGGTGATACATATTAAAAACCCATTTTAAAAAGTTAATCCTTTATCCCAGTAATATTATTCATATATATTCATTATAGGAAAATAATTCAAAGAAAAATAAAAACTGTACCAACAGGAGCACACTGAAAGATTAGGCTTGAGAGCACAAAATCAGAGCCTATCTTCATGTCTCACAAAAGACATGTGCCATTCTTCTGCTTACTGAGAGAGACTTGTGGATAAAGACAAGAAAGGAAAATAGTGCTGTTAGGATGGTAGGCAAACAGCATCTAATCTCATCTCAAGTTTCTAGCATTGGAAAACTGTTTTAGCAGCAAAACTTATTATAAAAAGAAAATGCTTTACCTGAAATTCCCCCTCTAAATTCTTCATAATGTGAATTCCCCCTTTCTAAATTCTGTTCATTTAAAATATCCAAGTTATCCAGGCTGGGCAACATGGCAAAACTCCATCTCTACAAAAAACACAAAAATTAGCTGGGTGTGGTGGCGTGCGATTATAGTCCCAGCTATTCAGGAGGCTCAAGTGGGAGGATCACCTGAGCCTGGGGAGGTTGAGGTTGCAGTGAGCCATTATCACGCCATTGCCCTCCAGCCTGGGCAACAGTGTGAGACCTTGTCTCAAAAAATAAGATAAAATAAATAAAATAAAACAAAACAAAATATCCAAGTTAATTTCTACTCTTACTACACATCTTTGCTCTTAAAGTCCTTTGAATGTATATCAATTTGTTACATCATTGGTTCTCAAGTAGGTGCAATTTTGTCCCCTAGGTGACACCTGGAAATATCTAGAGGCATCTTTGGTTGTCACGACAGGAGCTGTGCTACTGGCATCTACTAGATAGAGGCCAGGGATAGTGCTAAATATTATACAATATGCAGGGGTAGCCCTCACAGCCAAGAATGTTCAAAATGTCAATAGTGCTGAGGCTGATAAACTCGACGCTAAACGATACAATTATGTAATGCTTTAAAGTATTCTGCAAAACAAATAAATAGAAATGAGCAAAAGATTTCAAAAGACACTTAACCAAAGAAGATACCTGAATGGTAAGTAAGCACAAGAAAAGATGCTCATCATCGTTAGTCATCAGGGAAATGCAAACTAAACCACAAAGAAATGCCACTTAATACCCACTAGAATGGCTATAATAAAGACAGATAATAACAAATGTTCTCAAGAATATGGAGAAACTAGAACTCACATACACAGCTGGTGAATATGTAAAATGGTATAGCCACTGTGGAAAACAGTTCGCCAGTTCCTTTTTTTCCTTCCAACTTTTATTTTAGGTTCAGGTGGTACATGTATAGGTTTGTTACATGGGTAAATTGTGTGTTGCAGGGGTTTGGTGTACACATTATTTCATCACCTAGGTAGTGAGCACAGTACGTGATAGTTTTTCAATCCTCTCTCCCTTCCCACCCTTTACCCTCAAGGAGGCCCCGGTGTCTACTGTTCCCTTATTTGTGTCCATGTGTACTCAATGTTTAGCTCCTGCTCATAAGCAAGAACATGAGATATTTGGTTTTCTGTTCCTGCATTAATTTGCTTAGGATAACAGCCTCCAGCTGCACCCATGTTGCTGCAAATGACATGATTTCATTCATTTGTATGGCTGCATGGTATTCCATGGTTCATCTGTACCATGTTTTCTTTATCCAGTCTGTTTATGGGCATCTAGATTGATTCCATGTCTTTGCTATTGTGAATAGTGCTGCAATGAATATATGTGTATATGTGTCTTTATGGTAGAACAATTTATATTCCTTTGGTTATATACCCACTGATGGAATTGCTGGGTTGAATGGTATTTCTGTCAGTTTCTTAAAACATTAAACATATCATTCCTATATGATTCAGCAATTCCATTTCTAGTTATTTACCCAAGAGATATAAAAATGTATGCCCACACAAAGATTTCTATGCACATGTACATAACAACTTTATTGATAATATTCATAATCCTTGGAAACAATCCAAATGTCCAATATCTGGTGAATGGATAAACAAAACATGGTACATCTCTACAACAGAATACTACTAAGCAATAAAAAGGAATAAACTACTGAGAGTTGAAACAACATAACTGAACATCAAGAACAATACACTAAGAAGCCAAACAGAAAGGACTACATTTATCTTATTCCATTTATAAGAAATTTCTAGACAAAACAAAATTATAAAGACAGAAAGCAGATCAATGGTTGGTTGGATCTGGGTGTGGGAGTGGATATTGACTGCAAGCAAGCACATACGAACTTTCTGACATGATGAAACTTATTCTAAAACTAGATGCTTGTGACAATCGTACAGCCATACAAATTGACTAAAACTCATCAAACTCTGCACTTAAAATGGTAAACTTCATGGCATGCAACAATATATCTCAAAAACGATGTCAAAATATTTTGGAGAGCTATAATTCAATTACTATATTGTTATTTAACTGTTCATGGGATGCCTGGTTTTCTTCCCACTAGCATATAAATAGCCTGAATTATATTTGTTTTACTGTCCATGCAGTTCCTTGTTCACAATAAACAAATACTTTTAATTATTATTTAGTTTTTAATATAAAACGCAATGTATGCTGATCATGAAGGACTGGAAAAGTAAAATGGAAAAAAGAAAGCAGTCATTCAAAATTTATGAATCTTAAGAACATGATTTTAAATATTTTAGTATATTTATTTTCTTTCCTTTTTTATTTTTTGTAGGGACAGAGTCTTGTTATGTTGCCAAGACTGGTCTCGAACTCCGAAGCTCAAGCAATCGTCCCTCTTTGGCCTCCCAAAGTATCGGGATTAAAGGCATGTGTCACCACACCTGGCCTTAATATATTTATTTTCATTCTGTTTTATATTCATAGCATATTTTTTCATACTGTTGTGGTTATGCCATGTAAATATGTACATATCTTTATTTTCACTTATGAGCTAAACTTTACATTATAAAATCTTCATAAACATCATCTTAATGACACTTTATATTCCATCCTGTGGATGTGTCACAATTCCCTTAACCATTTCCTGATGTCGCTATTATATCATTTCTACCTTTTTACAGCATTAAGCACAGGCATCTCCACCCAGCATTCAGGGTCCACCAAATTGAAGCTACATCTAAGTTAACCCCCTAATGTGCTCCTATTTCATATTTCCTCTTCATGAAGGCCAGTTGATTCACTTTTCTCCAAATTGGGTGTGCTCTTTCCTAACAAGAAGCCTTTGCACATGTTCCTTCCCTACCTGTACTTGGAACATTCTTATCCGTTGACTCCAGTCGGACAGTCTACCCATCGTTCAGGATTCCAGCAAGTCTAACTTCCTCTAACCATCCTTCCTCTGTTTCAGCTCACAGTAATCACCTCTTCCAAATTCCATTAGTACTTTATTCATATGGATATCTAGTTATATCTGACAAGGTTCTGTGCATTGTATTTTCCTTTGTCTACATCTTGAGAACAACTAAATGGTAAGCCCGTGGTAGACAAGAACCATGTATTTCAGTTCTTCTATATTTTTGTATTTCCTTCTATGTTTGCTAAGCAGTATTGCATTAGTTAATGCTAGGTAACAAGGGTGGTAGTGGTGGTGGTTGTTGTTGTTTAATCACTGAATTGAGTAAAGATGATGGTAACAACCTTAAAGTCAGAAGCATATGTAAATGTATAGTCTTGCTTCCAATGAAATATCAACAGAGAAGTGTTTAATAAGTAAACTTAAGTGTTTTGCAAAAATTAGAAAGACAAGTACCAATCTCAAATGTCAAAGGGCTATAGTGAAGAAAGAAAGTAAACTGGAGAAATTAGTCTTGTGATTTGAAGGAAGGTACATCTAGGGCATACATGGACTTTTTCAGGAACCCAGAACCTACGGGAATTAATGCTTATTCCCATGAAATTGATATGTTGCTCAGGGCATGTTTGAGAAATGAATTGTCCCTAGAGGTTCACACTGCCTTCCATCTTGCTCTAAATTATCTGCCATCTACAAGTCCATATAATAATATTCAAGTAATTGGCAATATGAATATATAGGCTTTTGGGAATAAAGTTAATTTCTACAGAAAAAGATTAAGTTAGAAAGTATGCAAATTTTTATTTAATCTGCCACACCATAGAAAAGCACAGAAAGTATCATTATTTGGACCATGAGAGTATATTCTAGGTTATAATTTAGTAACTTGTAACAAAGAAAATATTATATGTTAACCACAGCATTTCATTTCCTGGGAACACAGGAAAACTACATTTCTCAGTACCCCTTACAGTTACATCAGGGTTCGTATGTCTGTGTGCTGACCAATGGAATGTGGTAGGAAGAAATATAAGCCGCTTCTCAACCTAAACTTAAATCAATCCTGCTTGGTAGTTATGCTTACTGCGGATGGATATGGGTAAATACTGGGAAGGGACACAAAAGGTTTTTTTATATGATCTGTTTCTTGATCTGGGTGCTGATTACAAGAGTATGCCCAGTTGTAAAAATTCATTAAGTTGCACACTCACGGTTGTACATATATCT
Organism: Homo sapiens; assembly: GCF_000001405.40. NCBI lineage: Eukaryota > Metazoa > Chordata > Mammalia > Primates > Hominidae > Homo > Homo sapiens. The sequence continues at coordinate 12,220,356 of NC_000023.11, read as the reverse complement.
GTATTTGTTATTTCAGTAAGTTTATCAAGCATGACTTTATAGCTCTCTTTCCTTTCCATAGCCACTTTGGGCACCACATGCTTCTAATGACAGAAGTATGATATGGGAACAGTCCCTGTAGTATGCCAAAAATGGGGTTGCTTTGTTTTCTTGTTTTTCTGTTTTTGTTTTTTTGTGTTGTTGTTGTTGTTGTTGTTGTTGTTGCTGTTGTTGTTGAGACAAAGTTTCACTCTTGTTGCCCAGGCTGGAATGCAATGGTGCGATCTCCGCTCACCACAACCTCCGCCTCCTGGGTTCAAACAATTCTCCTGCCTCAGCCTCCCGAGTAGCTGGGATTACAGGCATGTGCCACCACGCCAGGCTAATTTTGTATTTTTGGTAGAGACAGGGTTTCTCCATGTTGGTCGGGCTGGTCTCTAACTCCTGACCTCAGGTGATCCACCCGCCTTGGCCTCCCAAAGTGCTGGGATAACAGGCTTGAGACATGGCACCTGGTGCAGGGTTGCTTTGTTACTGCAGCATAGCCTAACCTAACTTGCCTTATATATTAAAAGTATCTACTTTGTAGTAGTTTGCCTCAATAGAGGGCCTGGTACCAAGGAATCTCTTATAATGTCTGTACTGCTAGCCTTCCTGATACAACTATAAGGCTTTAAGACAGTATTTTTCTAAGTATGGTACATAAAACATTGTATGGAAGCACCTGGGATGTTTGACTAAAATGCAGATATTCCACATCAGAATTTCTAGAAAGGATAACTGGGAAGCTGACTTTTAAAACATTATTAATAGTTTCCCAGGCAATTCTTATGCACACTAAAATTTGAGCACTATTAGTAGAATGTGATGACAAAAGTCAAAGTACCTCACAAATACTAAACTCCTACTCTTATTGCATTAAATATACAAAAGTTTACCCTTTTCTCTCAGTAGACTAAGGCATCAGAGCCTGCTCTTCCTTTTTATATAATCTTTTCTTTGTCTTTTTTTTTGGGACAGGGTCTTAGTTTGTCACCCAGGGGTGCGACGGTGTGAACATGGCTCACTGTAGCCTTGGCCTCCTAGGCTTAAGCGATCCTCCTACCTCAGCCTCCTGAGTAACTGGGAATACAGGTGCATACCACTGTGCCCAGCTAATTTTTATATTTTTTGTAGAGACGAGATTTCGTCGTGTTGCTCAGGCTGATCTTGAACTCCTGAGATCGGGTGAACCTCCCATCTTGGCCTCCCAAAGTGTTGGGATTATAGGCCTGAGCCACGGTGCCCAGCCCAAATCATTTTTAAAAGCTCTTGATTGAGACACAGGAGACTTAGATTCTAATTCTAGCTCTACTGTAATTCAATGTATGACCCAAGTTAAGCCTTCCAAATTATGGTAGCTTCAGTTTCCTCATCTACAAAATTTGAAGAGTTGGCCTAGAACCTATGGTTTCAAAACATTTTACTAAAAACCCATCATAAACCAAATGTTATATGTAAGGCAGTCATAGAAAACAAAAGCATAGCTGTTATGTTTGAAAGTAGGGAGGGATCATACACTGAACTAATTCACAGGCCCCCAACTGCAATGGCCCCTAAGGGTGCCCCACAGAACTTTCAGAACCTGGGGCATAGTTTAAAACTCTGGTCTAGTTGATCTCTTAGGTTCTTATACTTTCTTTAAATTTTGACAGTCATGATTATCACCCTTGAAAGGCTTTAATTAAAGTCAACTCTACTATTTTGCTATTTTTAGAGTGAATCTATTTCCTCTCCTCCCATTTAGGGGAGAGAGTGGGTTATGCTAGAAGTAGAGAAAAATAAATTCAATAAAGATCTATAAATTTTGATTATGGATGATATAAACTACAATAACTAAATTCTCAGACAACTTTGTATTCCTTGACCAGACAAATTTCTACCTTTCTTTGAGGAACATTCACCCCTACTTTGCACAATAGGTCATAAGTGATGATTGCTCACTCCTACCACCCCCAAGCCCATGCTGAGACTCCTATTGTCACAGCCTGCAGGTCTCAACAATCCCTAATATTTCGTTGTTATAGCCAAGGAGTTTCACTACTGTAACCATTTTTGAAAGTCACTGGAAATCTTTTCATAAATTTCTTTTAAATCAATTATCATTATACATTAATAGGATATTAATCTTACTTTTTCTTCCAAAGAGTTCATCTCATAGATTCATAAATTCTTGTCTTGATCTCTTATTTTTTTCATTAATTCTTTTGAGATGTTAAAAAAATAAGGATGTTAATGAACACTAATGACCAAAATTCTTTTTTAGAAAGTTTATTTCTCAAGTCCAATCATACAGGTACCTAAATTAAGAGGTAGCTTGGTTTCTCCTGACACCTTTATACTGACTAGCTACATAATTCAGTGTAAAGTTGAATATAACCCTACTAAAATTCACCATGTGATTCACTGTATTATCTGACATTTAAATGGAAAAAAATCTAAAAATTAGTTTAAATGGCAACATACACTTTAGGTCAGCAAACTTTTCTGTAAAACTCCAGATAGTAAATGTTTCCCTTGCAGACCATGTGATCTCTCTTACAGCTACTCAGTCTTACGGTAGTGCTAAAGTAATCATGCACAACATGTAAATGAATGGGCATGACTGCGTTCCAATAAAACTTTATTTACAAAAACAGATGAAGGGCTGGATTTAGCCAGCAGGGCACGGTTTACTGACCTCTGACCTGGGTGGAAAATTTTATAAGAGTGGGAAAGACATAACCAAAATATTATTTTCTGAGATGAACTGTAATGAAAATCCAGTTTGCCAATTAAGAGTATCAAGCTTATCAAGTACCTATGTGGTGAATCATCAAAAATGTGTTCCTGCTTTTTTACTGTTCTTTACAGACATGAATGCATTTAAATTTCTTAGGACCTTCAGATTATGAGACTGACGCGCTGCCCACTGCACTAAGAGAGCCTCTGAATGCATTTAAATTTCTAAGGAAGGATTCTTTTTCTTTTACCCACTATTATTGGCAGGCTTGGATTGAAGACAAATCATGTTTATGATCTACTTCCCTTCTTTTCAACCTTCTCTTTCCTTTGATAAATCCTAAAGCTACCCTGAAGCAGCTTACTTCCCTAAAACAACAAAAATTATACCAGGTGAAGGGGAGAGTCCAAAACCAAGAAAGACAGTGGCAGAACCAGGGGATAACATAAAGGCATCAACCCCACTGCTTGCAATTTTCAAATAATGTCCACTGACATTTTTAGTTGTGTGTGAAATATTGTAATAAATCTAGCTTTAAGACAAGTACCCTGGTTCCCTCCTTTCACAAACACTTTTCACATTGACCCAGGTGCCACCTGTGTCCCCTTCACATAGAATTTCTGCAGACGGCAGAAAGCGGTAATGAAGATTTTTAAACCTAGGGCAGAGCAGAAACCTTGCTTAGACACAGGGAGGAAAGAAAGCCACTTGCAGATTTTAAGGTTTGACTCTGGCTCAGAAGAACAAGCAAGCAAACAAACACATTTACAATAAGACACACCTAAGGAACAGAGCTTCAGGCTGGGAGTAATCCTCAGGGCTTAGATTAAAAGTTTGAAGTTTTCTACTAACAGAATGAGAAAACAGTAAGATGAATGTGCCTCCCAGATATGAGGATAAGCAACAGTTTCAGAGATGAGGTGGAACATGGCAGAAATTTTTTTTAGCCCAGGACAGTGAGTTCCTGGTTATGGTTTGAGGAGATATGAAGATGTCTAGAGTTAAAGACAGGTGGGTGGATGTGGATGGTGGATTTTATATTCCAAAGATAGTCACACCAATAGATATTCCATTCTACCATACTCTTCTTATAATGTGTCATTGGTGATAGGTATGGCCTGTGTTCCTTCAGCTTGAACCTGGGAAGATCTTTGTGACTGCCTTGATCAAGATAATACAGAAGTAGTTGGTGCGTGATTTCTGGGGCTAGTCAAAAAAGATGCAACAGCTTATGCTTGGCTCTCTTTCTTGGGACATGTACACTGGGAACCCAGACCCTATGTTAGAAGTCTGGATGCTACTAGGCTGAAAAGAGCATGTGCGAAGTCCACCCAGAGCTAGGGAGTGAAGCGATGCCTGAAAAGCCCCGGCTGCTCCAGTCCTGAGCTGGCTGAGTCTTCTCAGTCCAGGTACCAGATGTCATGGAGAAGAAATGCCATGTCCAGTTGGAATTCCTGACCCATAAATTCCCTGAGCATGATAAATGGTTGTTTGCACTACTAAGATTTGGGGTAATTGAATACACAGCTATAGTAACTGGAATGGTTGGACACAGAAACTGTATTCTAGGCCAGGAGTTGGCAAACTTTTTCTTTAAAGGGCTGGATAATAAATATCTGAGGCTTTGCAAGCCATGTGGTCTTGGTCACAACTACTCAACTCTGTTGTTATACCAAGAAAGTAGCCACAGATGATATGAAAATGAATGGCTGTGTTCCAATAAAACTATTACAGAAACAGGTGGGAGTAGGGACAGGATAGGTTTGGCCCACAGGATGTAGTTTGGTGGCCCATATTCTAGGCAAAGGAAGAACCATGATGTTAGGCCTTGAGGCAGAAATGTGGCTGCTCATTTTAGAAATGATAGAAACCACTGAAGAGGCAAAATAAGGTACCTAGAGAGAAGTATGGCTTGCTACTTAAGCGTATGATCTGTGGATATGGATTATGTATCAGGTAAGTCACTTGACCTGTCTGTCCCCCAGTTTCCTCATCCATCTTAAAATGAAGGATAATAATATTATCTACTTCTTAGGTCACTATGAGGATTAAATAACATGTATAAGGCTTAGAACAATGGCTGGCACATAGTAATCACTATTAAAATGATTGCTGCTTTCTACTGTGTTTAACTAGAGGAGTAACAACAGAAAGAGAAGAAGACAGTTATGATGGAAGAAGAGAGTCTGCAACCAGCTGGACACAAGGGGCAGGAGGTTAAGAAGAAGAAGTTGGGGTGTGTTTGGGGAGAACATTAGCACTGCTACCTGGAAAGAGGCTACTGCAGACAACCAGGATGGAAAGATGGCAAGATCAGAGTGAGAGAGAGGAGGAGGGGCTGCCTTTGAGGCTTCATTGAACAAGTTTCTTGGAGGTTTCTTCCTGATAATAAAGGTTATAAATAAATGCCTCTCAAAAAAACCTTGGATCATAAAGTAAAGGAAACATACCTACTTCGAGAAAAGTCTCACACCGACTCACTACCCAGAAAACGACCATTTTTGTGAGTTAATAAAAGGTTGAATGTCAACACAATTTTATATTGTTCAACTCAACGGGGTGCTATAGTATTTCCCTTCTGGTATAAGGTACACGCATATATACACGCACACATATATGCATATATATCAGAAGGGAAAATATTTACCTATAAAATATTAATTTATGTATAATTACCAATTACATGTTTCATATTTTATATTTATATAATTGCTATGTAAAAAGAAGGCTGAAAATGTAAAATGTAACAAAATTATATATGTCACATTTATATATTTATCCATTTTTTAATCAAAACATGATCTATTAAGCATTTTCTCATATAATTGTTTTTATAAGGACTTTTTGAAGATGATTAATATTCTATCACCTCATTATTATAGGAGATGCTTATTGCTGTACACAGCCCAATGGCATCCACATAAACATGCAGCTATCGGTTCATGGAAACATCAAGAGTTTAAGAGAGATATCTACCATGACACAATGCTCTACTAAAAGGTGGAGAAAGAATTCTCTGTCATTTGTGTTATAGAGTTCTATGTTTTTCAAAAATTTCTCTTTGCCTTGAGGTCTCTTTTCACTCTTTATTTAGGTTTCTTACAAACAAACAATAAATTTGATATTGTGCTTTTAGCAATGACTCATTGGTAAGTGTTAAGATGATCTACAACAGGGTATAAATCATAACAGATTTTTTAAAATGTACAGATAGAGTTCCTATGACAAATGAAGTACCAACTCTCCCTAGTCTGGAAAGTTGGGTTCTGGTAAAGCTAAGTGAGAAAATTTTAAGAGGAGAATATTATGCTTATTCAACGGCAAGAGAATATCTTACGTCATTATGCTTGCAATTTGTAAGCAAGTTTAGTTGGTATTTTTAAAGGCCAGTAATCAGGAATGAACTCCTTCAACAATGCCAGTCACCAAGAAAAAAAATTCAGGGAAAAAGCTTCAGTGATTCATGTTGCTAAAGAACTTTGATTTTTAATTAACTTCCAACTTGATGACAAATTAATAAATCATTAAGTTCATATAACATGACATCATTGGAAAATTTAAATGTGTTCTAATATTCCCTTACATTTCAATATTCCTGAATAAAATAGCTGCAGATACTTAAGAAATATTTCCAACTCCACTTTCAAGTAAATTTAGAAAAGATGTGGCCCAAAGGTAAGTCAAATATATGTGCCAAGATAAATGTAATCTTCAATATACATCTAATAGTAAGACAGAATTTTAAGAATAAATGAAACACTTAAACATTTCCAGCTTCATAAATAATCAAGAAGTCACCTCACCAGAATTTGGTTAAACCATACATTTTTATCCTTTCTCATTTACACAGATCAAAGTAAAGAAAGCATCCAAAGATTGCATGTAAAAGACAGTATATGAAAGCTTCTCTAAATATGTCAAGTCCACACTCTTAACATTGAGAGGCAAGCTATTTTTCAAGAAATTCAGTAGGTTACTTCTCATGCATCAAGAACCTCAACTGAAAAACATACATCAGGCAAAAATGATTAAATGTCCATCAGTCATTAGGAACCTACAAACAAAAATTGAGCCACTCAAGTAAAGTGCTCTCAGGATATTAATGCTGCTTTTGGGGAAAGTATGTCTCAGCTTCTTCATAAGAAAATATTTTCCATAAATTTTAGATGTTTTCCACCCACCCACCCAACTTTCATGTGCAAAGAGACCAATTTAATCTGGCAGAAAACATTTATATTGTATAATTTTATTTTTAAGGCCAGTAAGAAGTGTCACCTAAAGTTATGGCTTTATTCTAGTTTTCAAAAGCATTAACGATAAGATAATTTGTTTTTATTAAATCTCTACTATGTGTCAAGCACTTGCATCTTTAAGGGGACCTTATCATGAAACAGAGATTTGGCAGTATATTCCATTCTGGAAGAAGACTGGCAAACATAAGCCAGAGCTCTAGAACCCGAGAAGTCAGAGCATGTTATCAAAACTGAGGCTCAGAAACACAGGGCCAAAGAAGAAACGCAGCTATAGCAATGCATGGCTGTCCCAGGACCAGATGGGTACTGGGTCTCAGAAAGAAATTAATGAGGGAGACTTGATCCAGAGCCTTAGGAGTGGAGTCTCAGAGTTATTTATGCTTTGGGGGTACAATTTACATGAAAGAAATCAAGGGTCCTTTGTTCTTACCCACAAACAGTCCAGACTTCTCAGAAGAAACCAACCAAAGAACTGATGCACAAAACAAGGCACCAAAAACATGTCACTGGGCTTTCTACCAAATTATGAAGAGAATTTTAAAATTCAATGGAATAGCATTAGAACTTCTTTAGGCCTGGGTGAAAGGTGCAGGATTTCATCACAAAAATAAAGAGAAGTTGAAAGCAATTATCAAATAATTGACAGCCATATGGTGGGTATGAATTTTTGACTCATTAACTTGAGTTCCCCTGAGGTTTGAAATCTGTCCCCTAAGAAAGTAGATTAGCTATACAGATTTGGCTGCAGGTTACAGGAATTTGAACAAGTTAGAAATGTATTCTTGTCTCACCTAGAAGTCTAGGCTGGTTGTCAACACCGCTCAGTTCTCAGAGAGGCATAAAGTTCCTGCAGTGCCCTGGAGCCCAGTCTCCTTCTAGCTTGTTGCTCTGCCATCCCCATGGTGCTGTTCCTAACTACAGAGCCAAGATGCTGCACCATTAGGTCCGCATTGCATTCGGAGGGAAAGAGGACAGAAATTAGTCATATGGCCACCTACCTACAAGAGAGTCTGGGAAATGTGCCCACCTAAAAGAAAAAAAAAAATCGAATGATTTTAAAATTCTAGAACAGGGGTCAATAAACTACAATTGACAGGCCAAAATCAGCCCACTGATCTTTTTTGTATGGCCAGAGGGTTAAAATTTTTTTTTTTACATTTTTAAATGGTTGTTTTCTTTTATAAAGGACAAATATGCAACAGAGAGCATATGTGGCTTGCAAAGCCTAAAATATTTACTGTTTGGCCTTTTACAGAAAAAGTCTGCCAGTGCCTATTATAGAGGAAGGGAAGGATGGCTGTGGGGAGGAACTGGAAGTTTCTGCCACAGTAATAAACATCTCAACACCCGGAATGTTTAGAATTAAGCCAACAATGGAAATAACATCAACTCACAGAATTAGTACTTTTGAGTTAATTTTATGAAGAATATATGTTATATAGGTGATTTAAGAAACTATACATTAGTTTTGCCATTTTAAGCTGAAAGGAATAAGAAAATTGATTGTATTTTTAAATATAATTGGAACATTTTTAAAAGCTTATTTGCTTTGTAAGTTTATTATATTTATAAGAGTACTTTTAAATGCTTGGAAAGCTTTGATTGTTTGCATACTGATTTGCCCTATCAGGTCACTGGAAGCACTTCAAAGGAAAATATACTATATTAAATGCATAATTGCAGTATAAAATATTTAAGGGTGTTTAACTACCTTTGAAAATGGGTATGATTATTTAAGTAGAATTTGTTTGACTTGAATTAATTAAATATTAGCCAAAGAAAACATGAAGGTAATTGTACTTATTTAACTACACTTAAAAATAGAATAATAAGATTTCCATACTGAACTTCAAAACACATGAAAAACTAGGATTTTTGCAAAGATAACTCTACTAAACTAAACATGCAGATAGAAGCCAACTTACTCTAAAGAATCCTTTCCATCTGCAGAGGTTTCCCTCAGACATCAAACAGCTCATTGGCTAGTAAACAGATCTATAAGCCAAGAGGAGTAAAAAGGAGGAGAGAATTTGGCAACTAAATCCGGGGAATCAGGAGACACATCCAAGTCTGAAGAAGATGCAAGCTGCTTTGCCCAACCTTACATACCACCATTTCTTGCCAGAGCTCCACATGGAGTTGCTTATGAAGGAAAATTCAGGTATTGAGAGGCTCAAGCAACCACCACTATCCAAGTCTTGATGGATTCAATCCCGTTAGTGAGAACTGCAAAAATGCCAGTCAGTCCAACTCTGTCATATTACATGGAGTTGTTGTCTCCTGAGTTTTTACTGAGATCGTAAAATAAATGCCAGAGCAATGAATAATCACCCACTGAATTCAAACACTGTTTCATTTTAACAAAAGTACCTTTCAGAGAGACATTCTATTTAGTTTTGTCACTTTGAAATTAGATCTGTGGGATTTTTAAAAAATGCCTAGTTTTGACATTTTAAAACCTTCATATTTCTGAAAGTTTAACATTTCGGTGTTTGATATTTTAAAATATAACTTACCATTCAATGTTGCCTCTTTAAATTTGGTGAATGTTAAGGCTGTCACTTTGTCTCATACATCTAAATTCAAACTGCAGGTTGTCTGGTTTTCTTTTCCCCTTTTTTAGTGTGTGTTGTCGGTGGGGGAGGCGGGGCAGTTTCCAGTATTAACACATGATGACTGTCTGTGGAGTCTCTGGAACATCAGACTCACTCACTGGGAGCACCGCCAAGCTACTTTCAAATGTAAGTTAAGAAGCTACTCCCCCTTTGTGTTTTGTACAAGATGAAGACACCCTTGTTCATCCTTTCTGTCTGGCCAGCCCCTCTAAGTCCACATCTCACCCTCCTCATCAGGGGAGATGCTGCTGAAGGCAGGTTCCCAGGAAAAGGAAGGCAGAACCACACCACCATCTGAGGGAAGATGTGTGACTCAGGCCGCTTCTAATTGGTTCATATTGGCTTGTGCTGGGCCACATGGGCCTGTGCTCATTCAAGCTGGCTTCTGCTGGCTCAAGCTAGTTTGTCAGACCTGTGTTCTTTCCCACTCTAATTCAACTGATTTTCCCCTTTGTACTGACTACTAGGAAGATTGGTTCCAATTCTGAACTGTGTATCATGCAGAAGCAGCTTGAGACACATGTTTGATGTATTAACACTTGGCTTCAGATCATCTTTCTTTTTGGTCTGCATTTCTTGTTGACTAACTTTTATTACTTACTTTACATGTTGTCTTATTGTTTTGTGCATGGATTTAGGAACAATTTTCAATCTTTTTCTTGAGTGAAGTAGGGTATACACAAAGTCACAGGGCAAATAATTACTCACAAATGTACCACCACAGAAAGAAAACCAAGCAACTATCACTTCAGTGGAACCTATGAAAAACGGCAATGGCTTTCATATTTTACAACAGCAACATCTGATACCGAGAAGGCTCACTTCATTTCTTGTAAGTGAAATGATTCTAAGAAATGACCAAATGAATATCCCTTTAAACTGGGTTCTCTTGTCAATTATTAACAGTTGAGAGCAATGAGAAAATGGAAGAGATACACCACTTGCCATAAATGAAAAGGGCTACTAGCAAGGATTTTTATCCTTGGAATTAAGAACACAATTGATAACTATGTGAAAGTTAGGAAACTTCTTCCCAGAAAAGTACTAACGTGTGCTGATAGATAAATGTATCCAAACACTTTAAAGAGACACACAGGACCCAACCACTCCCATGAACCAAGCCCATCTGCTGCACTGAAGCCCTTCACATACTACTGCAGGGCTTTTAAATGATAATCTGTAGATTTCAGTGAGGAGGTGTCCAACACTTTGCAGTGAAAAAAGATAAGTCTATGTAACGGATATATAAATAGATGTGGCTTTAAATATCTACAGTGCTTGCTCATAGAGGATTCCAGTTTCTCTTGATATTGCGGTTACCTAAATTAATTTTTGGTTCTGTAAAGTCATTTCTTTTATGAAGTAAAGATAGTACATATACTGGTTTTTGGTTCTGTTCTTTCAAATATGCAACATAAAGTTGGCAAACAAATTAGTGTTAATCTCAAAAACATACTTTTAAATATATTACTATTCTATGAAATACAAAAATGTAGGGATATCTGCTTTTAGTTTTATGAGACCTAAATTAAAACCACTTGTACTATATTGTAGCTATTTTAAAAATATTTTATGATTAACAATACTTAATTTATATATTGATTCAAGACGGACAGGACTAATTTATAAGAGGACTGAAAAAAATGATACTTCAATTTAAGAAGACAAAATTCCATTACAGGTTAATTATGTTGGATAATGTGATCGTTAATCTCACAAACAGTTTTTATGTTCAATAATTAAAATAAACAAATTAATCACCTTATTGAAAGCTAGCTTACTTCAGTTAGCTGATTCTAAATAAGGAAAACCACCCTACCAGAATAATTTATAATTGTTGTTGTAGTTTCTTCCAATTGATGCATAATTTTGCCAAAGATATCTCCAATTGAATTATTCCATAATTTTACTCTTTACGCTTTAGATATAGACAGTAAATGTAATGCATGATTGTATTTAATTGGAGGGCAGAATAGCTTAACTGAAATAATTTGTTCAAATATATTAAAAAATTACTAAGGTTCATTACTACTTTAATTTACTGTAAACATTTTATTATAGTATAGTAAGGTATTATATGCCTATTTTTATATGATTTAAAGGAGGAAGTCCAAGTTTATGGATTTAAATAAATTTACCTTTTAACAGTAATTAACAATCAGCTATGCAAAAACAATTCTATTTGGCATAAAGACATTGCAAAGGATACAAAAGTGAATAGGATACCAAAGATATCATCTTTATTTTTCTTTTGTAGGATTTCTAATTGGGATTTTTTTTTTTCAGGGTGCAGTGGTTTCTTCTCTCTCCCCTTATTCCCCATATTTTCACCCACTATATCCATTTTTTCCTAGAAACCTTCAAACACATTATAGTAGTCTTTATCTGCTAATACCAAAATCTGGATGACATGTGGTCTTCAGCTATTGACTTTTTTTTTTCCTTTTTTATGGAGACAAGGTCTTGATTTTCTACTTGATTATAGGTTATATTTGCCTGCCTGTTGCCTGTCTAGCAATTTATGATTATATGCTGGATATTATTGATAATACGTTGTATAGACTGTGAATTCTGCTCTGTTCCTCTGAAGAGTGTTGAATTTTGTCATGTCAGACCATTATATTACAAGTGGGTCACCTTAATTTTGTGGAGGCTTGGTTTTCAGGTTTTCTTACAATGGGTCTATTTTAGTTTTGCCATTATTTCAAGGATATAGTTATCATTCCTGGGACATGGTCCCTGCTTCTAATGCATAGCTACTCTGGGTTCCAAAGAAAATCTTGAATTGTTTGCCAAATCTTTATAACTTGGCAGGATTTGAACTCCAATCTCTGTCTTCCTAGAACCAGGAAGCTGGTATCACCTCTGCTCAGATCATTAACTTTCCAACTACTGCTTCCTTTTGTGTTCCTTGAAATCATACCTGCATGTGCATAGTTTAGGAGTCAACTAGGGATTTGTATGTAGATTTTAGGATTCTCCATTTCCAGGATTCCCCCTCCCGATTTCCAGAAGTTTTTGGTAGCCCTGAGCTCTAACCTCTGACTTCTTCACTTAATAAGAATGCCACCTTCTGCTTGAGCTCTATCTCAGTGTGCCACAACAAACTGGGAAGCACGCTCAGCAGAAAAACCAGTTAAGTGTGGATCCTGCCTGATGTGCTCCTCTTCTTTCAAGAGCCATATCCCTTATAGTTCTGGCTTGCTTTTACTACTTTCCAAGTAGCTTTCAAACAACGATTTTTACAGTTTATAATTTTTAATGTACAGTTATTATCAGCAAAATAGTCCAATAGTTAGCACAATACAAGCTATGCTGCCAATATTGGAATGAGAACCTTAGAGATTTGTTTCTGATTCAACGTTTCTTTTTAAAAAATTAAAAGAGTTCTCCCTTTTTCTATTTCACAGCTTTAGTTAAAATATTGAGAAATTTCTATCTAAAGAAAAGAGCATTGGGGCTTAATAGGTTTTAAAATAGAATATTCATAAAAAAAATTGTGAGGCATTTTTTTCTTGCCAAAAACAAAAAGTCTGAATTGTTTTATCTCTGCATATGGCATTATAGGTTTTGGCAATCCTACAAGGTATAGCTCTCTCCCTATCATGTAGATGTAGCTTCAAGAAAATGGAAACTCTGGTATGCTGTAATTTTTCTAATGAGAAATGACATATGACAGTAAAGGAAGATGCAGTAAGGTTTAAAAAACAACCAAAAAAATGCAAACCAATTGAAAAGGGATCATTATAAGAGTCTATTTCATATGGAAGGAAACAACAGTCTTTCCTTATTTGATAGCATATAAAACATTACTGTATAACAAAACAAGATTATGATATTTATAACAATATTTTTATCAGTCAAAAGTTCTAGTTGTGAGCAAAACAAACAGAATGTGGATAACACAAGCTCAAAAGGGATTAATTAAAGGATAATTTGTTGTTCATAAACATCATAAGAATCAGGGTTGGAGTCAATGCACCCAGGGTCAACATTTAAAATCACATCACAGATCAGGATAGTAAGGATATCACAGCTGCTACCACTGAGGACAGACACTGAAACTTGTACCACAGATACCACCAGTGCTGAACCTGAACTGCCTCTGTTAGCACTGCTGCATCTGAGACCTCTAAGACTAGGCGTGGTGGCTGCTGCCAATGTGACTCATCATAAGAATGGATTCTGGGTAGCCCCTGCTTCTCCAAACCATGAGCTACTAATTCAAGGACAGGTGTTAGTATGTCTGATTGCCCATATGCCCCACTGCTAGCTGCAAGGAAGTTTGGAAAGATGGGTCTGTGTCATCTTTAGATTCTACAGTAGGGTTGGCTCTGCCTCATGACTTGGGAGAGTCTCCAAATGTAAGAAGGTTATTTTGAAGTTAGAAGCCCCCTCCTCCCCAAAAAAGAATAAATATAGAGGTCTCTTACAATATCTTTGAATCATCAAAGAGATAAGACAAAAACAACATTTATTAAATACCTATGCAATACTAGGCCCTTTGCTTAGTGTTTTTAAACCACATTACTGAATTTAATTCAATTTAGTTTAATTTAATCACCACAATAATCTTTAAGGCAGATGGGGTTTCTTTCTATTTGCAAGGTTAGATTCTGAGACTCAGAAAGATCACACAGTGATAAAGACCAGATTTGTCACCAGGTTTATCTTGGTTTAAAGTCATGTGTTCTTGAAGAAGGCAGAAAAACACACTTATTAGAAAGTTATGTACCAAATGTTTCCCATTGTACGTTTCACAGGCTGCTATCACAGAGCCTATAGCCCTTTCTGGGACTTCCTTATTTACATGTCCAAATTCCCTTCTCAACTCCAAAGCCCCTTGCAGGTTCAAGACAGTGTCTTCTTCTTTGAATCTATAATTAGCCCACATGGTGCCGGCGCACACCAAAGAGGTTCAATCCTTATTTGCTGAATACATTACACAAATCTTGAAAATTCATTCCTGCAATGAAAGGGGTAATGCTGAGGTAGACAGAACTGCCCTGTAAAGTTGCATAATTTAACAGCTTCCCTGTAGGAAGTTATAAAGGAAACAATGCAATGCACCGTTTTAATATAGAGGGAGAGGTGATTCCCCAAACACCCCAATATATAAGTCATCTTAAAAGAGCTTTTGGCATTCTAAGTAAGCTGTGCAGTAACACTCTGAGAGTATACAGAAAGAATCAAACTATTTTTCTTACTTCATACCATCTATCGTCTTTTCAAGCTACTCATTTGTCCTCAATTCCAATCCCCTTGCCAAAAGCCCTGGCTTAGCAATTTCTTCAGATAAAAATAAGAATCCTCTTACCTTGAAGGGAAATGGTACTATATAAATGTATTGTATATAAATAAAATCTTAACTCATATTTCAAAATTTTTTAGTATATATTTTTATACAATGTTGATTCCTTAAGAGACAGTCGATTTAGGTTAGAGAAAGCATTTCATAACAGGGTAGTTAATAACTGGAACAGGCTGTGAAATTTCTCTCTCTGGAAATCATTGAAAATTGGATAAATCCTCATCTATCTTGGATGATTTAGTCTGCCTAGGTGCACTGGGAACAGGCTTCATGGGCTTCAAAAGTCCCTTCCAGCTTGGGTTATCATCGCCTTCATCATTAAAAAGCCTTTTTTTTTTTTTTTTTTAGCATTTGATTAGCTCTGATTTTGTGTCCAGCTTGGTTGAAGAGCACTACTGGGACCTTGCTTTTCGCCCTCTAATAATTTACAGCATGTGAGAACCCAGAGAGGTGACTCCTTCGGCATGAAGCAATTGAACAAAGAAAGACAATCATTAGCCTAATTCATGAATGGGGCAATTTACAACAGGTGTAAATTCAAGATAAGCATTCTGGGAATGCGGGAGATGGCAAGTGTCTATAAATGATCAGGGGAGGGATCTGGGGAGAATAGCAGATTTCTTATGCCATCAGCTTTGCTCCAGTGAATCTAGGCAGGTGATGTAGAGAAAGAGGAGAATGTTTAAAATGTCAAGATACAGAGCAATTTGGCAAGGGGCAGGGGTGAAGAAGACAGTGATGAAGAGAAGAGAAGGGAAAAGGCGTTCTAGGCAGGAGATGAGACTCTGGAAAAGGAGCTGCAGTGAAGAAGCTGACAGACAGGCTGCTCTCAGGATATGGGAAGGAGGCTTCGAAAATCAAAGGGATCTCAGAATGGAACAAACCCAAAGAGTTGTTAAAAGGGAGGGCATGCAGCGCCCGCACCTTGGTTCTGAATTGGGAAGCTGGGGGAGAGAGCTCTGGCCTCACTTTTCGGCAGCGTACCTCAGAGGACAGCGAAGAAGTTAAGGCAGCAGCATCAAAGGGCGACAACAGTATCCAAGGGTACCTGAGGGCAGGCAGTCCCACCACAGCCTAGAATCAAGACAGAGACTCTATCTCACCTTTTTGCTCCAACCACATATAGCAAAAGAGCAGAATTTCTTAACTGTGGCACTATTGACATTTTGGGCTGGGTAATTCTTTGTTGTGGGGGCTGCCCTGTGCATTGCACGATGTAGCGTAGCATCTCTGACCTCAACACAAGCTAAGCCAGTAGTACTCCCCCAACCTCAGTTGTGACAACCAAGTATGTCTCCAGACATTACAAGATGTCTCCTGAGAGCACAACGTGGGAATCCAAACTGCCCCATTGAAAACCACTAGCGACAGAGAATTGAGAAGAATATGCCTCATTTAACCAGAAGGAAATCTCTCATTTATGTTTTTGTATAAGAACAAAAGATCAACAAAACCAAATATCTTTGCACATACAAAGAAAAGGCTAAATAGATTAAAATCCTGAAGAGTAGATTTCTGTCTAAAATGTCTTTGTATCTCTGAGGACCCCTCAGGAAACAGTGTTGTCAGTGAGTCCCTGTTCCAACCAGTTGTCAATTAGATGGATTCGCTTCTTTAAATCAAATCTTTGTTCTTGTGAAAGTACAAATTGTCCTGGGGGAAAAAAATGCATTTGAAGGTATTGTTGGTCCATAATACCTTGGTGTAAATAAATAGATTAACAGAATCCTTCTGAGAAGCAAGTGCTTTTGTTTTTGTTTTGAAGGAAAGGAATTAAGCTGAGTAAGCAGGACAGCATCTCTTGTATTCAGTTCTGTCCTTGCCCTTCAAAACTCTCCCCAGTATCACTAGGGCTGAAAGTCTGGAAACATTTCCCAGCTCTCTTTAGCAGTAGGGTTTGCATTCATATTCTGCCAATGACCATCACTGACAGAAACCTGGTAGGGGAAGAGAAAGAGAAGACATTATTCACTGGCAGCAGCTGGAGTCGGACGTTTGGGCATTAATATATATGTAGTGTTTTGTTGGTGTCTTCCAAGCATCTTCCTGAGAATGACCCCATTAAGTGTTCTAGGTTGCTAAGATATTAGGTAGTCATTTCTTGCCTTTGCTGCACTTTCTGAGTTCTTGATACCAACAAAAGTATCCTTGACTTTGACTCCCAAATTTCTCGAACAGTGTGTAAGCAGGTAATTCCCTATATTCGATCCTTTCCTGTTCAATTTATCTAGAGTGTTTTATTCTTACTTCACTCGATCTTGACTAACACATGAATAAAGCTACAAGATAAGGGCACAGGATACCAGGGGAATGAGAAACACTAAGGAAGAAAGGGGAACATCAAGTGGGAGACATTGCATTAGTTTCCCATGGATGCCATAACAAATTACCCTAAACTAAGTGACTTAAAACAACAGAAATTTATTCTCTCACAGTATGGAAGCCAGAAGTCTGAAACCAAGGTGTCAGCAGGGCCATGCTTCCTCTGAAGGTTCTAGAGAAGAATCCTAGATCAATAATCCTTCCTTGCCTCTTCCCATTAATAGCTTCTGGTGGTGGCCAGCAATCCTTGGCATTCCTTTTCTTGGAGTTGCATCACTTCTATCTCAGCCTCTGTTGTTACATGGCATCCTTCTCTCTGTGTCTCTGTGCCTGTGTCTTCACATAGCCTTCTTATTAGGACACCAGACATCGATTTAGGGTCTACCTTAATCCAGTATGACCTCATCTTAATTTGATTACATCCACAAAGACCCTATTTCCTAATAAGGTTACATTCACAGGTACCAGGTGAACATGGAGTTTGGGGTAACACAAATTAATTTAGTATAGGCATCAAAAACAAAATTTGCCTCCTACTTCCTTTCTCCCATGGCCAGTCTTCCCCTAAAGATCAGTGCCCTGAGCATAATGGGAAGGATACTCAGCATTGTTGGAGATAAGTATTCTTAGAACTAAACCTTCAAATAAAATGTGGATACGAGCACCCCAAATATTTTTTATAGGTGATGTTATTCCGAGGGCAGAATGCTTACATAACCACTCACACCAGTACTCCATAAAGGTGACACATAGTTTGCTACAAATAAACATAGTTCAGTTCATTCATTCAACAAAAACATTTTGACATCAACATGCACAACAGCTCTGAGCTAAAGAAGAGCAAGAGACTGCTGTTAAATTATTGATGCTATCTTAATCATTTTGATACAACAAGCTATAAATATAAGCCTCTAGGATTATCCAAAATAGTCCGTGTACACTGTCAATAAGATTCTTAGCTATATTGTATGTGTGGGCCAACTGCTCTGTAAATCTCTCATCAGTCAGGATGAAGATTACAAGAAAAATCTGGCATCCAAAAGGAACTGCAGTTTGGCAAGATGTAAGAAAATAAGGATTATACCAGAAATACAATGGCATGAGAGGTTAAAAAAAAAAAAGAAGAAAAAGCACCCAGAGGACAGAAAGACAACAAATCTCTAGGCAATAACTGATACCTAGGCAAACAATTCTGGAAGAATACAAGCCATCAGTTTGTTTATTATCTCTTTACAGCCATAAAATTGAAGAAAGAAACATCTCTGTTTAATTTTCAAATCAGTTCTATAAGTAAGAACATTAACTAGAGGGGGGTAGCATGAACTCTGAAACATCTATTCATTAGTAACTGTCATCACACACAGTTATGGGAAGCATCTTCCCTTCTGACAGACCATGCACAGACACTGTCCTTCTCCCTTCTCCCACCCAGGAACTGCTCATTAGTAAACAGGCTTTTTCTGGACTCATCTTAAGAAGGTACAGAAAATATTAGCAACTTCCTGGCACTTCATTTATTGAGTGTTAAAGCTAAAAGCACCTCTGACGTGCTAATGCACTTTGGTTCCATCATATCTCTTATAAGTGGAAATAATTTAGGCCTGAACACCAAGCAATCAATTGGAGGACCCACCAGAAATAGCAGGTTAGCACAGCTGATGTTGACCGCCCACATTCTCTGGCCCCTATTCTCACCCTAGTAATCACAATACCCTACAGGCAGCAGATACATAGCAATTTCCTTTATTGTTGTCATTGTTGAAGGATTTACTAAAAACATGAGAAGGTGATTTGTAAATGCTTTTCAATACAGAAGTGTGTTTTTCCTCCTGATTATAAAAAATTATATGTTCTTTTAGAAATGCTGTGAAAGTACAGAAAAACAGAAAAGATAGAAATAATAACACAAAATCTTACCATCCATAGAAAACAACTTGTCATTCTTTCTGTTCATTCCACACTTTTAAACATATATGAGGGAAATATGTGATTTAAGAGAAAACTATGCCTTGTTTAGGCTCTCCACTTGAGAACCCATCCTTCCAAGTGATCTGATTCTGACTGTAGGGGGGCTCTGTGCCTTGCATTGCCTTTGAACTATGTTGCAACTCTGTAAGTGTTAGATAACTGACAACAACGCAAAATAATACTTGTCTACATTCCATAAGATGGAGGTACAATTGACTCCCTTTCCCACTGTGGAAGAAGCTGTTTTTGCAATCATTTGTAAATTCATTTAAATATTCCTGATCCCTAAATATGTTCATTCTTTGGATTCTCCTTTGAACTGTTTTAACATCTCACCAGTTCCCTCATTAATAATGAGTTAAATAAAAATCTTTAACGTGTTCATTTTACAGTTGTATGAATCATGAGTCTACCTTGTTTGATAATTTTTAAAACATTAATTTTATTTACAATAACAGAGTTTCACCATAACTCATTATTTGTAGCCTGCTTTATTCTTTTAAAAATACATCAAGGCAAGGTGTGGTGGCTCACACCTGTAATCCCAACACTTTGGGAGACTAAGGTGGGAGGATGGCTTGAACCCAGGGGTTGGAGACCAGCCTGGGCAATATGGTGAGACCCCACCTCTGCAAAAATAATAAAAATTTTAAAATTTTAAAAAATAAAAATACATGACATAGCTCTTTTCCATGATGATTAATACAGATTTGTAATGACTGTAAAGGATTCCAATTGTGTGAATGATCCATACTTGAAACCACCTTTGCAAAAATTATAACTGAGACAATTATTACAGTGAAAGAGGTCTGACCTAACTGACTCCATCTTGCTTCCAACCTCCAAACTGTTCTTGTTCATTCCTGGGCATAGGCTGAACTAACTTTGGGAGGAAATTAGTTTATAGTTTAACTTTGAAACAAAGATGATAATCACCCTTTCCCAAAACAAACTCCCTTTCTGCCTGAGGACTGGACTGTCTTTGCAGGACTCACAAATTAGCCATAAGATTAGAAATTATGGTTTAGGAATCGTGGAGCTGGAGATTACAAGATTACTGAACCTCCTCAAATTGCTCCTGGTGACAACATCACTATTGTGAAACCTAAGATCACTGCTTGAGATATTTTGCAGATCCTGTACTAGAGGGATCAGCTGGCACCACCCAGATCGATAAACTTGCTCATTTGGTCTTGTGGTCTCCACCCAGGAACTGACTCAGTGCAAGAGGACAGCTTCAGCAACTTATGATTTCATCTCTGACTGGACCAATCAGCACTCCCCACTTTCTGACCTTCTACCCACCAAATTATCCTTAAAAACCCCAATCCCTGAGTTTTCAGGGAGACTGATTTGAGTAATAATAAAACTCTGGCCCTTGCACAGCGAGCTCTGAATAAATTAAACTCTTTCTCTATTGCAATTCCCTTGTCTTGATAAATTGGCTCTGCTAGGCAGCAGACATGGAGAAGCCATTGGGTGATTACATATGGATGGATATTCAGTTGGTTTCTAATATCTTGCTGTTGTGAACAATGCCACAAAGAAAGTTCTTGAACAAAATTGCATACCTGTCCCATTAACTATTTGGACAGATTTCTAGAAGTAGAGCTGCTTGGTCAAAATACCTGCACAGGCTGTACACAGGTACATTCCTATGAACACTGTATGAGAGGACCCATTTCTAGTAAGGTAGTGAACTTAACTGCCTATAGGGCCAGGCAAGTAAACGAGATGTTTTATTCAGGCCTTTTGTAAGATCATAGGGTGACAAAGGGTCTCAGAATGGAAAGGAGCAGAGGCTCAATGCTCACTGCTTGCTTCCAGGCTGTCAACATCAAAAACATTCAAAGAAGGAAACACACACACACACACATACACACACACACACACACACACACACACACACATTTTCCTTTCTAACATTTAAATTGTCTACTTTTATAGAATAAAGAAATGTTAGTGAAAAACTTGGCTTGGAATAAGCTAGTTCAACCAAAAGGCACACATACTCTATGAGGTCCCTTGCTTCTCAGATATTTGACGGGAAAAATCATCCAGCAAGCTGTATTTTCTGACTATAAGGATTGATAGGGAGGGAGGCACAGCCATTATGTTAAAAAAAACTTGCATCTGTATTAATATGTTTGATCAATACAAAGTATCTAGAGACAATCTAAAAATTCATTTAGATACAGGAACCAACTTTTTAAAATGTTGTATCTTACATTTATAAAACCTCGTGTTCATTCAACAGAGTTCAAACTGTCAGTCTGGCAAACTTGTCCTTTCTACGTTCTTTTTCTATCAAAATATTTCTATGCATTTATTTCAAAACAATCTATTTTTTCACTATAAATGATTAATTTTAATCTTCAAGGGTTCAGTTGTCTGACCACAGTGACACAAAGCCTGGAAAAGTCTGCGAAGTCTAATGGAAATGACATTTGAATGCCTTAAGAGAGTCAAAGAAATGCAAAACCAATCAAACTGTGAAGGAAGTGAACTACCTCAATGGGGGATGAAGTCATCTATGAGTAGATGAAGAATGATGTAAAATGGCACTTGAATCTAAGGCGTCACTACTCACTCAAGTGTAGTTGCTGCCCCAGCGACACAGGTATTACCTGGGAGCTGGGTACAATCATTAATGTGCACACAGATGTGCACAAGACTCACCTGGGATTTGGTAAGTCGGGGTGGGGTTGTGAGAACTCACAACCAAATCCAAACCTTTATTTTAACAAGACACCAAGGCGAGTCTTGTGCTGATTCGTGTGCACACTAAAGATTAAGAAGCACTGGTCAAGCAATCATCGGGATATTAACAGCAACTGGTATTTCTCATTAGGGTCACAAGTATGAATAAAGACCAGACTTATGTCTCTCTGCCTGAATTAAAAACAGTGAATCAAGATGGAAACCCGAACTTTACTGGCTGAGAACGATTTTCTTATTGGGTGTGTTTTAATCCCAGAAAGGTTTAGAATTAAGTACAGAAATGATGGAGTAAATCAATCCCATAGTATTAATATATTCACATTAAATTTAGAATTAATCTGTATATGTTTTATATTATGAGTGCTTTACATTATTTAAGAGAATATGGCAAGAATAAGACTTGGAATTCTAATTTAAAATGTGTGCTGAGTAATTGATTTAGATTTGGGTTTATATGTTAAAAGACAGTTTATAAATGGGACTGAGACATTTACAAGAACAAAACACATCTATATGTTTAAAACAGCTTTATAAAAGTTATTCAATACTTGGAAGCGTTTGTCAGATAACTGAAGGGCTTTAAAAGAAATACAGAAATACCATTTAAATGTTGAAGGGCATTTAATTATGTTGTCACAAGTCCTCATAAAAATGACTATAAAATTTTGCTAGATTTACAAATTGTTAAAAAATAAGGAAGAAATATGATTTTAAATGTGTAACTTGAATACATTGGATATCAAGTTTGTCCACAAAACTGCCCTTAAATAATCTTTTCTGTGTACAAAAGTCACCTTCAACACACACTCAAGAAAGTCACCTTTACAGCCAGATATTACAAGGTCTTTGAGAGAAACTAGAAGTGCCATCATCCACGTTCAAACTTATCAGTGCCTTGTTTCATCTTCCGGTCACAGCATGTGCCCACTTCTCTTCTCCCACTTTTCCCAACTTTCCAGTTTCTATTAAGAAATCAATCAGTGGAAACCCAGCAGAAGGCCAGGAGCAGACATATTTCTGGAGGCTTCCAAATATCTAAGTGCTAGTGCTATGACAATAGCAGTAATCTCTTACACTGTATCAATATTTCATAGGTGGTAAATGGGTCGCTGTCTCATAGGGTCTGTATAGCCCCATTTCACAGTTATGGAAGCAAGATTTAAAGTGTGTCATGGCTTGGCTCACACTGGGGTCACTCCTGGAATTCCAAAGTCCACACATGCTCATTTTGCTGTTTCCCAAGGCCTATCTCGGCAAAGTTATAGAGATGTGTTCCCTACATTCAGAGAATACCTCCTCAATACTAATTTTTAACTTAAAAAACACATAAATACATATATTTATATTTGAAAACAGATGATACATATGAGATGGAGAGGCTAATTTTTGTTAAACTGTACTATGTGATAAAACTAGAATATTCCATTTTCTGATGGGGCTTAATAATAGTATTTCCTACACATATGTAAAAGGTTCATTGAAAATTAAAGAGGCTCCTAACATTCATAATTATTCAATTTAATTGTGTGTTTCTTATATATTCACATTCTAGGTAATCAAATTTAAAAAGTGAAAGAAACACGCAGTCAAATGTCTGCTGATTTTCTGTTCAAGGCTCTGTTTCATAAACACTTTGTCCTCTATCCTTACCTGGCTACATGTACTTCCATGCTTCCTATTAGAAATCTATATAAATATATACATATTTGAAACATATATTTCAACTTTATATACACACATGTGTATATAAATTATATATAATATATAGATTATAAATATATTTTTTATATATATATAAACTTTCTTTTTGCAACAACAAATGTTCTCTACTTTAGGTATGTTCAACAGTATCAATCACCACTTAACTGGCTCTTTTAAGATGTACACTGAGGTTAACTAGATGGGAAGTCTCTATTAAACCTCATTCAGGCTCCCACAAATAGTTCCAAACTTCAACTGGCCCAGGTGTGGTGGGTAAACAGTCATATTCTCTCATTTCATTTTTCATCCCTAATGTGATTACTGTGATATTTTGCCCTAAACGTAAGATCTTTCTCATGATACTCACTGGCTCCATCCTAAGCCCAAAGGAGAATGTGATGGCAGTAGGGACTGAAGCAATCTGGGCTCTGCCAATGACCAATGAGGATACAGGGTGGCTATGTCAGCACTGCCAAACCACCTCAGCCATTGCTATCCTTGGAGATGTTTATGATCATTGCCCCACAACTGGCTTGGAAGTTGGAAATTATACAAGATAGTATTTAGCAGCTAGCTTGGACAGTCTAGAAATGAGGTCATTTCAAGATTATTGTGGATAGCATGCCAAAATTCTTGCTCAGATGATGAGAATTTTACCATCTACAAATTATACCCACAGATAAATTATAATCTAACAAATATGCAACTTCTAATTTACACACAAGACTAAAATCCACATCCCATTGACACATCCATTCCGTCATTCCATAAACATTCATCGGGTTTCCCTTTAGGTCCACCTGTCATTCCAGGTGCCAGAAAAACATGGATGAATGGCCTATGACTTCTGCCCTCATGGAGCCAGAAGCAGATATACATTTACAGATTATGATGTGAAAGATACTGAGTAGTACTAGAAAAGTCTACATCTCTGCAGAAAAGTGTTAACCTAGCAGGACTGAGCTATTATCTTCAGAAGGATCGGCTTGCAGGGTTGGTCCTTGGCTGGCTCCTGGGAACTCAGCTTCTGAAAAGTTCCCTACACAATCGGTTGTTTTTCCCACCTGGGACACTAAACACCTGCTTTCCTTCTGGGAGTCTGGAATTTCAGTAATTGTGGCTAGTCACTGTAACTTCGTGACCAGACAACAATAACAACTCTGGGCTCTGAGTCTAACTAAGATGGGCTTCCGCAGGCAGAAAAACTGTACACAGGTTGCTTCCTTTTCCCTGTTGGGGGCAAGAGTGCTTATGTGGCCTCATCCAGGGACAAACACGGCAAGCCTGTGCATGGATTCCTCCAGACTTGGTCCGTATCTTTTTCCCTTATTGATACAACTGTGTATCCTTGCCGTGTAGCTGTATTAAATAAATAGAACTGTATGCACCATTGTATGCTGAGTCCCATGGGTCCTTCTAAAAAATCACCAAACATGTGGGTGGTCTTTGTGATCCCAAAACAGTCCCATTGTCTCAACAGCCATTTGGATTGGTACTTAAACATTAGTGACGTTCCAGTTAGTGAATTTGACAGTTGGGGGTTGGCGAGAGGTGCGGTTAAACATTTCAAATTCAGTGAAATAAACTGTCAAGTTCATTGTAATTTTGAGGCATCTGTCTGTATAGTCGGTATTTTTAAAAACCAGAAATTCTATACAGTATTTAACATGTAACACACACGTGCACACACACTAGTGTCATGTCTTTGAATTTTAAAGTTTGAGCTAAACATCAAATGACATAAAAAGAAAGGATAGAATTAAGCCAAGGGCAACATGGTTTGTATTAACCTTTCAGCCTCAATCCTTCACTCAAGTTATTTGGCAAATTAAATGATCTTAGATTAAAGGGGAAAGCCAGCACTGGGAAGTTCCATTTCATGTTGGCATTGTTTTCAATAATTAAATGCAGGGCTTGCTATCAGCTAGGAATAGAGAAGTGTGAAGAGAAACAGTATTCCCCCCTGAAAAAGATCTATCCAGGCTTTTCAGCATGCCTTTGTTGTTGTTAGCATTTTTTGCTTTGCAGATTCTAAAATCCTGGGTCTTCAAGATGGAATCAGAAAAATGCTATAACAATTTGTATTACATTTTCTTAAATGCTAACCTAAATCATACACAAAACACCCAAATTTTCTATAACAGTAGTTTAGTAAACAATAATAGCTCTCAAACTTCCTCCTTCATCCCCAACGCCTGTAACACACTTCATAACGGGGCAGCACCCCAAATTTTTTTAAGTGCCACTGTGATTAACATGAAAGATTTTATACTTCACCTCTGCTACCTTTTTTTTTTTTAATAACTAGAACAAAACAGTGATGTGTATATGGGTACAAAAGCGAATTTTCACTCATATCCTAGAGAAAATTAGGCCACACTTAAAGCCCCCTAATCAGGAATCCACACTTCAGGTGCAGCCAAAGGAAGTACTTCAAACGTGTTATCTAAATCTGCACCAGAGGGTTATTAATTAGCATAAGGGTATGAGAAATTATTTTTCATTGATGAAATGAGTAGTGTTCCAGAAATGTGGTAGCTAGAAAGACTACACAGGCCCTCCTGAACTTGCGTAGGAAAAATATAAGAATTGGGCAAAAACAGCAGCCAAATACCCAAGAGTAATACTCTAAATTCTAGCATTCCGTTTGGTCTTGTGCATAACCCCTCACCCCTACCCACTTAACAGAGGACTAAATGCCTGATCCAAATAGATGCCTGAGACCATGTCTGTTTCAAAGAGAACTCTTCAGGCAGGTACTGTACAAGTAATTCACGGACCTCAAAAGACTAAGTAGTACATCTAGTTTTTCAATCTCTTGCCTTGCTTGCTTTCTCGCTTTCTCTTTCTCTCTCTCTTCCTTCCTTCCTTTTTCTTTCTTTTCTTTCTTCCTTCCCTCCTTCCTTCCTTCCTTCCTTCCTTCCTTCCTTCCTTCCTTCCTTCCTTCCTTCCTTTCTTTCTTTCTTTCTTTCTGTTTCTTTCGGATAATTCACAGACCTCATAAGACTAAGTAGTAGATCTGTTCCTTCATCTTTTTCTTTTTCTCTTTCTCTTTCTTTTTTCGGTCAGCTCACTAATTATTTATACAAACTTTGATCTGAGGCTTGCTTTCATTATAACACTTGCCAACTTATGCAGAAGAAGATAGGGATTTCACCTACCTTTACTTGTCAGATATTTGCCAAAGAAGCACTCAATCTCGAAAGTATCCAATTACCATATATTCCTTTGTGACTACTCTTCTGTCCTCCTGTCACTTCACACTGACCTGGGGCCCTATGTTCTCCAAAAGGCATAAATGTCTGTTTAAATAATTGAATTATTTAACATCTAGATGCTTTTACATTAAATGAATATTTTATAATATTTTGGAGGAATGAGATGTAATTACCAACAATTTAAGATGCCCATCAAGCTGTGTACAAAAAAATAACAAAGCTTCCAAAGTCAACAGATTTATTTTAGCGGCTTATGATGTGTTGCATACATGTCTGGTATATAGCACAATTTAGAAAGCCATCTAGAAAACCCTGAGATGGACAAATAGGTGAAAAACAAGAAGAGCTGATTTGGAACCAGGCAGAAAAAGTTCCCATTTTTCTGATTTGGCCTTGCTTTCCACACCTGCCTGCTCTTTGCTCTCATTTTATACAATTTTTGCCGATGCCTTAAAAGGAAGTTGCGCACTCTATTTTTTTCATCTGGAACACTCACTATATTTTTGCCCAACAAAATTTTTAAAGCAATCTATCCATTAAAACAGCAGCAACAACAGCAGTTGGATAAGTACGTGATACTTTCTGGTTGTATAACACCTTCCACTAATTCTTCCTGTTGTCTACATGGACTTTCTCCTACAGCAGGGATTCTCAAAGTGTGGTCCCTGGATCAGCAGCATCAGCATCATGTGAAAACTTATTACAAATACAAATCTCAGGCACCATCCCAGACCTAAGGAATCAGAGGCTCTGGGGTGGGGCTCACTAATTTGATTATAACAAGCCTTCCAAGTGATTCTGATGGACACTACCATTTGGGAATCACTGTTCTTCAATATTTGGCACACACTTAGTTAAATTTGGAAACACTGACTACAGATGTACCCAAGCTGTCATCTGTAGAGGTAGGGAAGCAGATGGCAAGGAGGTTAATCCTTCTGTCATGCTTGACTGGCAAGGTGAAAGAGAAGTGAGCATGCAAAGCTCACAAAACCCTTCCTACCACCCCATCAGAGCTCACTCCAATGTCAATGCAGCTGCCATCTTAACAAATGCTCTCAAGTTATCAGCTGCCATTCTATAGCTTTCTCCAGGCAAAGTGTCAAAATACCTCTTGGTAACTAAAGAATGCCACATCTCCTAAATACCACTACAGGAATAGCATAGGTGAGTTAATTAAATCATCAAGGATGGCCGTGCCATATAGTATCCAGTGGCTTAGAGGCTTGTCACAGCAGTGCCACTACAGGACTCTGAGCCCCAGTTTGAGGAATATGCCCAGAAATGTTGGTTATATTTGGAAATGTGACACAGTTGCTTCAACCAGCAGACAAGAGACACAGCTCATTCAAATGGAAACCAAACCCAAAGCAAGCTAGTGCTTGAGGGGAAAGATCTCTAGTAAGGAAAGAGTTAATACATACTCATTTAATTGTTTTAGTTTAACTTTTAATGGACTTTGTTTTTTTAGAGAAGTGTTAGCTTCACAGCAAAATTAAGCAGAAGGTATAGAGATTTCCCATATATTCCCTGCTACAATGTATACACAGACTCCCCAACTATCAAAATCCCATATCACAGTGGTACATTTATTACAATCAATATACCTACAGTGACACATCATTATCACCCAAAGGGTTCACTTGGTGTTGTACATCCTACGGGCTTGGACAAATGTAGGATAACAAGTATCCACCACTGTAGTATAATACAGAGTAGTTTCACTGCCCTAAAAACCCTCTGGGTTCCACCTATTCATCTCTCCCTCTCTACAACCCCGGGCAACCACTGATCCTCTTACTCTCCCAATAGTTTTGCCTTTTCCAGAATGGCATACAGTTGAAATCACACAGTATTATAGCCTTCTCACATTGGCTTATTTCATTTAGTAATACATTGTAAGATTCTTCCATGTCTATTCATGGTTTGACAGCTCATTTCCTTTTAGCTCTGAATAATATTCCACTGTCTGGATATAACACAATTTATTCATTCATCTAATGAAGAACAACTTGGTTGCTTCCAAGTTTTGGCAATTATAAATAATGTTTCTATAAACATTCGTGTGCGGGCTTTTGTTTGGACACATGTTTTCAACTCTTTTGGATAAATACCAAGGTGTGCAATTGCTGGATCGTATGGTAAGAGAATGTTTAGTTTTGTAAGAAAATGCCAAAATGTCTTCTAAAGTGGCTGTATCATTCTGCATTCCCACAAGTAGTGAACGAAAGTTCCTGTTGCTCCACATCCTCATCAATACTTGGTGTTGTCAGTGTTCTGGATCTTGGCCATTCTAATAGATGTATAGTGGTATCTCATTGTTGTTTTAATTTGCGTTTCCCTGATGATATATGCTAAGAGCATCTTTCCATAAGCTTATTTGCCATCTCTCTTCTTTGATGACGTGTCTGTTAATGTCTTTGGCTCATTTTAAAATTTGTGTTGTGTTCTTGTTGAATTCTAAGAGTTCTTTGTATATTTTGGATAACAGTTCTTTATCAAATATGTCAATTGCAAATATTTTCTTTTAGTCTGTGGCTTGTCTTCTCATTCTCTGAACAGTGTCTTTTGCAGAAGAGAAGTTTTTAATTTCAATGAAATCCAGCTTATCAATTTTTTTCCTTCATGGATTGTGCCCTTGGTGTTGAATCTAAAAAGTCTTCACTACACCTGAGGTCATGTAGGTATTCTCCAAAGTTATTTTCTAAGAGTTTTATAACTTTTTTGCATTTTACTTCTAGGTCTGTGATCCATTTTGAGTTATTTTTGTGACAGGCATCAAGTTTGTGTGTAGATTCTTTTTTTTTTTTTTTAATGTGGATGTCCCGTTAGTTGTTCAATCAACATTTGTTGAAAAGACTATTTTTGTTCCACTGTATTGTCTTTGCTCCTTTGTCAAAGATCAGGTGACTAATAATATTAATGTGAGTCTACTTCTGGATTCTATTTTGATCCCCTGATCTCTGATTTGTCTATTCTTTTGCCAACACCACAATGTCTTGATTACTGTAGTTTTATAGTAAGTCTTAAGGTTGGGTAGTGTCAGTCATCTGGCTTTGGTCTCTATAGTAATTCTTGAAGTTAGGTAGTGTCAGTCCTCTGGCTTTGTTCTTTGTGTGGGTCTTCTGCCTCTCCATATAAACATTAGAATCAAAATGTCAACATCCACAAAATAACTTCCTGGGATTTTGACTGGGATTGTATTGAACCCATAGATTAAATCTGAAAGAACTGATATCTTGACAATATTAAGTCTTCCTATCCAAGAACATGGGATATCTCTTCATTTATTCCATTCTTTAATTTCTTTCATGAAAGTTCTGTAGTTTCCTCATACAGATCTTGTATAAATTTTACTAGATTTATATATAAGTGTTTATTTCTTTGGTGCTGATATAAATGGTATTGTGTTTTTCATCTCAAATGCCACTTATTCATTGCTGGTATATAGGAAAGCAATTAACTTTTGTATATTAACTTTGTAACCATGCAATAGTCATTTATTAATTCCAGGAATTTTTTTGTTGATTATTTCAGATTTTCTATATAGATGATTATGTCATCTGTGAATAAAAGACAGTTATTTCTTCCTTCCCAATTTGTATACCTTTTCTTTCTCTTATTGCCATATCTAGGACTTTCCTGTACAATGTTAAAAAGCAGTGGTGAGAGGACACATCTTTGCATCATTCCTGATCTTAGTAAGAAAGTTTTGAGTTTTTCTCCACTAAGTATGTTAGCTGTACGTTTTTTATGTGCATTCTGTCCTGAGTTGAGGACATTTGCCTCTATTTCTAGTTGGATTTTGCCAAATGCTTTTCATGCATTTATTGATATGATCATGTGACTTTTCCTCTGTACCCTTTTGATGTAATGGATTTCATTAATTAATTTTCAAATGTTGAACCAGACTTGCATATCTGGGATAAATCCTACTTGGTTGTGGTGTAAAATTCTTTTAACACATTTTTTGATTCAATTTGCTAATATTTCATTGGGGATTTTTGAATCTATGTTCATGACAGATAATGGTCTGTAGTTTTTTTCTAATGTCTGTGTGCTTTTGGTATTAGAGTACTGCCGGCCTCATAAGATGAGTTAAGTATTCCTTTTGCCTCTATCTTCTGGAAGAGGTTGTAGAGGACTGGTATAATTTCTTCCTTAAATGTTTGGTAGAATTCACCAGTGAACCCATCTGGGCCTGGTGCTTTATGTTTGGGGAGGTTATTAATTACTGATTCAATGTCTATAATAGATATAGGCGTATTCAGTTTGTCTATTTTTTCTTGTATGAGTTTTGGCAGATTGTGTTTCAAGGAATTGTTGCATTTCATCTAGGTTTCCAAATTTGTTCATAATGTTCCTTTAATATGCTTTTAATCTTTATGGGAGCTGTAGTAAGGTCACCTCTTTAATTTCTGATACTAGTAATTCATGTCTTCTCTCTTTCGTTCTTAGTCTGGCTTAGAGACTTATCAATTTTATTGATCTTTTCAAAGAACAAGCTTCTGGGCTTTTAAAAGAAATTTCTTTATTGATTTCCTGTTTTCAATTTCACTGGTATCTGCTCTAATTGTAATTATTTATTTTCTTTTGTTTAATCATTTCATTTCAGCTAAAGAAGAACAAAGGTGAAAATGCTGGACTCTTTATATAAGACTGCATGTAAGAAAATTATTTTCTTGAATGCTATAATTTGATGCACCACCTACCAATGTTACTTGTTCATGATGATTTTGCTATTGTTTGTTAGGGTTATGTCTACACACCAGGAAAGAGACAGCTGGCAAAACATAAGCTGGACAAAAAGGGATGGCAGTGTTTTTATTTGGTGAGAGTCTAGCAAGGATTTTGCTGAAATAAACTGTGGTTTATATGCTCATTTATATTTTAAATCTAGGTTTCGTATCGAAATTCTTGTCATTCTGTGCTCAGTTAAAACGTTAGTTCAATGCCATATTCCTTGTAAATATCTTTGAACATAGACTAGAATCCCTGAAATCCTTACAGGATACTGACAAGATGTTCTTTAGACCCAAACATACACAATAACAACAATAGCAATGACATATACAGTGCTGTGTGCCAAGTACACCTCCAAATACTTCTGCTGATTCTTTTAATCCTCTTTAAACAATACTATGCATTAGGTGCTATTACTGTCTTCATTTTACAGATGAAAAAGTTACAGTGCAAGAGGGAAAATACACCATCCAAGGTGTAGAGATACATAACAACTGACATGTACTGTGTGATAATGCTAGATGCTACATATGTACTCATTTAATCTCTGTGGAGAACTAGGAGACATGCTGCTTTTAGAGACAAAGAAACAAGACTCAGATTTATTAACTTGCCAAAACCCATGGTGCTGATAGGTTGTAGGGCTGGGATTCCAGTCTAGGTCAGCTGACTCCAGTGCCACTGTGCCACAGTGCTATGTGACCATGGCTTGGATGATACCGACTGAATACAGGAATGTAACCTGAGCCATTTCTCACAACTGATTGGCACTCCTTGATATGCCAGAATGCTGGTTTGGGGTGTTCACACTAAGGGATATCAATAATCATTGTATGTTTGAAAGCATTTGCCTGTTTGCAGTCTGAAGGTGCTTGGGTCCTTATGATCTAGAACAGTGTCGTTCTTTGGCTGTGACTCACAAAAAGGAATAAATTTTAAATTTATACCTAGTGTATACACACAAATGTATGTGTATCTATACAAACACACACAGAAACATCCCAGCATACATACATGTATATTTATGTAGGTACATAGACATATATAAATAGAAATGAGAATTTCACCAAATTCTTATACAGAACAATACTTACACAATATTCCTACTATGTGTAATAGATTCTGACACATTCTAATATTTTTCTATTCTATTTCACTATAAAATACTGGTTGCAACCCACTTAAGTTGACCTCATAACTCACTAACAAACCAGGACCTGCATTTTGAAAAAAACTGCCCAAGAATATCAGCTAAATATTTTCAAGGATATTTTAGTTTTAAAAACAAATTCATTCTTAAAATTGGATAGCCATTCAACAAACACTGCTGACCAGTATTATCAAGTCACTGTGGCAACGAGGTAAATTTGATACAGTTCTGATGGAAAAAAACTCACACTCATGTAGAAAAGATAGTCTTGGAAGCAACTAAAATATAATGCATTATGGTTGATAATGTAAAGCAGCATTTATGAAAGGCTATTGGGAAATACATGGGAGTAGGCAAGAGTTGGAGAAGGCACCATCAAAAACAGGTGACACTGGAATCCCACTGAGAAGTACCCATAGGAATAGGGGTGGATGAGCAAGTGCATTCAAGGAATAAGGACCTGGGTATATTTCTTGTTTATTATTACGTGGTTAGTATCTTCTAAAGTAGTCTCTCAAAAAATCATATTTATTTGCATTACTGCCACCTTTTCCACTCTAATGTGTTTTCTTTCAATGATCAGAGGAGAAAAAATTATGTCACATTTTCTATACAGGTAAGATAAATTCAGATTTTCCAGATGTCCTCAAAATATGCCTCAGTGTAACTCCCTGTAACCCCTACTGTGCATGGCTTTTGCCGAGACATAAGAGAAAGGTTATAGGAAATACAAGAAGATGAGACACATTTGCAGATATACTTGTCTTCCAAAAGTCAGAGAGAAAAATATACAATGGTGCAAGTGGAGACAAAGGGGAACCCACAGAAAGACAGTCATCACATACTTCTATTTCCTTTCCAGGATTCACAACCCAGTTCTCACCATATGAATGGGAGCATTATTAGTTATTTTCCTTTCAATGAAATATTTCCTTTTAATGAAATATTCTGTATTCATCGTCAAGCCACACACCAAAGGCACATTTGAACCTTGGTATTATTTAATATTTTCTTGTCAGGAAGTCACTGTTGCCAATCTTCAATAGGCAAGGTGTCGAAATATATTGATGTTGTCGTCATAAAAAATTATTTAAATCCTCTCTTTGGGATACTATTGTATTATTACGTGACATATGATAAGTAAAATAGAAACAACACCAATGAGTATTTTGGGAGATTCCATTAAAAACAATTAAATAATTATGCTTAAAAAGCAATTAAATAATTATTTATTTAATAATAATTATTTAAGCATTACTTATTTTATTTAAACATTATTTGAAACAAAATATTTCAGCAACTCCCATATACTACAAAGGTCAGACAGTAGAAAGAATTAACCTTCACTGTTTCTTTGTTTGATAAGTATGCTGCACTTCACGACAGGTGAGTATTCTAGCTTATTAGCAGGGAGGCATCTGACACATGAGTTTTATGGTCATGGTGTTGTGCATAGCCAGTGAGATTTTTTTAAAGTTATTGTGCAAAAAATAGAGTTGAAATGCCTTGGAGTGGAGGCAATTCAAGGAACTGCATGCAAACAATAAAAGACATGAAAGCAGATTACCCATCTTTAAAATTATTTATGATGTGTAACTGTACCTATGGATTTCCTTTTATAATCACTTAATTGTCTTTCATATGTAAGTAATTGGCAGCCAAAAACATCATCTACAAGACTGCAGATCATCTGTCCTTCACTTTAATCAGACTGGACTTGACAGCAGTGATTTCTTATAATAGAGGGAATTTTATGACCCCAAGTAGTGGAATTCACAAACTACCAAAATGTAATGATTTCCGGTGAATATGCAATAAAGTTACAATGATATTTGATGAATGGAGCCCCTGGGAATAAATTGGATTCCTTAAACCATCACCACTATTAGCACTCCATTTTTTCCTTTGTTACTTATGTGAGGCCAAAATTGCTTACATTTGCACTGACATTTCAAAAATGACTCCATGAACAGTTTTTTCCCTTTGAGGTGTTTCCCATTCCAGCAATTGTGGGAGTAAGGCAATGGAAAGAGAAAGATAGGAGTGGGGGAAAATGAGTGATTTGGGTCGTAGAGGGACCCTTGGAAGAGTTAGCCCTGACATTAAGTCTAATAGTGGAAGAGAAGTTTCTAGGTCTCATTTTGCTCCAGTAATTCTTAATGATATTCACTTGGGAGGTGTTATCTTTGTACCCATGCTATAACACCCTCCCCAGGATTCTGATTCTGTGGGTGCGGGGTGAGGCATCTATAGTCTATAGAATCTCCCCAAGTGAGTCATTTGTTCACCCGTGGTCAATAACCACTTCCATGGTGAACATGCACACTATTTATTTTAAGACGTGAATGAATCCTTTTAAAGTCGGAGCTGAGGAGTTGTGTTTTTCTTCACGTATATTTGGTTATGAACTAGTCTTATATAATGGAGACCTTATTAGTTTATTAACTAAATAAACTTCACTTTTTTCTTTTTAATTTTTGTGGTACACAGTAGGTATCTATACTTATGGTGTGCATGAGATGTTTTGATACAGGCATGCAGTCCATAAAAATCACATCATAGAAAATGGAGTATCCCTCCCTTTAAGCTTTTATCCTTTGTGTTACAAACAGTCCAATTTTACTCTTTTAGTTATTTTTAAATGTACAATTAAATTATTATTGACTATAGCCATCCTGTCATGCTATAAAATACTAGGTCTTATTCATTCCTTCTAACTATTTTTTGTACCCATTAACCATCCCTACGTCGCCCCTACATCACCCCCCACTACCCTTCCCAGCCTCTGCAGCCTCTGGTAACCATCCTTCTACTCTCTATCTCCACGAGTTCAATGTTTTGATTTTTAGATCCCACAAATAAATGAGAACATGCAATGTTTGTGTTTCTGTGTCTGGCTTATTTCACGTAGCATGATGACCTCCAGTTCCATCCATGTTTTTGCAAATGACAGGATCTCATTCTTTTTTATGGCTGTATAGTGCTCCACTGTGTATATGTACCACATTTTCTTTTTAATGAACTTAGTTTTTACATGAGCACTTACTGGAGTAAATGTGTAATACTGGTGCACTCTTTGGCTCATGTGGAAAAGAATGCATTGGCAGAAATCTCATTGTCATTTTTTATCGTTCTTAGTGGTAGCTTAGATTGCAATTTGTCTTAAGGCTGAGCATGTAGTGAGGGTATTTATCCCTTTCAGCATGTGTGTGACTGGCCACCAGAGACTGAACTTTGAAATCAAACTCAACGGTTGTCTACCATGTATTGTAGGTATGTCCAGGAATTCTCAGGTGGCTCAATGCCATCTCTGTAATATCTAGGCAGCCAAATATTTCTCAAAAGGCTTCCTCCATGCATGCATT
Organism: Homo sapiens; assembly: GCF_000001405.40. Taxonomy (NCBI): domain Eukaryota; kingdom Metazoa; phylum Chordata; class Mammalia; order Primates; family Hominidae; genus Homo; species Homo sapiens. The sequence goes on along the minus strand of NC_000023.11, from coordinate 12,184,249 downwards.
TGTTTGGCGTTCAGGATTTTTTATTTCTATTCTCTAAAGCAGTAGGAAATTTTAAATCAGTGTATTTCTGTTAGTAATGATGGGAAATTAACTTGGGACTTTAAAAAAAATCAGTGTTGCAGACTACTGGTGAATACAATCATAAATATGGTTTTTTCTTTCATCTGTTTCCTTTATCTACCCAGGTGATATGCTCCACTTTCAATATGCAGTTCCAGTAAAGAATAATTAAAAATCATTGGAAAAATGTGCCCTTCTGATTTTCAGGGAATTTAAAGAGAACATGTCTTTGATTTGTCACAGGAGACCTGCCATTTCAGAGAAAACACTGCAAGACTTAACAAGCAAAAGACAGGCACCTCAGCTCAACTTTAATTGCTAAGTTGGTTCAGGGAAGTCAATTTAGAAAGCTCCAAGTGTATGTTCAATGCTTCTATTTATATATTCTAAAGAACACGAGACTGGTGTGTATGTCTTAAAAAGCCATGGATTGTGAGTGTCTATCAGTGGGAAGACATGTTAAAGCTGTCTCCACAGAAGACAGCAAGGGAGATCAAGCCATTACGCTCGCTATATATAAAATCTTCAAAAGTAACCAAAGCTAAGCACAAATCTGTAAACTGACAAAATCCATGTTTGTGGGGTAGGGAAATTCTTTGGTGTAATTATTAGATCAGACTTCAATCTCTGGGTAAAAGATCAGAAAATAAAGATTCTTCCTTCCTTGAAATAGCTATTTTTCCAAAAGCTTCAAAACTTCTTTTTTCTAGTGAGGACCGTTATTTGACATAGGAAAAAGGAGGCAAAAAGACTACCATCTTGCATGTTCAATGAATGTAAATGTATGCTTTGTGGATTTGTGGAGGATAAGCCGTGCTTGTGAAGGACAGATTTGGGGTGGAAGTCAACCAATATAAACGTATGCCAATGGCTGCTTAGCCAAGCATATTATGCATTGATAACTTGTTTATATTAAGAGGAAGTCAAGACATACCCATCCCATTTTCTATTCTAGTGTCTTGGTTGAATGACCCAGAAAAAGCACCCTGTGAATCTCGGCAGGTGTGGTGGAACTAGGGAGGCAAGCACTTTCTATTGTTTCAGTTGTGCTGACATATATATATATAGATAGATAGATAGCAACAATGACATTTTATAGATGAGAAAAAGGAAATCTCAAAAAGGCAAACTAGCCCAAGGAAACATAGGTCAGGAGCAGCAGGACGAGACTTCAAATCCCAGAAGTCTGGCTCCAGAGACCTTGTGTTTAACTCCTGCCTTGGTATAGCAGACTTCAGGACAAGGTTCTCCATAAGCTGCATGAACCATGGCAGACATTGACTGTAATCAATTGTCCCCACCTCTCCTGATAAACTGTCCAGAATAAAATTGTTAGTTAATTCATTTCCACGAAAGTGTCAGATTTGTCGGTAAAAACAAGGCCATATCTCACTGGATTCGAATGAAAATCTTGGCTGAACTGATTTGTGTAGGTGATAAGTCCATTACAAATTCTACATGGTCCTTGGGCTACCTAGTTCTCCTCACCTTTCCAGGCATTTGACCCATAATCTGAAAAAAAAGTCAGCTTTTGAGCAGAGCTTATTAAACAATGTGCTGGTTCCAAAGCAGGGCCAACTAAGACAGAAAGTGATGACATATATATATATATTTATTTATTTATTTATTTTCCCCCTCCTAAGAGACTGAACAAAGTTTTAGATAGAAGGTGGGACTGAGAAATGTAACTAGGTTCCAGGCAACATTCCTCAGTGCATTAAAATAATTTCCAGGCAGGGCAGTAAATGTTAGATCTCAGAATCTTGACAGATCATTTTAAACGTGCTCATGTTAAGAATATAAATATGACAGTAAATAAACACGACACAGCAAAAATCTTGCTTGCATACCTGAAAAAATAGAGTTAAAAAATTTAGCAAACTCTTCAGGGGGAAAGGAACCCTTACTGATTGGCAAGATCTCTGAATTAAGACTTTTTCTTACCTTTAGTCACTTCTTCACTACTGTTCAATTGTTTGCTAAAAAGAGTAGACATTGGACTACCCTGCATCCATTTTCTCTTCTTCAGGTAACTCCACTCTGTTTTTATTTTGGAACTACCTGCTCATCTCTTGACCTCTTGGTCCTTATGGTTTCAGTAGAGCTGACTACTTTCAGCTCCAGGGTGAACACATCACTCAGGCCTGGGCAAAGGGAATGTCACCATGTAATTGGGTTCAGAGGTGAGAAAAGTCTATCAGAAATTATCTGGTATCATTTGCTGGTGTCACCAGGGGAGAGGAACACCCTTTTGCAGATTTAAAAACAAAAGCCTTAAAGCTGCTAATGGGAGGGAAAAAAAGGCTGCCGGAAAATGAAACCAACCCAGAGAAAAAGGAGGCTGAGAGGCAGAGATAGAGACCATGACCTGAAGACAGAGCTAGCTTCATTGGCATGCAGCCTCTGAAGTTTCATGGGGCCCTGCACTTGGAAGGACCCACACTCGGTTTAATACTGTGCTGCCACTGTCTGGAAAATCTTGATAATTTTTGAACAAGGGACCTCACATTTTCATTTTGCACTAGAGCCCACAACTTATGTAGCCAGTCCTGCCTAAAGACTTTTATAAGACCTCTGGATCCAGCCATGCCTAAAATTAGACCTATCCTGGAACCTTTCAGTAGTGGGACCCAACAAATTCCCTTTTTTGTTTAAGCTAATTTTGGTTGGGATTTCTCTACATGCAACCAGTTCTAATCTCAAAGTATAACAACAACTTAGATGACTATGCTTGCAACCTCTCACCCAATTCTAGAACAAATTCTTCAACCAGCTCATAGATGATTATCCATCTTTTTTCTAAAACCCTTCAGTTGTGGAAAACACTACTTCATAAGGGAGTCTATTTTGAAACAACTGTTGTTTTGAAAATTCTCCTTTTATAAACTTGTACCTCTTAGTTGTATTTCTAATATCTAGAATTATTCAGATAAATTATACCTCCTGCCACATGACAGGTCTTCACATACTTGAAGACAGCTAAATTAACATCCTCCAACAGCTCTCCACTGTTAAGTTAGACCCCAGTTCCTTCCATTCTCCTTTTATTCAGTTTCCAAATCTTGAACATGCCATGCAGGATCCAGCTTGTCAACATCCAGATTGAATGCAAACCCCCACTGTGAACTACAATGAAATTCTTCCTTCTCTGACTTTGGAAGGAATATGTCTATTAAAGCAGATTAAAATGGCATTACCCTAAGGCAACTGGCTCAACCCAACCAGCCAGCAGAAGACTCCCAGGCCAATGTCAGGCCCTGGCCAAGCTTCCTCAATTTAAACTTGAATAACTGACTCTTTAAACCAGGGATTACCAAACTATAGCCAGTGAACCAAATCCAGACCACCATCTTCTGTTCTGGTAAATAAAGTTTTATTGGAACATACACACACCCGTTTTCATTCCATACTGTCTATGGCTGCTTTCATGCTACAATGTCAGGTTTGGGTAATTACAACAGAAGCTATCTTGCCTGCAAAGTCAAAAATATTTGTTACATGGATCTTCCAGAAAAGTTTATCAACCTCTGATTTAAACCAACAATATAAGCATTACATTTATCTTGTTAGATTTAACTTTGTTAGACAGGCTCTTTATTCCAGCTTGGTACAATCTTCTTTAATTTTATCAATATGTAACCTACATCTAATTCACAAATGGTCTCTTAAACGTAATCATATTCCTTATCCCCAGTCTCTTACTAAAATTTGTTTAAATTGATCCATGATGTATTGCGATGGGTATTTTGGATCACAGAGGAAATTACCCCTAACTCTTAATTCAATCCTCAGCATGAGGATCTAAAACTAGCATTACCTGTTTTATTCTTAATTAGACAAGAAATGTCAAAAGAGTTGTCCCTGATATAACTTTTTATGTTAATGGAAATGTTCCACATCTGCAGTGTCCAAGATGATAACTACTGGCATGTGTAGCTATTGAGCACTAGTTCAACTGACGAACTGCATTTTTAATTTTATTTAAGTCACTACATTTTAAATTAAATATAATTATGTACATGTGGCTAGTGGCTACCATATTGGACAGTACAGCATTAGAGGATTCAGACCACTAAGGAATAGTGAAGTCTCCATTCTCTCTAAGCAATATTTTCTTGTTCAAGACTCTTTCAAGGCTCTGCTATAACTGCCTCAAGAGAATTCCCTCATTTCTCCCATACCCAATACCAACAGATAACTGGTAGGCTGAAGTCCGTATTATCCATGACAGTTAATGGCAAATGAGGGCTTTGAACCCCAGTTCATGTTTGAAAGAATTCTGGGAAAGAAACAAATATACTTTAAAAAAAAAAAAAGGCTAGGTTAGCAAGATAGCATGCAAACTAGAACACAACAGAGGCTATGTGGGAATTCATTAAGTTTTAATTTTATTATAAATTCCTTATTAAACATAATAAAATCCCTCCATGGGGCACTAAACTTTGTGGTTAAGACTAGGGGTGAAAGCTGATTTGTTAACCTAGTTTCTTTGACTTCACTTCAAAACGTGAGATTGCATTCTGCACGCGTTGGTGTCAAGCCTCAGCTTGCCATGAAGCCCAGTTCTCCCACCCAACATTTTGGGGCATATATTTCTTGCATACTTGTCATTTTTATATGTAGAACATATGGAAAACCTCCCATTTTCCATGTCCTGATATGCAGCCAAGATTTACAAGCCTTTAATCTATACGTTGATAACTTTCAAATCTCTATCATCCAAATTACTCTCTTGTGATTCAGATGCATCTATCCAACTATGATAGATTATAAAATATGGCTGTGGATTCTTCCCATTCTGTGTATGAAGACCCTTTGCAAGGTGATTTTGTTTCTCCTCCCATTAAGAGGGTAAGTCCATTTCCCCACCCCGAGACCTGGGCTGGTCATCTGAATTGCTCGGTCAATAGAATGTGGCTGGAATGACATTATATACCTTCCAAAGCTAGGTCTTAAGAGACTAAGCCACTTCTGTCTCCACTACCTTGGTATGCTGCCCAGAGACCACCAATGTAAGGAAGGAAGCAAATCTATCATCCTGGAGGATCAGAGATGATGTGGAAAAGAACCAATAGTCAGAGCCATTGCCAAACAAGTCTGTGAGATTTCCTTGGACCTTCCAGCCCAGCCATGCCCCAGATGAATGCAGACAGATGAGTGAGCTCAAGCAAAACCAGCATTCAAATAGTCCAGAAAACCCACTGAATCATGAGAAATAATAAGTTGCTATTATTCTAAGCCACTAAGTTTTAGGGTGGTTTGATGTGCAACAGGAGACAATGGAAAATCCACCTCTCTCCAGATTATCTCCACTGGCACATCTCAGAAGCATGTCAAACTTTACTCCACAATTAAATGCATCCACATCCCCTTTGGGATTCCACAGGCTTTCCTTGATCCCCACCCCCATCTCCAGCCTGCAGGAGTTGCCCTTGCAAATGCTTCTCCAACCAGCACACAATATTACGAACTCTTATGCCTTCTCCTAGCTCTCACGACATACACCTTATTTGTTTTTTATACCTTGCATCCACAACTCCTAGAACAGTACTTGGCACACAGCAGGGGCTTAATAACAGTTTGTTAAATGCTAAATGAATGAATCATTCATCTAGAGACTTAAGCTATTGAGAAACACAAAAACACAAAAGTAATTAGGGGGAGAAAAAAGCAAAGCAAGAGCCACCCAATCGCAACTCAAGAATTTACTCAAAGCCTAGTATATCTTATTTTAGACACATTTATAAAAAACTTTGTGATCATATCATGCAGACTAGAGTAGCAATGACCTGAATGCTGGGCAAGAACACCTAAATCAATTAATTTTTTAAAAAATCACTCATGGTAGGTGTCTTAGTTTGTATAGGCTGCTATAACAAAATACTTTAAACTGGGTAATTTATAAACAACAGAAATGTATTGCTCACGGTTATGAAGGCTGGGAAGTCCTAGAATCAAGGTGCCAGCTGATTTGATGTCTAGTGAGGGCTTGCTCTCTGCTTCAAAGATGGTGCCTTCTTGCTGTATCCTCAAATGGCAGAAGGGGCAAACAAGCTCCCTTAGGCCTCTTTTATAAAAGTACTAATTCCATTCATGAGAACAGAGCCCTCATGACCTAATCACCTCCCAAAGGCCCCACCTTTTAATACTATCTCCTTGGAGGTTAGGTTTCAGCAAATGAATTTGTGAAGGACACACACACTGAGAACACAGCAGTAGGCAAGCCAAGAGGTAACAAAAGTGACAGTGCAGAAACGGAAAGATGAATGAAATCAACTACAAAGAACAGATAGGAGGGACAGAAAAAGTATAGACCCCTGAATTATTCGGTGTCTCTTCTCACTCAAAGTGCTCACCTAAGCCACTCTAAGCATCTCAACAGCCAGTAGAATATAAGTGCTACAAGGGCCAGGATTCTTATCTCTTTTGTTCACTGCTATACCTCCAGTGACTGGCCCATTGTCAGCACTCAATAAGTTCCGTAAACATTTGTTGATTGGATGAACAACTTTGAAGGCAATCACCATAGACAGCACAGATGAGATTGATGCCTAAATTGAGAAAGAACTTGACTATCAGGAAAAGGTTAAATACGTTCATTACACCAACAACACAGGGCAGGAGATAACATTTTTGAAAGACTTCTACTAAAATTGCTTTTCAAAGTTTGTACATATATAAGCAGTAACCTTCATTCATCTGAAAAATTTATGAATATGAACTGCCAGATAAGTGATTTAGAAATGTCTTATTTTTTTCCTTGCATCCTGAAAACTAGAATTATCTCTTGCATTTTTCTATATTTTCCACTCTGCCTAGTATACCATACCTGTAAACAATAAAACTGTAATGAATATTTTTAAACTTTTTCATGGAAATTTTCAAACATACATAAAAATAGAATAACTGAATGAATCTTCACGTGGCTACCACCCTGCTTCAGTGATCATCCATTCTTGGTCAACCTTGTTCCACAAAAAGCACATCCACTTCCTTTGATCCCACACAAAATTAATATTTTAGAATGAATAATTGGTTTTAAGTTCCACATAATCACTATCACCTATAATCTAGTGGGTGACATTTCCAGATATATTTGTATTTAATGAGCACTAACTAATAGCATCTTTTCATTAAGTGATAATTTCAGGTAAGTATATGAAAAATAACCCACTCATAATGGCTTTTTATTTTTATTCCACAGAAAACGAAATGTCACACTAGAATAAATTATTCATTTTTGTTTTAATCAATTTTATATTTGTTGCTCTTATTAAGCCATTTTTCTCCCCGAGGATCTGAGAAATTGTATTTTCCAGACATGACTATGGCAGGCCAGGCAAAAGAAACTCATCTAATGGTTTACCTTTTCCACTAATACTAGACTTTTCAAAGTGCCACATTTCCTTATATTATCTTTGCCTTTGGCCAAACTATACATCCCAAATGTAGTTTGTTCTCATGTTCAGAATACAAAACACTGTTGTTTTGCTCAAGTTTAGATAACACATTAATTGTTTAGAATATTTGAAACCAATTTTAAAACATACACAATATTAATCATTGTCCTAAAATAAACTTGTATAGTGAGAGAAAATTATTGCAAACATATTTTATGATCTAAAAATTTGACTTAATTACTGAATGTATACTAGATTTGATTTTAATTATACAGATTTTAACATCACATTTAGTCTTATATTTACGCAAACATTTTTTGAAAATAAAATTTGGGGAAATACGGCCACAATAAAATTCTTATATGGCTTTTTTTTGTCTTGATTGGAAGGTGAGTGACTTCCCTACAGAACATGTTCTGTGATTGCCAGAATACAGAGAGGATTAAATAAAAGGAATACGAAGTATTTTGCCTATGGCTGAGTGAGAGAAATTATATTTATTAATACTAACAAATTTATTTCACCTTTGCTCCACATTGCAATCACCTAAGGGACTTCTTTTGAAAATCCTGATGCCCAGTTTACAGCCTGGACCAATTAATCTGAATCTCTGGGGATGGAACTAATATGCGCTGAAGCTTGCTTGGCTCCTACCAGTTTACAAGAGCTGATAGTCCACATGTCTTCCCAACTCTGTTCTGTGACATCAATATTAGTAGCTTGAAATTGGTGACGGAGTATTTACATAACAGGAATGGACAAATACTGTAAGTCAGGGCTCTTTATTTTCTAGGGAGTCAACTATTAACCATTACCAGCACATCACCAGGTGGGACAAAGGCATCTGTATTCTTAAATACTCCTCAGATGGTTTCAATGTGAAACTAAGTTTGAGAACCAGTCATCTAGACACAGTGGTTCTTAAACTTGAGGGCTCAACAGAATCACTTGAAGGACTTGTTAAAACACATATTGAGGCCGGGCGCTGTGGCTCATGCCTGTAATCCTAGCACTTTGGGAGGCCAAGGCAGGTTGATCACCCAAGGTCAAGAGTTTGAGACCAGCCTGGTCGACATGGCAAAACCCCGTCTTTACTAAAAATACAAAAATTAGCCAGGCATGATGGCAGGCGCCTATAATCCCAGCTACTCGGGAGGCTGAGGCAGCAGAATCGCTTGAACTGTGGAGGTTGCAATGAGCAGAGATCACGCCACTTCACTCCAGCCTGGGCGAAAGAGCGAAACTCCATCTCAACAACGACAACAACAAAAATACGTACTGAATTTTTGATTCAGTGCATCTGGGGTGGAGCTCAAGAACTTGCATCTCTAACAGGTGATGCAGATGAAACAGGTCCAGGGACCACATTTTGAGAAACACCAGTTCAGGGCATTTAATGAATGTCAACTAACAAATGGACCACTTAGAACTGGAAATTGAGAGGAGGCAAAATAAGTCCAGAGAGATCACTGTTCACAATACTAGAAATTTAGCTCCCAAGACCTAAATACTAGAGATTTTTATTTATTGATGTCTCTCATCTCCTGCCCATTCTTTATTCCTTGCCCTCCATTCTCTGGGTGTATTTGTTATTCACTTCTACCACCATCTTGTTTTTTCATCAGAAAACTTTAAACAAATCCTACCAGAGCTGTAACACATACCACCATCTTTTATTGAGTCTATGTTATATACCTGTTAAAGATACTATGTTAGAAATGAAAGTTCAAAGCAGACAAAGTCCAGTCTAGAAGCTTACATCCTATTTGGGAAGACATGCAACTATCAAAATCAAGGCAAGGTCGTGTAACTGTGCCATCATAAAGGTACATGCAGCTTGCTTTAAGAACTCAAAATAAAACAGGGATCAGTGACTCTGCCCAAAAGTACTATCAGTTGACTTACATTTTTAAAAGATAAGAGGCAGGTTAAGTGGACCAGAAGAAGGAAGGAGCTAAACCATTTCAGGCAAACAGAATAGCTTGTTTAAGGGTAGGAAGGCATGAAACAAGGTATTGATATCAATGGGTCTCAAATTCTGGTGGACATCAGAATCACTTGTAAAAGTATAAAGTTTCAGGCCCTCTCTGGGGTCTCTGTGTTTGTTATTGGCTCTCCAGTTGATTCTGATATACATCAAAGTTTGAGAACCACTGACTCACAGATACTTGACCAGATGTGGTTTGCTAGAGTAGCACAAAGGGTCCCAGAGTGGAAGAAGGGGACGGAGTAGAGAGGAAGCCAGGGCCAGACCGCAAGGAATGATTTGAAAATATGTTTAAAAACCACAGACAAACAAAACAAACAATTAAGGAACTGTTTATGTCTTCTCCTAGCCATCTAGGCCTCCACTGCCCCTGAGGAGTGTTAACAAGCAGCAGCTTTGGTTTTCTAGAGAAGGGGTCAGCAAACTGTAGTCTATGAGCCAAATCTGGCCTATCACCTGTTTTGATACCATTCACAAGCTAAGGATGGTTTTTACACTTTTAATTGGTTGAAAAAATAATAATATTTCATGACACATGAAAGTAATTCAAATTTCAGTGTCTGTAAAAAAAGTTTTACTGGAACACAGCCCCATACTCATTCATTTACAAATTGTGGCTGCTTTCACACTACATGGGCAGAGTTGAATAGTTGTGAAAGAGACCATATGGCCCAAAAAGCTGAAAATGTGTACTATGTGGCCCTTGGCAGAAGATGTTGGCTGACCCCCTTTCTAAAGCCTAAGCCTATGAAGGTCTAAAGCTGGAGAAGTCTCTAAAGGTTGAGGGAGAAGGGAGGGAGGCAGCCCCTGGAAGAGCCCCTGGAAGAGTGTCCCAGCCTGGGACAGTAAGCTGGTGGGTTTCATGTACAGTGGAGCCCTGGATGCCTGCTCTCAGCCCCAGAGGTAGCAGCTATCTTCCGGGGCCATCCTAGTGACAGCTTAGAGAAGGGCCACCACGATCTGTGGACTTGTGTGCTGCAGAGGACATCGAGAGGCCAAGCTTATCAGGAAGGAGAGCAGGCTGTCAGCAAGGCCACCTACTTCCAAAGCCACCTTGGGCCATGAGCATCTCAGCAGCAGTCAGGACAAAATCAAGACCAGAGGCCCCACTTTAATGTTCCTGCCCTATTTAATCCTCAGAATTCCTAAATGATCCTAAATATAGGAGCAGGAGCCCCCTCCCCTGCATATTCTACCTGTCAGGCAGGTGGTAGCAAAGCCAGGTTGAATGTGGTTTAGTAAGAGAGAGAAATGTGACATTTTCTTATACACCTTCATTTCCCAACACTCTGTTCATACTTCAGATGACCTTGTCTGCAGTTGGCTCTCCTTGAATTTGAACATTTAAGCTATTTTTATTTTTGGCCTCACTGACATACAGCCACAGGGAAAAGCTGGTGATCCCTGGAGCAAGATGTACAGGCACACCTGTGGGCTCCACCTCAGTGCCACACTCCACTGAGGCTGGTTACAAGGAGGCTGTGATGCCATGCCCCAAATGTATCTGCTGGAGAACAGCCTGGATTTAATTTACTACTACAATCTGGGTGCAAGATCTGTTAATATCTTCCAATTACCTGCCTCATACAACCATAGCTATTTTAAGCAGAAGTCACTTAAGGCTTCCTCATCATAGAAAACCTTCTGATTTCCAGAGACTTCTCTGGTCAAAGAAAAAAGACATAGAGACCTTGAGCTTGGGCTTGGCCCGAAGTATGAATTTTATATCTTTGAAACCAAGAGCTGCAGCAATTTGGGGTTCTTCTGGGTAGAAACTGAATACACATTTTGGACAGAGAATTACTTTATTTGGCAAAAGCTGCTTGAATGGACTATTTAGTTATGCAAATGTAAAGCGGAGACTATAATTAGCAAGGGGATGTTTGAAATGCTAAAACTGCTATAGTGGCAAATGAGAAAGCAGTTATAGACAGAATCACATCCCTGCAGATAACATTTGCTTTAAAGAAAGGTTTCTTTTCTATGATGGATTTGGCTGTCCTTTGTTTACAGCTTAGATCTAGCTTCTAGAGAGGAGGCCATTTGTATTCCTGGCTCATGGCCCCTTTCAAAACCAGCCATAGTAGGTCTCTCTCACCTTCAAATCTCTGACTTTTCTCCCTTCTACTCCTCCTGCTGTTTCTCTCTCTTCTTTTTTGGTTTTCAAAGTGTGGTCCTTGGAACAGCAGCAGCAGCATTTCATGAGAACCTCTTAAAAATGCAAATTCTCAGGACCCACCCCAGACCTGCTGAATCAGAAACCCTAGGAGTGGGCCCAGCAGTCAGTGTTTTAACAAGTCCTGCAAGGTGATTCTGATATGAACACAGGAAAAGGTCTTGTTTAAGCAGTTTACAAGAGAGCAAGATATAAGGTACTTAGGGAAGGACTTGAGATCTGAACTTCATTTCATGCTGCAGAAAAGACTTTAACAAAGAAACTGGAGCCTGCTAGGTCAGCATCAACCAGGGGTGTCCAAGGGAGAGAATACAGTCATGAGTTCTTAGTTTCTAAAGCCCTTTCCTTATCCCTTTTTTTTTTTTTCCTTATCACTAGAGACAGAAACTAAAAATCATGGCTTCAGGCTGCTAAACTCCTAAAAGAAAACCAAACAGAACAACAACAACAACAGCAAAATAAGGCAGGTTGGACAAGCTTGATAGACTATTCTACAGACATCCTATGCATTGGTTAAGATATAACTAACCCTAAAGCATCAACAGTGTACCACTATCAGGCATTGGTGACCTGACATGGTAGTTCTCTGTGCCAGCAGAAATTCAAGGGAAGAGAGCTTCACTAAAGGGCATAACCAGTGTAAGTGTGTGTTAAGGGCTGATGGGAGGAGGGTAACCAGCATCAGGATTTGTGGTATGACCAGGAGCCAAGCAGAGAGGGACCTCTGGGGTCCAGCCTCTTAATACCTGAGAATGGCTGTACCTGATAGCCAGATTGTGTTTAGCTATTGTCAGTCTCTTCTTTCATCCCCAAGTCTCTGGTAGCCGTTGATATGACTTTCCTTGTTTCTATAAGCTAATGAATCCAAGAAACCTCTGAGTTTCCTTTAAGTCATGGTGACCAGATATGAAGTCCCACGCTCATCGGCTTGCATCAAAGAACAGCTCAACCAGGTTTTGGCTTCTGGGTCAACAACAGGCTTTGCTTGTTTGATTTTGACTCTGAAAAACTGAATCTGTAACCACTACAACTCTGGCTTTTATCTCCAGTATCTTGCCAAGTTGTAAGGTAGCCCTCCAACTTGAACAAGTTAGAAGCACATACCCCAAGCTCTACTCTAAAGTGCAACCGACTGATTTCTCTGTTGTTTTTGCTGTGTCAAACAGCCTCAACTCTTTAAAAAAGGCCTCCAGGATCTCAGAAAAGCAAAGGATGAGAAAATCAAAAGCTTTATGCCTCATTTTGAAAGCTGCTTATATAACCATATCTGTCATATAGCAAAAAATAAAAATAAATAGAACTTGCATGCCAAACGGGGATGCACAAACAGTAGAAGGCCCTACCATCAAGTCCTGATCCTTGCCTGATGCATTTCAAAGCTGGCTGTTCTTGCTAGGCTCCTCCACTTGCTTGAGTCCTTTGCCTTTTCACTGTGTAGGGTCCCATCCACAGAGTACTGGAAATTAGCAGCCTCTCGTCAACTGTATTTAAGGTTACAGATTCTTATGACCAGGGAAATAAAAAGTGGTTTCTAGACTCCAAAAGGCAGAGTACCCTGAGACAGGAAAGAATATCTTCACTTAACAGACCCTCAGATGCTTTCTAAAAACAATCCCCTGAAGGAAACTTCTCTTAAGCGCAGTGCGCTATCATCTAGGAATCTGAGAACAAGTGGAAACACCTGCTCATTAGGCATACCTCTTTTGAACCACACCAGTGAATGGAAAGCCACCCAAAGAATGATCTCATCATATTAACCCAACAAGGGGTTTCTAGATGTTCACAGGCCATTTATGTTATGTACAGGAAAGAGGAGAGAGATGAGTTAAGCTCCAGAGTTCACATTAGATCCTGTGGCTGCTAGAGTGAGAGCTTTACTCAGGCCCCAGAGCCAAGCTGCTGGAGTCGCGGGAGTTGCCACCAAGCAGCACTGCAATCAGTCTGAATTACTGGGGCTCCCAGAAGAATGGAGCAGCTTAAAATCTAGAGGCTTATGAAGAATGTTTCCATGAAGTTTTTATTTTGAGCTGTGGTAAAAAGTCACCTATTCAGCTTGATAAAGTAAAGCAAAGAGAAAACAGAAAATTTCAAGTATACAAGTAAGACCTGCTGGAACATAACATGTGACAGGAGTTTTATTTTCTTCTCTCCCCTCAATTAACCAGCATCCAAACCATTCCTCATCTGCAGGGCAACAAACAAGCTACAGTATTTCACGGATGCTAACATGCACATATCTACTGGATTTTAAAGATTCCAGGTTCATCTTATAATAAATGGCAATTTCAAATGTCTGTCTACCTGGAGGTAGCACAATTGGTTGGTTATTTCTCGGTTCATGATTGACAACCATAATTCCTCCCCGTTTCAAGCAACCAACTATTTCAAGACCATTTGAAGAAAGAATAGGAGACCTTGTTGTCACTGAAAAAAAAAAAAAACTCTGTGGAAAATTTCTGGAAAGATAAGAGTGTCTAAATCAAAGCAAGCAGAATGGGCTTCAGTAGCTTGGAAGAAAATCTTGGAGGCAATAATGGAATACTCATTCAAGCAATGCTGTATCTATACTTTTCATGGCACTGAGGAAAATATTTTGCGGAAAATTATGGTTCTGATTTCAGATTTAAATCTGAAATGGTTTATCACTTAGATCACAGGTTGACAAATTGGCCTGCAGGCCAAATCTGGCCCACTGCCTGTTTTTATAAGTAAACTTTTATTAGAACACAACCACTCCCACCCATTTGTGTTTGCATCCACTGAAAAGTGATTCATATGGGTCAAGTTCTATATGTCATGTGTTTTAAAATCTTACAAACAGCTTAACTAATTTGTTTGCTTATATTTCACTTCTTTTGTATGCACAAAAGTGTTATATGATTAAAATGTATGCCTTAGTCAAAAAGTTAACTCAAGAAGTATAAAAGTCTATGAGTTTGGTAAACTTTTACTATAATGAGCCATATGGTAAATATTAATAGTTTAGACCTAATAGAACATACAATCTCCTTTACAACTATTAAGCTTCACCATTGTAGTAGGAAAGCAGCCATGGAAATACACAAATGGATGGGTGTGGTTGTGTTCCAATAAAACTTTATTTATAAAAACAGGCAGTGGGCCAGATTTGACCTGCAGGACAATTTGTCAACCTATGATCTAAGTGATAAAAACACATGTCTTAATTTATTAGCAATATACACAAAAAGGTATACTGCATTTAGATGTCTTGCAATTGATGGCCTCTTCAAGTCAATGAAATTTGGTATATATCCCAATGACAATGATTATTGGCCAGTCCAGAAAACTAAACCAACACCTTTCTTGCTAGGCTCCTCTTTAGTTTTCCTCCAGTCCAGAAAACTAAACAAAAACCTTTATTTCCCACTACCCCTTTCCTTTGTATTTAGGGGGATCATGCATATATATATGTTTCCTGTTTCCTCTAGATTCCACTAATCACTGTTTACTTACATCTATTTTGAACAATCTTCTTCTCACATATACATATGTCTAGCCTATTTATTATTCTCTCCTAACATGTTTGTATAATGGCATTAGAACACCACATTTACATATGAGTCAAAATACAAGCCTCATCGTGAATTATAAGTTTAATAGTTGTATTAGGGATGTGCTATGTTGAAGAAGATGAAAGAAACTCTGTGAAGTGAAATAAGACCTAATAAAGAGTCAGTGTCTTGCCAGGCACGGTGGCTCACGCCTGTAATCCCAGCACTCTGGGAGGCCGAGGCGGGCAGATCACGAGGTCAGGAAATGGAGACCATCCTGGCTAACCTGGTGAAACCCCGTCTCTACTAAAAATACAAAAAATTAGCCAGGCGTGGTGGTGGGCGCCTGTAGTCCCAGCTACTCAGGAGGCTGAGGAAGGAGAATGGCGTGAACCCAGGAGGCGGAGCTGGCAGTGAGCGGAGATCACACCACTGCACTCCAGCCTGGGTGACAGAGTGAGACTCTGTCTCAAAAAAAAAAAAAAAAAAAAAGGGTCAGTGTCTTTAAGACCCTCTAAAAATCTCAAAAGGGTACAAAAATAATTTTCAGAAACTTAAACTAACTTATTATCTAATAAAATGTTTCCCCTGATTCAAACAGGAGCATCTAAAAATCTTCCTAAATTATATTTTCTTGCGGTTTTGTGTTTGATTGCATCACAACAAAGTTTGTGCCATTCATTTAAGTTGCATGCAGATGGCATTCCGATCACACTGCAAGTTGGAGAGTTGTTTTTTTTTTTTTTTCCCAATCTGGCTTTGAATCCCTATTAGCAGGATAAGCCATCTGACATAACAAAACAACTCCAAAGTATTAGTGACTTAACTCAGTTGAAGTTTATTTTTCATTAGCCCAGTCCAGTGAAATTATGGGCAAAGGAAGGAGAGTGTGTTTTGTTCTGCACAGTTGTTCCGAGTCCTAGACACCTTTCATCTATGGGCTCTGCCTCCTCTAAACCTTTAGACCAGGTTTTTCAATATTGGCAGTGCTGACTTTTTGAGTCAGATCATTTTTTGTTGTGTGGGGGCTGCCCCGCACATTGTAAGGTGCATAACAGCATCCCTAACCTCTAGCCACTAGATACCAGTAGCAGCCCCTCTCCCAGTTGTGACAGCCAAAAATGATGTCACCAGACATTTTCAAACGGCCCCTAGGGGCACAATTGTCCTTACCCCAACCCCTACTCCTTCACTGAGAACAAGCGACTTACTCAAAAACAGTATTATCACCCATCCCAGATAGAATTCTTTTTATTCCTGGAAGACAAATAATTTGTTTACTTTAAAGGGTTTTCTTAATATATATATCAAATCAAGTTATCATTGTTTAT
The DNA here is from genome assembly GCF_000001405.40 of Homo sapiens. Classification (NCBI taxonomy): domain Eukaryota; kingdom Metazoa; phylum Chordata; class Mammalia; order Primates; family Hominidae; genus Homo; species Homo sapiens. Next base: position 12,167,783 of record NC_000023.11, on the reverse strand, counting down.
GTCGTACACATGGCACATGATCCCAATAGCTGTTGGAAACAAAATGTTGTAGCCGGAAAGTCCATTATATCGTCTTCCCATAAAATACAAGTGCCCTGCCTCTGTGCCTTGGATTATTTCCCAAGCATTTCAGAACTATTCCATGGGCCACAGGCACAACTTCCATGACTGAATTGCATAAGAAGTCATTAAAAGCCTGAGGAAAACGGATTCCCTTGAGAGGTTTTCCAGATCTAAGTGGCTACCACTTGATATTCATTTCCCCCAATTAAAATCCCACCATCCGAGAAAACTAGATTACTGGAGCCAAAGCTAATGTTTCAACCTTACAATTTTCCCCATATTCTTAGAAATTATAACAAACTGTCTCTCAGACCACAGTGCAATCAAACTAGAACTCAGGATTAAGAAACTCACTCAAAACTGCTCAACTACATGAAAACTGAACAACCTGCTCCTGAATGACTACTGGGTACATAACAAAATGAAGGCAGAAACAAAGATGTTCTTTGAAACCAACCAGAACAAAGACACAACATACCAGAATCTCTGGGACACATTTAAAGCAGTGTGTAGAGGGAAATTTATAGCACTAAATGCCCACGAGAGAAAGCAGGAAAGATCTAAAATCAAGACCCTAACATCACAATTAAAAGAACTAGAGAAGCAAGAGCAAACACATTCAAAAGCTAGCAAAAGGCAAGAAATAACTAAGGTCAGAGCAGAACTGAAGGAAATAGAGACACAAAAAACCCTTCAAAAAACCAATGAATCCAGGAGCTGGTTTCATTGAAAAGATCAACAAAATTGATAGACCACTAGCAAGACTAATAAAGAAAAAAAGAGAGAAGAATCAAATAGACGCAATAAAAAATGATAAAGGGGATATCACCACTGATCCCACAGAAATACAAACTACCATCAGGGAATACTATAAACACCTCTACGCAAATAAACTAGAAAATCTAGAAGAAATGGATAAATTCCTGGACACATACACCCTCCCAAGGCTAAACCAAGAAGAAGTTGAATCTCTTAATAGACCAATAACAGGCTCTGAAATTGAGGCAATAATTAATAGCCTACCAACCAAAAAAAGTCCAGGACCAGATGGATTCACAGCCGAATTCTACCAGAGGTACAAGGAGGAGCTGGTACCATTCCTTCTGAAACTATTCCAATCAATAGAAAAAGATGGAATCCTCCCTAATTCATTTTATGAGGCCAGCATCATCCTGATACCAAAGCCTGGCAGAGACACAACAAAAAAAGAGAATTTTAGACCAATATCCTTGATGAACATTGATGCAAAAATCCTCAATAAAATACTGGCAAACCGAATCCAGCAACACATCAAAAAGCTTATCCACCATGATCAAGTGGGCTTCATCCCTGGGATGCAAGGCTGGTTCAACATATGAAAATCAATAAACACAATCCAGCATATAAACAGAACCAAAAACAAAAACCACATGATTATCTCAATAGATGCAGAAAAGGCCTTTGACAAAATTCAACAGCCCTTCATGCTAAAAACTCTCAATAAATTAGGAATTGATGGAATGTATCTCAAAATAAAAAGAGCTATCTATGACAAACCCACAGCCAATATCATACTGAATGGACAAAAACTGGAAGCATTCCCTTTGAAAACTGGCACAAGACAGGGATGCCCTCTCTCACCACTCCTATTCAACATAGTGTTGGAAGTACTGGCCAGGGCAATTAGGCAGGAGAAGGACATCAAGGGCATTCAATTAGGAAAAGAGGAAGTCAAATTGTCCCTGTTTGCAGATAACATGATTGTATATCTAGAAAACCCCATTGTCTCAGCCCAAAATCTCCTTAAGCTGATAAGCAACTTCAGCAAAGTCTCAGGATACAAAATCAATGTGCAAAAATCACAAGCATTCTTATACACCAATAACAGACAAACAGAGAGCCAAATCATGAGTGAACTCCCATTCACAAATGCTTCAAAGAGAATAAAATACCTAGGAATCCAACTTACAAGGGATGTGAAGGACCTCTTCAAGGAGAACTACAAACCACTGCTCAAGGAAATAAAAGAGGATACAAAGAAATGGAAGAACATTCCATGCTCATAGGTAGGAAGAATCAATATCGTGAAAATGGCCATACTGCCCAAGGTAATTTATAGATTCAGTGCCATCCCCATCAAGCTACCAATGACTTTCTTCACAGAATTGGAAAAAGCCACCTTAAAGTTCGTATGGAACCAAAAAAGAGCCTACATTGCCAAGTCAATCCTAAGCCAAAAGAACAAAGCTGGAGGCATCACACTACCTGACTTCAAACTATACTACAAGGCTACAGTAACCAAAACAGCATGGTACTGGTACCAAAATAGAGATATAGACCAATAGAACAGAACAGAGCCCTCAGAAATAATGCCGCATGTCTACAACTATCTGATTTTTGACAAACCTGACAAAAACAAGCAATGGGGAAAGGATTCCCTATTTAATAAATGGTGCTGGGAAAACTGGCTGGCCATATGTAGAAAGCTGAAAATGGATCCCTTCCTTACACCTTATACAAAAATTAATTCAAGATGGATTAAAGACTTACATGTTAGACCTAAAACCATAAAAACCCTAGAAGAAAACCTAGGCAATACCATTCAGGACATAGGCATGGGCAAGGACTTCATGTCTAAAACACCAAAAGCAATGGCAACAAAAGCCAAAATTGACAAATGGGATCTAATTAAACTAAAGAGCTTCTGCACAGCAAAAGAAACTACCATCAGAGTGAACAGACAACCTACAGAATGGGAGAAAATTTTTGCAACCTACTCATCTGACAAAGGGCTAATATCCAGAATCTACAAAGAACTTAAACAAATTTACAAGAAAAAAACAAACAACCCCATCAAAAAGTGGGCGAAGGATATGAACAGACACTTCTCAAAAGAAGACATTTATGCAGCCAAAAAACACATGAAAAAATGCTTGTCATCACTGGCCATCAGAGAAATGCAAATCAAAAACCACAATGAGATACCATCTCACACCAGTTAGAATGGCAATCATTGAAAAGTCAGGAAACAACAGGTGCTGGAGAGGATGTGGAGAAATAGGAACACTTTTACACTGTTGGTGGGACTGTAAGCCAGTTCAACCCTTGTGGAAGTCAGTGTGGCGATTCCTCAGGGATCTACAACTAGAAATACCATTTGACCCAGCCACCCCATTACTGGGTATATACCCAAAGGATTATAAATCATGCTGCTATAAAGACACATGCACATGCATGTTTATTGTGGCACTATTCACAATAGCAAAGACTTGGAACCAACCCAAATGTCCAACAACGATAGACTGGATTAAGAAAATGTGACACATATATGCCATGGAATACTATGCAGCCATAAAAAAGGATGAGTTCATGTCCTTTGTAGGGACATGGATGAAGCTGGAAACCATGATTCTCAGCAAACTATCGCAAGGACAAAAAAAACAAACACCGCATGTTCTCACTCATAGGTGGGAATTGAACAATGAGAACACATGGACACAGGAAGGGGAACCTCACACACCAGGGACTGTTGTGGGGTTGGGGGAGTGGGGAGGGATAGCATTAGGAGATATACCTAATGTAAATGATGAGTTAATGAGTGCAGCACACCAACATGGCACATGTATACATATGTTAGAAACCTGCACGTTGTGCACATATATTCTAAAACTTAAAAGTATAATAATAATAAAAAAAAAACTAAGGGGCAAAAAAATAAAAAATAAAATAAATAAATAAAATCCCACCATCCTACCAATTTCTCTTAAACGGAAACAATAGTGTATGCACAAAACTGCTTCTGCAAGTGAGACCAAATCCCATGAGATGGTAAAAAATGGTTCTTATCAGCCAAACGTTGGGACCCCTGATAATTACTTACCTCTATGATCTTAATTCCCTTGAAACATGGCTACCTCTCATTCTTGATGATATTAAGCTGCTATAAAGTAATCAAAGGCGGGCCTGTGCCTTTTGTATGTTTTGATCAACATTTAGTGGTTGCTTAGGAAAGAGTAGCATAATTAATATTGATTGTATTTTTCCAACAATCAGCACATGCTGAGCCCCATGAAGTCATTCATTGGATAGTGCTATCCTTAATGGCAAAAGGAATAGCACGTTGGCAAGTGTAAACACTGCCTGGCACTGAATGAAAACCCTAATGGCTGCAGTTCACCTAGGTAAGGGAACTTAGAATGAAGACTGCTATCAAAACCAAACTTCAAAACCTCAAGGTCTCAAGAGCCACTCTATTTTTTTTTTTTTTTTTTTTTTTTTTACAAAGGGTCATTGGAATAAAAAAAATCAGTCAGGAAAAATTATGACTATCAAGAATGATAAAAAAAACTGGGCTTATAAGCAAAAAAATAAAAACAAACAAAGAAACAAACAAAACCCCCAAAGCAGGCCCAAAGAATGGGAAACATGAGAAGAAACACAGCTCCAGAAAAGGAGAATAAATAATTGGAATAGTTTATCTTGCTCAAACTCCTGGAAAAATCTCACCAACAAATATCATTAGACCCTGGATATCTCTGTTGCAGGCTACCCACGTACTGGGGAGGTTTCAAGTCCCTAATTGGAACCTAATGGCTCCATTTATCATTTGGAAACCATCTTCTGGCAACCATCTATTTCATTTTCACCTGTACATAAAAATTGTGCCCTCTTTTCTCTCCTTCCTCCTTTTTTTTAATGAGGTGACATAAGGAGGAGGACTCAAGAGATGTTACTAGTGAGATATTTACAAGATGAAGGAAACTTCTTATTTAATACAGTCAATCTGGATATTTTAGTAGTGGAGAGATTCACAAAGGTGAAGACTGTAACAGCTGGATGAGTTCTAGGGCCCATAACATTTGAAATCAGAGGGAAAAGAAACATGTCAAATTTCACCATTTTGCAACATAAGCAGAGTGTATGTTTGGCCATTAAAGAATCTCCCTGACCTGAAAATGCCATGTTCACCACAGGAAAGGGGACATGCCACCTGCTAGGGGTAGAAACAGAAGAGTCTTCCCAGATGTTCTTCCTTGATTTGCCTGGGACTAAACCCCAGATGCTGCGTAAATCTGAAAGCATATGTTATCACCACTGTGACTCACCGCTACATAAACTAACACTCCCTGGCACTTGTGGTCCTCAGTTTCAAGGGCACTAATTGTAAATGTCACTGAAAATGATAAACAGGAAGCAAGTTACCAATAAAAAAATGCATCTGCTTATAGAACAATCTGGATCCAATTTACTATTGCATTCTGAGTGGGCAATCTGGTCTCCCAACTAATACACCTCATGCAACCACAGCTGTTCCAAGAAGAAGGTGCTGCAGTAATATTAAAGCCTCTATTCTTATAAGGCTCTTTACTTTATTCTTAGAAACCATCACCAACTTTCTTAAGCTTGCTATTGTGTGGTACAAAGTGGAACACACACTCCATCTCAATTAATTGAGTGGTACATTGTTACCAACTGGAAAACATTGTTAAATATGAGAAACCTGTTCCCACCCTAGAGTTAATTATACACACCACTGAAAATTATTAATCAGACCCTCCAACAATTATTCCAGAAGGAAAATATCTAGTTTTACCTGCAATTCAATATTAACTTCCACGATGCAGACTTTTTTACATTCTCTGACATCTCATGGCAGCCACTGTTTTTTCTTTTCTTTTTTATTTTTTAGTAGATCACACTCATTTAATGCAGAAACAAAATGTACAAAGGCCGTATGGGTCCAAATGAAGGAAAGCGATATGTAATAGGATGGCAATGTAGAAAAACAGGGCTACTTGGGACTTTTGAAATACCTATTGATCTATTTCCTTTGATAGTAGTGATAAAAATCTCTGTTTTAAGAGAGGAGATAAACCACTTCCATTAATACTCACATTATCGGAAATGAGACTATTTGAATTTAATTCTATAGCTCTAGAAATATATATAAAAAAACAAAACAAATTATTCTTATCGTAAGAGAGATGGCATTATTATTTTAAAATGCAGATCCCAGTGATCATAGGAGGCAGATAATTACAGCATATCCTAGTGGCGTTAATTTCTACAGTATAGAAAGTGGTTACAAGTAGGGACTTCGGAGCAATGGTCAAATCCTAACTCTGCTTCTTCCTTGGATAAGTTAGTTACTTATCTTTTCTGACCCTCAGTGTCCTCTACCTCTATAAAACCGGAATAACAATAGAACCTATCCCACTGGGTTGTTATGCTGATTAAATATCTGAGCTATTGTTTATAAAATGCTCATCGAGTTCTTGGGACAGGCTGGGTGCAGTGGCTCATGCCTGTAATCCCAGCACATTTGGAGGCCAAGGCAGGCAGATCACTTAAGGCCCGGCATTGGAGACTAGCCTGGCCAACATGGTAAAACCCCATCTCTACTAAAAATACAAAAATTAGCCCAGTGTGGTGGTGCTCACCTGTGGTCCCAGCTACATGGAAGGCTGAGGCGGGAGAATGGCTTGAGCCTGGGAGGTGGAGGTTGCAGTGAGCTAAGATCGTGCCACTGCACTCTAGCCTCGGTAACAGAGCAAGACACTGTCTCAAAAAAAAAAAAAGTTCTTGGGACACAATAAGCCCTTAATACAGTTGAGGTACTCATGGTAGTGGAAACAGCAGCAGCAGCAGTAATAGTAGTAGTAGCAGCAGCAGCAGCAACAGAAGGAGGTAGTGATTAGCGGTAATATTATACGTTCTGAAACTAGCAAAGTAATAACTAATATAAATAGCATGAAGTAGTGTTAGTAAAATTGTAGAATTAAGTAACAATATTAATGCTAATATTAATATTAATAACCATATTAGTAATACCCTTATTATACTAACATTTCTAATATCATTGGTGATTACTAATACAAAGAGCATTGCTATTACCAGTACTCATAATAACACTAATATTCTAAGCCCTGAACATCATTGCACAGTCAATCCAAATAATGAAATATAAAACTGATCTATTTTGTACCAGAAATTATGACTTATTTTGACACAGGGATATTCTAAAGAATGTGATACCCTTCTGCCTTCCTCTGAAAGAAGATAATTATATCTTGGGGCAGTATTAGGAAAACAGAGCAATCTTCATATATATTAAAGGAGTAAAAGCCACAGAAGAACCACTGAATTAAGGGTTAGTTATGAGTTGTGTTGATTACCAATGAGGAGAAAATGTTACACGGAAAATACAAAGGAACTCCCCTGAAACAGAACAAAATCAACACATTACTCCAGCAACAGTAGATTCCAAACTACGGTCAGTTCTTAATTACCTAGAAGTAGATTACCTGGTTTGAGAATAATAGTGGTCAAAACCATGGTTCTAACATATCCACATATAAGCAGGTATGGACTAATCAGAACTTTATTGCAACAAAGAGATGCCACAGTGTGTCTACCTGTAACCACTTGCACTATCCAGGTATGGGTAGTTCTGCTATAACACTTGTTTTATAAATGTGAATTTATTTCAATTGAATTAATACATTAGGGAACAGTTTGAATACGATGCAAAGTTTGTGTTTGCTTATGAACAATTTCCTCTGGGAGAAGCACTATGAACTCAGAAAACCATACTCACCAGAACAGAACTGCATAGGAATACACGCACGCACACACAGGCACATACACACACACACACACACACACACACACACCCCTCAACATCTACAGCTACCTCAGTTCACAGCATGTGTTAGGAGCCACGCCTGTTCCCATCTGGTGTTACAACTTCCCCTCGGAGGTTTAGATAACCCTCTTTCTAGCCCTTCCCAGTCACAAGCTGCAAATCTTTCCACACCCACTTCCACAAGCAAACCTCAGGGCTTTTCAAGGGAAAGCACCATAGGTATTGTAGTACTTACCATATTTCTTAACCATTCAATTTGTGAAGAAGTGTGCTCTCATTTTTATTAGCTTCTTATCTTTTAAACATGTGTCACTGACAAAGTTTTTGAGTAATTTAAGTGTTGTGTCTCTCACCCATTGTCCCTGTAAGCCTGGATTTTCATTGCATGATTTTGCATAGCGCCATAATTTTAAGAATGCATATGTCACATTCTATCAGAACTCACTATATCTATCTTCCAAATCTTCTCCAACATAAAAGAGATATATTCTACTGCCAGACTTCTATAAAAGAATATAGAACATGGAGACATATTGCAGAAGCCTAGAGCAACTGTCATAGTAAAACGGCAATAGTCCTTAAGATCCAGACTTTACCCACCCCCAGGGGAGCTCACAACACTGAGAAGGTACAAGTTCTCAAAGGAGCATTTAAAGAAAGCTCTTGGAACTCCAAGGAGATCTCTGTGGCAGAGACTGATGAGCTAGTCACCAGACCAGTTTCTCTTATTCACGGCACCCATAATTACAATTCCTAGCCTCTTGCGGTCAGATCTAGCCTCAGAACAGGTTCTCACTAAGGGATGTGAGCAGAAGTGACATGTGAGCCTTCTCATCCACTCCACACTGCCTTTCAAACTCAGCCTGCTGTATGCATGTCTTTGAAGCTGCATGCTGAAGACTAAATTTAGGTCCCTGTGCCACTCCTTGGAGGAGACCTTACAAGAGCAGGACATAAGGGATTTTGGTATTGCAGACATTACACATTTTGGAGTGGTTTTGGTACAGCAGCTTTACCTTAACTTGTTAAATCAAATGGGCTGGCCAATAGCCTGCCTGAGCACTTGTATCCTGCTCCAGCTTAAATATTATAGGTCTAGCACAAAAACCTTTTCAGGACTGTTCAAGAAGGCGTGTACTTCCTATGCAACAGCTTCTCTGCCAAATGTAGGGGTTAGATAACAGTGAATTTACAAACCAGTGAGGGGAGAGAAAAATAGGAGTGACTATCAAAGACAATTACAGAGCTAACAATTCTACTCCTAGGAATATGCTCAGTAGAAACAAATACGATCACCAAAAAACAGGCATGAGAATGATCAGAGCAACTCGGTTTAACATAAGCAGTAGAATGGATGAATAGATTGGGGATCTTCATACAGTAGAATACTATACAGCAATGAGAATAAATGAAATACAACTACACACAAAGATGTGTCTAATAAACATGACTTAAGTGAAAAAAAGACACATCTATATGATTCCATTGATATTATGTTCAAAGACAGAGGATAGAAATCAAGAGGATAGTGATTAACTTCAGGAAGAGCTCCAAGAAGGACCACTGGAGTTCAAGTTGTATTCTAGTTCTTGAACTTGGTAGTTGTGTCACAGATATATTCAGTTTGTGGAAATCCATTGAGTCTACATCTATGATTTTTTACATGAATATTATGCATCACCGAACAGTCTTAAAAAATAAGAAGTGTTACTGGTGTAAGGACAGAAGTTTGGACAAGGTACTTTAGAGACTCAAAGATCCAATGTGTCTACAGTGTCAATTGTACTCATTTAGGCAAGTGAGAGACAAAGATTTTTTTCTGGTAGGATGTTTACAACTACTGGGAACCTCTACCTACATCCTCATCTTGCAGCCCAGTCTGATAACCTCCAATTCAAACAATAAATTGTTTATTTACAATTGGAATACACTCTCAAGTCTTAGGAGTCAAATCTCTGCAGATGCTAAAAAGAATACAGGCAGAATTTGGGAGGAAAGGGAATTTTTGGGTAATGATAATATCAATTTTTGTCAACAAATCTCTCCCTGTCTACGTTTCCTTTTTCCCCCTCCTTTCTTCTGATTTTTATTTCCCCATTCTCTGTCTACACACACATGAGCAAGTGTATACACACAAACACACAAATACATACACAGTAAGTTTATCTTCTATAAGCTTGTAATACACTCACACCTTTTGACTCACTAAGCCAAGCAATGGCTGTGTCGTTCAAAAAGCTTAGGCCACTCCAGATGCAAGAGAAGATTCTTTGCCAATCAAATCCTATCATGGAATCAATCTATGGCCATCGCCAGGGCTAACCATTTGTGTACTGGTTAATGTATATGACTTAGAGCCCTTTCAGGACAGAGACCATCTTGGAATAAATTAAGAAAAAATAAAACAGCATGTACAAGTAAACCCACCAAGGTATACTGGCTTCTGACAGGGCTGGATCCAGAACCCCAAACGCTCCTTTCACCCAGCGCCTCAGTAGATGCTAGCTCTTGGGCAGAGGTCCCTGGAACTGACACCTGTGGTTACGGGGAGCTCTGGACTTACATTCCTAAAGGCTTGTCACCATAGAGGAACAAAGCCTTTCTTTGTCAACTCAAGTTCATAAAATGCTGGGGCCAAGCTCTCACTGGCTCAGCCTGGGTCCTGAAGTCTGATGATCAGTAGCCACTGGGGTATATGAGGTATGGTTGACCTGGAGAAGGAGAAGTCCCCAAAGGAAAAAAAAGAAGTGATGTTCCAGGAAGAAGAGGGAAGAGTTCCCAGAAGGGGAACAAATCACACATCCACAACCCTCGTGTTTTTCAAACATGGGCAGCAAATTACTGGGGGATGTGGGTCCTGAAACCACTTCAATAGGCTATAATAAGCAGAATATAAAAAAGGATAAAATGAAACAATCAGGTTTTATCAAACTCAATATTTTGTGGAACTTCTGTTTTAATTGTGCATGTGGGTGCATGCACACACACATGTTATATATGTGGACTGGGTAACAATGCAAGACAAATTTCTTACTGTGGGTTTTGGTCAAATAAATCAGAGTACTACAATCATCAAACATTTGATTCATTTAACATGTGAGCATCTATACCTGCCCATTTGTGTGAATATTCAGTATATATCTCATACCTATTCTCATGCCTTCATTTATTGTGGTTATGGCTGTAGATATGGAAAAAACAGTAGCTGAGACATTTTTATTATGAACTATATTATACCTTAATCAATCAGTCAGAAAATGCTTAGGAAGAAGAAATGCATGATTGTAAATGCATGATTTCAACATGATACCCGAACAACAAAGTTGTCTAAGAATTTAATTGGTTTCCTCATAAACACCAAGAAAATTATTTTCAATTACTTAATTGTGTATTATCTTTATAAACTTACTTTCAATCACACGATTAGTACATGCTTGTTGAAGATAATTTGTACATTACAGAAAAGCATGAAAAGACCTTTTCAGTTCTTGTGAACTCAAATTCTGCAGTATATGGAACACAGAGAAGCACATTTCCCACTTGTGTAAAACTTCAGCATTTTGAGCTGTTCCCCATTACGGCAACCACTGTCACCAGCCGATGAATCAGTCCGTAATTATTAGGTACCCATATAACCACCCCTTTTGAGATATCAATTCAGCAAATCCTCTCTGCTCTCCAGAGCCAGCGCTCTTGGTTGCCTAACCAACAGTCATTTCCCCTCCTTCTTTCCTCCCAGAGTCTCAATTTTGCAGAGGTATCAGATGGCCATTTGCTGGGCTGGCAGTGGAACAGAGGTAGGGAGAGCTGCAGCCCTCTCTCACACTAGAAATAGACCCTAATTGATAGCATCCAGTGTTTGTCAATGAGGGACCACTACTATTTTGAGAGGGACAACTTTTCATAATGTAAAACTGTTTTACTCACGTTAGGATGTTTAGAATCTCTGGCCCCTTCCCACTATATGCCAATAGGACCTCCACCCCATCATTATAAACAATTAAAACACCCCAAGGGCATTTCACAACGTCTGTCCTCCAGCTGAGAATCACTGGGACTCTTAAACAGAGGTTGGCAAACTTTTTCTGTAAAGGGCCAGATAGTAAATAGTTTAAGCTTTATGTGCCATATAGTCTCACTTGCAACTACTCAACTCAGTAATTTTATTGCAAAAGCAGCCATAAATCCATAAATTTATATGTAGATGAATAGGGATGGCTGTGTTCTAATAAAACTTTATTTTAAAAAAACAGGTGGTGGGCTGGATTTGCTTGCAGATCACAGTTTGCTGATGTCTGCAAGTCTAAACTAGCCATGTCAATTCCTCTCACTGGGTAGGTTTAGGAAATACATGGAACATGGTGCAATTCTGGACAATGAAAGATTGGGGAACTCTGCTATGAAGTTTCTGAGAAAATTCTCCACCCTCTCAAAAAAAGAGGCATGGACAAAACATACCTTGCTTTCGTCTCCTTACCTTTGGTCCTTTTTTTTTTTTTTTTTTTTTTTTTTTTTGTGAGGATATGCTACCTGGAACTATTGCAGCCATTCTACAATGATAAGAGGTTCAGCCAACGTGCTGACATGGCACATCAAAAAGATGTCAAAACCCAGACACCTTGAATCGAGTTTACCAACCCTAAAGTGGCCCTCTGGATTTCTTATGTGAGATAAAAACATTGTCCTCCTCTTTAATGTATTTTTTGTTGTGTTTTCTATTACTTGCTGCTGACAGCATTTTAGTGAATATACTTTCAATTTGGTCATAAAGCAATAAGGATAATATATTTCTACCAGAATACGGGTATGATATTCAGATGGATGTTTTTCTTCTGCAATCAATAGCCTTGTTGTTGTTCTCCAAGTGTATCTCTGAATAAAAATGAAATTATTAAAGAAGAACAGCAGGTTGATTACTTTCTCAACTCCTCTTCCCTTCTTCCTCCATGCTGCTGAACCCTGATTCTGAGTGTTTGGGCCTCTGTGAAGGTGAGCCAGAGAAGACCATTTCATTGCCCTTTGCTAGGTGTGACCATGTGACCCACTTTGAGCAATGAGATTCTCTAAGGGAAAATTCTAGCTTCTAGAAAAGATGTCCCTCCAGGATTAAAAGAAAGAGCCTCACAAAGAGAATGCTCACAGTGCTCTGGCCACCCCTGCTTCATGCCTCTGAACCCAGTCATATGATGACATGATGCCTGAAGCTGTGGCAACCACATTACACCCATGAGGTGACAAAGCCTGAGGCTGATGGAGCAGGAAGAGAGAAAACACCTGGATTGTTGTTGACTTCACTGAGTCCATGAAGCCGAATCCAGGAATCACATATATCTAGGAATATTTTGTTTAAGCCCCTTTAATCAAGCATTGATTTACTTGCAGCTAAAATGTCCTGATAAACTCAAAGTAAGAAAGTATACTGAGGATGACATTTTTCACGTAAAACATAGTAGCTATTTAGGGTATACATGTCCTACTAAGTATAGGTGTCTCTAAATAAATGACCCATGTTGTAGTAGTGTGTTGACATCCACTCCCACGGAAGCAGGTAGCAGCTGGATAACCTGGAAGGGCAGGGCTAGGAGGCTACATCCCCTTCTATTTCGTCTCTCCTCTGAAGTAAGCCAACTTTTCCAGTGTGGTTTCCACACTTCCCTTCAAAGGATCCACTTGTCTCAGCAGAGCAACCAGTGGACAAAAGGGAACGCAATTTATTATCAGTTTGCTTTTAATCATTTCCTGCATAGCAAGTGTGGGCTATTACATCTCCTTTGTGGGAAAGAAAGTGAGCATGGCAGGAGAATATAAATATTTAAAACACAATTCCTATTCAAATTGTTTAATGACTATTTGAGAAGAGAAAGAAGTCTTTACAGTGGGAACATTTATACAGAGAAACATCTGTAAGTGCAAAGTTGTATTATCTAAAGGTAAAAATATGTATATATCTAAATCTGTATCTACATATTCATTTGTAATTCCCTCTGTCTCCAACAAGAATCACTTGATGATATTTGATGACATAGGACCAGGGCCAGAAAACTTTCTGCAAAGGGCAGATATTTCAGGCTTTGTAGGCCATATGGTCTCTGTAGCAACCACTCAGTTCTACTGTTTTAACTGTAGACAATACATAAATGAATGGGGATGGCTATGTTCCAAAGACAACTTTATTTCTGGACAGTGACATTTGAATTTCATATAATTTTCATGTGTCATGAAATATTATTCTCTTCCTGATTTTTGGGAACCATTTAAAAATGTAAAAACCATTCTTAGCTTAACACAAACACAGGAAACCGACTGAATTTGGCCCACAGGCTATGGTTTGCCAACTCTAGGACACAGAAAAAAATCTGAAATGACTTGTAGGCCAGCAATAAAACTATGAATTATGTCCAGTATAGTGTTATGCATATATGTTCTTGCATTCAGATGATCTTTAAAAAATGTTAGCACATATACCTATAATAGCTAGCCTTTTTTAACACATGACTATATTCTAAATAAATGAAAGTTTATGGAGTTTACATGACCACATCGGAATGAAAGGGAGATAAAGTAAGGCACTAACCAGTAGAGAAGGATTAGATGCTTTATTGCCTCCTATGCGTGTTTCATCAGCTTACTTAAACACTCTATTCTTCAGCCTGTCAACATGACCTCAACCGGAAAGCCAAATTATGAACTAATGGCATCATAATCAAATTACAATCCTAAAGGAAACATCCATCAATACATCGCTGGAATGTGGTTCTCTAAAAAACATCAAGTTGTCCCCTTTAGTGAACAGAAGATCATCAGAGGGTAAGATCTTGAAGATTGCTGTCAACAATTAATAAAATTTAAGTTATAAAATGTATAAGCTCGCGGTGGCTCACGCCTGTAATCCCAGCACTTTGGGAGGCCGAGGCGGGTGGATCATGAGGTCAGGAGATCGAGACCATCCTGGCTAACAAGGTGAAACCCCGTCTCTACTAAAAATACAAAAAAAAATTAGCCGGGCGCGGTGGCGGGTGCCTGTAGTCCCATCTACTCGGGAGGCTGAGGCAGGAGAATGGCGTGAACCCGGGAAGCGGAGCTTGCAGTGAGCCGAGATTGCGCCACTGCAGTCCGCAGTCCGGCCTGGGCAACAGAGCGAGACTCCGTCTCAAAAAAAAAAAAAAAAAAAAATGTATAAGCTTTCCTGGTTGAAAGGTGGTGAACATAAAAATATTTTTCTGTTTATATCCCCATCAGAGAAAACCTTATCTTGATATTAAAAATGAAAAAAAAAATTGCTTCAGAATACTAAATTCTATGCAAAAAGTAACAGATCATTTTTATAATGATACGATCTTCCAGCTTTATCTTAATTTGCTAGTAAAAGTTATCATTAAAATTTTATAGATCTGAAATTTCTATTATACTTGTATAATACATATCTTTAATATATTAAACTATCTCTTATGTTTCATTCATTCAAAATAGAGAAAACTAAGAAATTCAAGTTAAAACTGTCTGAGTTAGCAATTTATATTTTCTCCGGGGTTGATTTTTCAACATTTTATCACATTTTAGGAAATCATATTTACCCAAACTTCTTTCTGTTGTCTAAATAGATTTTCTTCTTCATTACCCCCCCATTCTGATACCATTTTTATTAGTTTCTTATAGATCCTTTCAGTATTTTTATGTAAATATAAGCATATTTACTTTTGTGAGTCTTACTATTTTCACTTAATAAATATGTCCTGGAGACCATTATATATCACTGCATAAAGTGTTTCCTTGTTCTTTATTCTTACAGCTGCATAGTGTTGCAAACTATTTTAATCTAGGTTCTCATAGATGAATTTCTTTGAATTTGCCCATTATATGGTAAAACAATGGAATTGTTGAAATATAATTAACTTCAGAGGGAATATTGCATAATTTTCCTATTTTACAAATAAGAAGACAGAGGCCCAACTTGCTCAAATCCACCTGAAGTTCCAACTACCATTACTCAAGCTTTCCCCATCACTAAGTACTTCAAGTCTTGTCACTGGGTTAACTCCTGTGACAAATGCTGCTTGTCAAGTTCAATACCTTTGAGGAACTAGAATGCCCACAATTTTAGCATAAAATTTGAATATCATTTTAATGGCATCTCAGATTACCTCCTGTCTTTTATGGGTTTTGAAATACTCAGTATACTATTTTTGATGCCATAAGAAAAAAATCTGCCCATGAAATCCAAAGACTTAGCTGTAAACATATTCATCACATTGTTATCCAAAGCAAAACACTGGAAACAACCTCAATGTTAATAAATAGGAAATCATTAAGTAAATCGTGGTACATGTAGCTGTTAATTTTATATTTATAAAGAAGGTTTAATGATATGGGAACAAAATATTTTGTAAAAACTTAAGGATAGAATAGTGTATTTATGTTAACTGTAAAACAGTTATAAAATTTAAAGAAAATAGAAGGCTAACGATCTCATTGCTGATAGAATTTCAAACATTTATATATCTTTTTAAATACATTCTATATATTCAGAACTTTTTACAATAAAGGTATCCACTTTTACAATCAGAAAAAATATTTGAAGAATTTGTGGATATTGTTGTTTGGACTCTTGAATTTATATGGTTATTCTTTTAGCATTTTTGAAATTCAAGTTTATTTTTTACTTGGTAATATATACCCACCATTTCAAATAAAAATAAAATAAAAATGTAAAGTGTAGATGGGACATGGAGAACCACTCATGTCCTTGTGCACCCCACCCCCTCACGTATAACCCTCTGAACTACCACTTTACAGAGTTAAGTAATGTTATTTTTTGTGTATCCTTCCAGCCATTGTGATGCAAATACAAGAAAAAATATATGTTCCATCTCCCTCATCTTTTTAAAGTTTTTTTTAACCTTACTATTTTCACTTAACAATAAACGTATTCAGAGATCTTTCTATATCACTCCATAGAGCATTTCCTTCTGCTTTTTCACAGGTAGTGCTATATTTTAATTTTTAAGCAAAATTCTCATAGGCCCTTTTCTTAAAATTTGTTCATTCAGTGTGACATTTCAAAAGAGCGATAAAAAACTAACTCTGGGTCAAATATATATATTTTAGCAAGACAATGCCTTTCACTTAGTATAGTATTTCACTTTTGGGTTTTTTAAAACTTCATTTTCCCAATATACTGTATGCAAAATACCTGATCATAGGTTCTTTAATATCACATTAAGTATAAAAAAACTCCCATGATCAAATATTTAAGTATTTTACAATACTTAACTGGCATGAAAACAATATTAGTCTCTTTGTACATCTCCCTCAGAGCACTTGGGTGACCAGGTACATTGTCAATGGGCAGTAATATTTTGAAAGGAATCTATTTTTCCTGAACAGTAATATTTTACAATACTTAAAGATTTTTCTGATTGTAAAAGTAGGATGCTTTTATCGTAAAAAGTTTTTAAAATATAGAGCATATAAAGAAAAGATACATAAATACTTGAAATTCTATCAGCAATGATATCACTTAGCCTTCTATTTTCTTTAAACTTTATATCTATTTTACAATATTATCTACAATTCTCTCCTGGCACTAAAGACAAAATGTATATAATTAGAGAAGACTAGGACTTTCAGGACTAGAAGGAAAGGAAAGAAAAGAAATACGAGAATGAGAGGATATGGGCCCAGATATAGGGCTGGGTCCCAAGCTGTAGAGGTAGGGAACAGTTCACTGCCAAGGGTAAAATGGCTACAATAAATCAGCAGTGACAGCAGATCCTAAAAATCGGAAGGAGCAGTGCAATCTGATGAATGACGTACAGAAGCAGGCATACCTGTGATAATCAGTATTGGACATCATGTGGAATACAGTATGGTTTCACTCTGATTCATTCACAATTCGCCAAATATTTACTCAGTACAGACATACCTCAGAGATATTGCAGGTTTGGTTCCAGACTACTGCAATAAAGCTAATATTGCAATAAAATGAGTCACATAATTTTTTTGGTTTCCCAGTGCATATAAAAGTTACATTTATACTATATTGTAGTTTATTAAGTGTGAAATAGCATTATGTCTAAAAGAACAATGGCATACCTTAGTTTATAAATACTTTATTGTTAAAAATATGCTAATGATCATCTAAGCCTTTAGTGAGTCGTCATATTTCTGCTGGTGGAGGGTCTTGCCTCCATGTTGATGGATGCTGACTCATCAAGGTGGTGGTTGCTGAAGGCTGGGGTGGCTGTGGCAATGTTTCAAAATAAGACAACAATGAAGTTTGCTGTGTTGACTGACTCTTTCATGAAAGATTTCTCTGTAGCATGTGATGCTGTTTGATAGTATTTTACTCACAGAACTTCTTTCAAAATTGGAGTCAATCCTCTCACACCCTGCTGCTTCTTTATCAACTAAGTTTGTGTCATATTCTAAATTCATTGTTTTTATTTCAACAATGCTCACAGCACCTTCACCAGGAGTAGAATCTATCTCAAGAAACCACTTTATTTGCTCATCCATAAGAAGCAACCCTTAATCCATTCAAGTTTGATGATGAGATTGCGGCAATTCAGTCCCATCTTAAGGCTCCACTAAGTCTAGCTCTCTTGCTATTTCCACAACATCTGCAGTTACTTCCTGCACTGAAGTCTTGAACCTCTCAAAGCCATCTATGAGGGTTGGAATCAACTTCTTCTAAACTCCTGTTAATGACATTTTGACATCCTCCCATAAGTCATCAATGTTCTTAATGGCATCTAGAATGGTGAATCCTTTCCAGAAGGTTTGCCATTTACTTTGCCCAAATTCATCAGAGGAATCACTCTCTATAGCAGCTATAACCATACAAAATATATCTCTTTTTTTAAAACTAGTCAAGTGTAGTACTGAGAATGTGGAAAAGAGTAGAACAAGAAATTCAATCTCTAACTGACTGTGAACAATCAATTGAGATAACTCACTACCTTCAGATCAGCCAAATTCCTTAAATAATGAGACTTGGAAGTCAAAATTACTCATTGATCACTGGGCTGCAGAACAAATTTTGTGTTAACGGGCATGAAAACAATATTAGTCTCCTTGTACATCTCCCTCAGAGCACTTGGGTGACCAGGTACATTGTCAATGGGCAGTAATATTTTGAAAGGAATCTATTTTTCCTGAATATAAGTCTCAACAGTGTGCTTAAAATATTCAGTAAACCATGCTGTAAACAGATGTACTGTCATCCAGGCTTTGTGGTTCCATTCCTAGAGCACAAGCAGAGTAGAGTTAGCATAATTCTTAAGGGCTCTAGAAGTTGTGGAATGGCAAATGAGCATTAGCCTTAACTTAAAGTCGCCAGCTGCATTAACTCCAAAAAAGAGAGTCAGCCTGTCCTTTCAAGCTTTGAAGCCAGGCATTGACTTTTCTTCTCTAGCTATGAAAGTCCTAGATGGCATCTTCTTCCAATTGAAGGTTAGTCTACACTGAAAATCTGCGGTTTAGTGTAGTCATCTTCATCAGTGATCTTAGCTAGGTCTTCTGGATAATTTGCTGCAGCTTTTCCATTAGCACTTGCCGCTTTACCTTGTACTTTCATGTTATGGAGACAGCATCTTTCCTTAAGCCTCACAAACTAATCCCTGCTAGCTTCAAACGTTTTATCTGCAGCTTCCTCACTTTTCTCAGCCTTCGCAGAATTTAAGAGAGTTAAGAGTCTTGCTCTGGATTAGGCTTTGGCTTAACGGAATGTTGTGGCTGGTTTGATCTTCTATCCAGACCACTCAAACTTTCTCCATATCAGTAATAAGGCTGTTTCACTTTCTTATCGTTTGTGTGTTTCCTGGAGTAGCACTTTTAATTTCCTTCAAGAGCTTTTCCTTTGTAGTCACAGTTTGGCGAACTGTTTGGCACAAGAGGTCTAGTTTTTGGCCTATCTCAGCTTTCAACATGCCTTCCGTACCAAACTTAATTATTTCTGGCTTTCAATTTAAAGTGAGAGATGTACAACTCTTCCTTTAACTTGAACACTTGCAGGCTACTGTAGGGTTATTAATTGGCCTGATTTCAATATTGTTATGTCTCAAGGAACAGGGGAGCCTGAGGAAAGGGAGAGACATGAGGGAATGGCTAGTTGGTACAGCAGTCAGAACACACACAACATTTATCAATTAAGTTTGCCATCTTATATGTGTGGTTCATGACAGCCCAAAACAATTGCAATAGTAACATCAAACAATTCCAATAGTAACATCAAAGATTACTGATCACACATCACCATAACAGATATAATAATAATAATGAAAAATATGACACAGAAACACGAAATGAGCACATGCTGTTGAAAAAATGGTGCTGACAGATTGCTTGATGTGGAGTTGGCACAAACCTTCAATTTGTAGAAAGTGCAGTATCTATAAAGCACCAATAAACCAGAGTGCAATGAAACAAGGTATCCTTAAATCTACTATAAACCAAGGAGGTTTAATACCAGGGGATTTGCCCTTGAAGAGTTCATAAATGAGACACAGATCAAAACTGGACTCAATTATAATACCATCTATACCAGTCAGCCATTGCCACAACAATGCTGCATAACACAGTGTCATACAAGAATAAGCATCTGTTTTCATGCTCACAGGTTTGCCTGATGGTGCTGGTCCATGTGAATCTAGCTTCTAGGACCAACAGGTTAAACTAGGCAGTTCTTCATATAGCAATGTTAAGAGCTTTTTGCTTTTTTACATTCTTTTTTAGAAACGTACAATACCTTAAAGGCATTCTCCTACCAAAAACTTGTACCAAAACAGATACCCTGTGACTTCTGTCCATATTCCACTGGCCAAAGCAAGTTACTTGGCCAAGCCCAACAGCAATGGGGCAAAGAGGTACCCTCTACCTCTAGGAAGTAGAACTATAATGTCACATGGAAAAGGCTTGGATTCAGGGAAGATTTAAGAATTGGGAACAAAATTACAATCTACCACACAATGAAGAAATGTTGTGAAAAGAGCAGGGCATGACATGTCCAGCACAGATAGGGTACACAGTGGCACTAAACTTCCCAGCTTGCCTCACAGTTACATAGGGTCAGAGTTCTGCCTAATGGAATGAGGGTAGAATGGTATACTTTGATTCTGGGCATAGCCCTTAAAAACCTGTCACCCAATCTTCTACCATTCTCTCCCCTCATCTGTCAGCTGAACACTGATGTGCAGGAAACCTTCGATAGCATACTGAAGATGAGATAGTCCTATCTTACAGGTTCTCAGAATGGCTGAGCATATCAGAGCTCCCCCACACCATCAGGAATGCCTGTTTTGTGTATCAAGCAAACAAGAGATGGGCCACAAAAATTGAGGGATTGATCTGTTAAAGCAGTGAAATTATCTTCGCTAATAAAAGATGTCAGTCGAGCTATTTAACCCAGGATTGGGAGGTTGGAGAAGGTGACATGGAACAACCTTAGATTAAAAGCTGAAATATAAAAGACAGATAGGAATTTTTCAGGTGTAAAGGAGGCAAGATAAAGATTGTTCCAGACAAAATGAAGAGTTTATGCAAAGGCTCAGGGTGTGGCACTTTTTAGGACTTCTAAAAAATTCAACATGGTTAGGGGTAGATGTGTGTGTGTGTGTGTCTCTGTATGTGTGTGTATACACGTGTGTGTTTGGTGTTGAGTAGGAAGTTAAGGCTGGAAAGGAGGAATAACAAGTTCAGAGAAATATGGTTCTCTTTTTCTTTTCTTTTTTTTTTTGAGACAGAGTCTCGTTCTGTTGCCCAGGTTGGAAGCACAGTGGCGCAATCTCAGCTCACTGCAAGCTTCGCCTCCCAGATTCAAGCTATTCTCCTGCCTCAGCCTCCCGAGTAGCTGAGACTACAAGCGCCCGCCACCACGCCCGGCTAATTTTTTTGTATTTTTAGTAGAGACGGGGTTTGACCGTGTTAGCCAGGATGGTCTCGATCTCCTGACCTTGTGATCCGCCCACCTCGGCCTCCCAAAGTGTTGGGATTACAGGCGTGAGCCACCGCGCCCAGCCCGAGAAATACAGTTCTCAAAGGAACCAAGTGAATCAGGCCAAACCCAAAAGGGTAAGGATAAAGAATATGGATTTTCCCCTCAAAAGTATGTAGACGGAGGGGACAGGGAGGATCCAATTTGCACTTTACAAAGCTTCTAAGTTAACCTACAAGTGGTATTGTAAGTGCTGACAGTTTAAGTCCCCCAGAGCGGGGCTGGCAAGGGTGACTGTGTTCAGGGTGAATCTCCAACCATATCCATCCTTCCCCCTGCTAGTAAAGAAGGCTGACACCCAGACTGCCCCAAAGGGAAATTTGAGTACTGGGCAGAGAGATCAAAGAAGAACAGTAAAATACCCATGTAAAGGGCAGAGAGTAAATATTTTAGGCTTTGCAAGCCATGTGGTTTCTGTCACAGCTATCCAACTCTCCCAAGAGCAGCCACAGTATACAAACAAAAGGGCATGGCTGTGTTTAAATAAAACTTTATTTATAAAAATGGTCATAAAGCTTTCTAAAATAAGTAAACACATCAGATGGGTTAAGTTTGCCAGCCCTGGCCCTAGGCCATGAAGCAGGACATCGCCCTGAGCCACAATTCAGTTGGGCATGTTTGGGATTTACACCAAAACTAATTCCAGACTCCACCACTGTATAGCTGAGACTGCTAACTGCTCCTGTACTAGGGTAAAGACCGGTGACTTGGATCGTGAACTTCAAAAGAGACAAATATCCAGGACTCCAGTTACAGGAACCATTGTAAAATCACCATGGTCAGTATGTTATCCAATGTTGAATCAATACAACAGCCTTGAATCAGCCAGATGGCCGCGTGTTCTCCCCCACACCAGTCTCTGACCAGATAAATAACTGTGCCAGTTCAATAGAAAAATACACTCATTCCTACATTCATTAGGAAAATTTTACCATTAATTTTATGAACTTTTGCCTACTGCTTTCTTTGAACCTCATCTTTGTCAGGTAATCATGTTCTTATTTTCAATTAAGCAAATCTCATAAAACTTGTGAAGCCTATAAAAAATAACCAAAATAAAAATTAAAACCCTATAGTAAATTGTAATTGCAGGGAAATTACTTTTCATTTTCAAACTTTGGAAACATTTCTTTCATAGAAATGATTGTGTTTTCCTAGCTTTCAAAAAAGACTTTCTAAAATAAAAACTTACTGACATCTATAAAAACCCATTTCAATATCATCATAACTTTGCTTATTGAGCTTAAAGCAGTAAAACAGAGACTCCTTGGAAATACAAGTTGATGACTTTTTAACCATCAATCACCAAATATATATATTATATTTTATATATATAATATATATATACTTCAAATGTAAAAACAGAAATAAAAGTTTATTCTCTGAGACCAAGTCCAAGAGCAGGCTATTTACTTTTAACATGTACATTGTATTCCGTTATATTCAATAAAGAAGTACTGACATGGTAATTGTTCAGCTAAACAAATATGACAATTTGTTTGCAACAAATGTTAGAATGAATTGTATATGACTTCACTCACTAATTATTTAGTATAGACTATTTATCTTATGCCAAATTCTGTAAACCATACTTGAAAATATATTTCTGAAAGAACAGTTCTGGCAGAAAACCCTTCTCATCTCTTTGCCAGGAAAAAAAAAAAAATGGGAATGTTAACTTTGTTATCTAAAACTAAGGCTTAGATTTCTTCAAGATAATTTTCAGAGCTTAAGTACATAATGACCTAAATTACTCAGAAGCAAGGCAGCATACTTTTGATATATGTTTTTGCTGTAAAGAACTAAAGGTAGTCTATGATTTCTCATTATAATGCTCTCAGTCAAATCATAGGAAAGTTAGATTAAACTCAACTCCAAATTGATACAGCCTACCTCCATTCCTCTGACTACAACTAAATCCACTTATCTGGTTTTATTTCCATTTGGAAACAGATTAGTGAAGGTCATTAGCCATTAGGACCAGATGGCTCAAGTGTACTGTAAGGAAATACTAGGCATTCTCCTGTTGACTTGATTATCAGTTCACCAGCACACATTGGTTGAGGCTATACAAGTAGTATCACCCATTCTTTTTCCATACATTTTGAACTGGATATTTATGGAAGGCAAACATCACCTTAACAAGCAACTCTCCAGCTCCCCAAAAATATCAGGTCAACTTAGTGACCAAAGAATAAGCATGCATAATTTTTCCAAGTGCAACAAATTAGTAGGACAATTATGTCCACTTCTAATGGTCAGTTTCCAACAGTTCAAGAAGTAATTTGAGATCAGAAGTTTCAATAAAGATAAGGTCTATATTAACTGGTAATGTGCATTAGTGAATTCAAGTATTTATTATAATATGCTCAATTTGACGTGTGTGCCCGCATGTGTGCTGATAATGATAAAGAAGCGAAAACAGGAAAAGGCATTGTTTAACCCAGGGGTCAGTGAATTCAAGTATTTATTATAATATGCTCGATTTGACATGTGTGTGCCCACATGTGTGCTGCTAATGATAAAGAAGAGAAAACAGGAAAAAGGCATTGTTTAACCCAGGGGTCAGTTAACTTTTTCTGTAAAGAGCCAGAGAGTAAATATTTTAGGCTTTGTAGGCCATAAGGTCTCTGTGGCATCTATTCAACTTTGCTGTTGTCAGGCAAATGCAGCCATAGATAATACATAAATGAATGGACATGTGTTCCAATAAAACTTTATTTATGGACACTGAAATTTTAATTTCATATTATTCTTTTTTTGATATTTTTGAACCATTTAAAAATAAAGAAACCATTCTTTGCTCACAGGCTATGCCATAACAGTCAGCAAGCCAGATTTGGCTCATAGGCCACAGTATGCCAACCCCTGTTTTAGCCTATTCATAATTTTCTTTTCCTGCTATGATTAGCTTTCAAGATTAAAGATCATTTGATGGTAACAGTGGTAGATTTCAGGACGGTATGCTTAAACAAAGATTTTAAACGGTCTTGAGTTTTCTTATTGAGCCAAGTGTGAAACCAGTGGTTTCAAGTTCATTCCTTAAAGATACATTTCTAGTTCACCAATAATGTACATTCTCTTACAGCTAAACTTCCACGGTTAACCTCAAATGAAATAACAAAGTACTAAAGTTGAACAGTGTATGTGTATGTAAAGGGGGAGAATGAACAGCTGGAAGGACCATAAGCAGAAAGTGAGACTTTCCAGGTCATGCATTTAAAGTACAAGTAAGTTTCACTGCAGCTGTCAGTCTGTACCAAATTCTGATAGCAAGAAGGTGAAACTCACTTGCCCCAGACAATAAGAGAGAGAGAGAGAGATGCTTGAAATGGTACAAAGCCTGACCTAGACGCCTTCTTCCCAGAACTGCGAGCGACTAGACTTTCACAGCTTCAAACTAGCAACTCTTGGGAAACTAGAGTTAAATATTCCTAAAACAGGAATCTAGTTCTGTTATGAAACTGTTCATCATTTCACCTCCTGACAGTCACAAAAATCAGCAGAACTTAGAAAGGATTCAGAAGATGAGCAAGTAGCATTTTTAATAAAATTCAAATCCAGAGTCTTTGGGGTTTTTTCATTGCTAGCCTCCAGAGCTCACTATTATCAGCAATATTAATACAATTACTCAGTAAAAATAGGGGATATGGGAAAAACCCTGACCTTTTGCATTACTTCTTTAACTTCCCCTTTTCCCTGGGAAATATTTAATTCTGAATAAGATAAAGGTAAAAGACAGAAGTTTAGTAGTATCTAAATGGACTTGACATAAAAATCTAAGGAAACTATACATATGTATTTTGTATTTTTCCTCAAATATAAGATACTTGTAAGAAAATTAGCATTCTAATATTAGATATTAGTCACTGCTATATACCACAAAATAACCCATGCAACTATAAGAAAATGCAAAGTAAAGCATTCCCCAAATTTACCTACTACTATAAGAAATCATCATATCAACAGTGGGGACTCAATCATTATCATCAAGTCTACCGTTTTGCTTAAAGAAAAGAAGCCAAATCAGGGACTTAATCTATGAACATATCACTCAATTTAATAACATCCCTATGAGTTTTGGATCTCAAATCATCTCCCTCTGGCAAAAGGGGCATAATCATATGTTTTTCTACTGGACTGCATTCTTCTATAAACATTTGAAAGAATGCATCTGCTTTACAAATAAAATAGTCAATACAAAGAGCAGTAACAATAAAAATATATGCCTGTTTTTATACTATTACTGGTTTATAAGGCAATCATCTGTAATGCTCTCATCTACAAGGATGGAAAATAATATAGAACTGTTACCAAGGAAACAGTGAAGTAAAACTGCATGTAAACTATCAAGCAGTTTAAGAACCAGAAAATTAGAAGAACGGGAAAAACCATCTTCAGATAGAACCATGACACACTGTGCCACCCACGAAGGATGCAATCAAGGGTCATAACTCTAACTGATGATGTAAAGGGTGCCAACTACTTACCAGCAATTCCAACACTTGGCAGCAATTTTTTTTTAATGGTACTGGGTTATTGAGGGGCACTGTCAATTCTGATTTTTCCCACGATTAAAAGGGTATAGATTCTGGAAACGAATAGTTAAATGTAGACACTCTAAAAAGTCAAAATATGCAGTTTATTTATTCCAGTGTCGAATAATATTCTCTTGGAATTCTCTGTAATTACACTGTCTTTACTCACAGATAGGACACTAAGCAAATATCACTTCCAAGATATGCCTTCTGAATTAACATTTAGAAGCTCAAGTTTGTAGGAACCAAAGGTAAGGCCAGGTACCCAGGGTAACTACATGTGTTTGCCTCTAAACCAAGAGAATTTTAAGCACTGAAGTAACCATGCTGATCAAAGCTAAATCCTTTAGGAAGATTATCCATTCTGAAATCAGGAAAATCCTGCAGTATAAGCACTTTCATACTTCACCTTTGAGAAAAGAACTTGCTTTCTGTAACAGTGTTTAAAACACATACAAGACTTTCTTCCTCCCAAGGCAGAAACAAGCAACTGCAAACATGTGTTTTTACATGCTGATGACCCTCTAAAGGTACTTCTATCTCAGCACGGGGACCATCCTCGGGCTCACACTAAAGAAAAAGAAGAATTCTATGGATGGAAGATTTCTTAATCGGCACATCAGCTCAGAACATTTGCACCTTCTGTCTTTAGAATAAACACTCTACTGGATCACATTAAGGATAGAAAGTGAAACTCACACTCATTTACTAAATTTTAAACTCTCTTTAAAATAAGATACCACTCTCCCCACAGCCTTGCTTGAGTTTTGCAAAAACTCAGATTTGTGAATATCATGTAGGCATCCTAGAATTTAGTAAAAAGAATATGAAACATCTTTTCACTGACACATGACACTGTCCTCTCCAAAGTTCCTAAGTTTAAGGACTAAATCGAGGCTCTAGATGTTTTGTTAAACTGTTTTTAGCATCTGAGGCCACCAAAAAGTATCCTGGTTACTTTGAACTATACTATTGGTTGAACTTCCCTTTCCCTTTAGCAGTATCTCTGTCCATCACACGGAGGGTACCACTTAGCCTCTAAACTTGCACACAGCTGCTTCCCAACCATGGTTCAATATTTGACAGCTGTTTAGAAACTAGCCCTAGGCAGAAGCATGCAGGAAGTTAATAGAATAGTGGTGTGAAGCAATGGCCCTCTATGAGATCAGCTTGAAAGCAAACAATTGGCCACACCACAATCATCCACTGCTTAACACATCAGTCTTCTGATCTGCAGGACAACACCTCTTCCTGAGCTGCTCTAAGACACAGGTATTTACCCATCAACTGCGTATCTCCAGTCTACTTAGAGTAAGCTGCACTGGGCCTTTCTGCCTGGGGAAATCTGCTAGTGGCATGAAGACTGACCCATGTTAGTAGAAAGGGAAGGTGGAGATGGGCAGGCAGAACAAAGACCTGTAGATGTCGGAGAGAATGGCAACATCCAAACAGAACCTTTCTGAAGTGGTCTAATGTAATTTAATAAAGCAAAGTCAACATACGTTTCTACCTCTGACTATTGGAAGCTGCTCATCCCTGCCTGATGCAATCAACACATCTCACTCTGACACTCAGGACTGAAGGAAAACCTGGGATTATTCTGTCCATATTGCAAGTAAGTTTTTAAGCTACATCCTGGAAAAACCCAACTGTCTACCTCCTACGTCCTGGTGGTAGCTGCTATAAAGAGCTCCAGGGGCAGAGAAGGTTGGGCATGGTTTTCTAAGACCACTCCTATTGGGCTCTTCCCAATTAATGCCACATAGCAAGCAGCACAAACCTTACTCTGTGGCTCAAACGAAGACTTTGGAAGCATAAGCAGGGCAGAAGACCTGGAGGAGTGCTCTGGCCAGGCAACACCTAGGCGGCCCAAGCGTGGAAATGTTCCTCTTTTATCAGTACTACCCAAAAATGTCTGAATCGATGATTTAGTTTTAGCTACTGTTTTAACAACATGGCCACTTAGAAGAAAATTTCTAAATCTTTCGAGGCTTAAGAATATAGTTACCCCCCCCCCAAAAAAAAAAAGGCTGAAAGTCTTTCTCTTCTATCTACATGACTTCGCCATCTAGGTTACCGTTGGGAGCACCTGGTCAATCTAGGAGCTGACTTTGTGGAGGTGTGGAGGTGTAATTTAGGAGTTGGGGGAAGGCGGCACTTTTGGTCTTTGCAGCTTGGAAGGCAGGCACCCAAGCTCCAAGCACTTCTGGGTTTCCCTAGCAGTAGCAATTACAACCATCTTCTCTTAGCCCTGAATTATACATGGGACCCCAAACACCGCTGGGGCTTTTCCTTAGGGAAAACAAACTGTCGTGAATGTCGGTGTGTTGGTGAGGGCATGTATGTACCTCTCTGTGTGTGGTCTACACCCGCCGCTACACAAGCCTCAGCAGCCAGTGAGAAATAAGTTGAACGTGGAAGCCCCCGGCCACTTCGTTTGTCTTAAGCCCCGTCGCGCTTTCCAGCTTTTGCCTCTACCCAGCCTCCCGAAAAATAAGGCACCAAGTTGCCCGCGGCAGCGGCCCTGGGTGCAAACGGAACCCGCGCAGCCCCTACCTCGAAAGCTTTGCAATCTTCACAAAGCTGAAGACATCCATGCAGGCAGCTGGGGACCCCCGAGCGCGACAACTCCGTCGCCCCTTCTCACGCCAGCAACAGCAGCCTCCGCAGCCCCATGGCCAAGACCTCAGTGCGCCCGGGGCTCGAGTCGCGGCGACAGCGGGTGGCGGCGGCGGCCGGAGAGAACCTGCACCTGGAGGCGGCGGCTGCTACCCCCCTCCGGCCGCGAGCTGCGTGTGCATCCCCGAGCAGGACCATTGATAGGCACCCGAGGCAGGAAAACTCAATGGAGAGGGAGCCAGGCAGGGCGCAAGAGGCGGGGGCGGGGAGCGCGGCCCGGGTCTCGCGCCCCGCCCCGTGCGCTCTAGCCCCGGGGACTGCCGGGCGTCCAGAGAAAGCGAGGCCTGGGCGAGAGGCGCTGCTCTGGCTTCCCGGCCCTCGGACCCTCGTGCCCCACGCACCGAGGAGCGCAGACGGAGCCGGGAGACGGCAGGCGAGCTGGGCACACGCGCACGCACCCCTCGCAGCACTGCAGCTGCCTCCCTGCCTCCTTCTCCAAGCCGAGTCCCTGCTCCTCTCCCCACCCCCACCCGCCCGGGGGGAGGGGGCACTCTCCTGTCACCCACTGCGTGTGCCTCTAGATCTGAAGGATCTGGTCTAACAGTCTATGGCACACTGGAGAACTGTGAACGCTACCCCTCCCTCCCCAAGCCGAAGGAGAGCCGTGCAACCGCAGGTTGCTCAAAGCCTCGGTTTGCTCCGTAAACAAAACTAGCGTTCGGAAGGAGCAGGGATGATTGAGGTTGGGTCGTTTGTCAAGGGGAAGGGAAGGGAGATGCCAGGCGCAGCGGGCTCGATTCGGGGAGCTCAGAGTTCCCACTGCTTCTCCCGAATCGCTGGGGCGAGACGTGACCACTGGGCTGGCTGGGAAGGTGTGTCTTTGGACAGCAGCACCGCGGGAGTGTCTGCCAAATAAGAACCGGAGGCATTTGCGGGTAGGGGGATGAACACAGCTGCTCCCTCCTCGAGGAGCATAGAGCGGAGGGTCCCAGGAGCCCGTGATGCGGAGGCTAATTCTAACCGGGCTCAGAATCTAAGGAAAGAGAAGGATTAGAATGGGGTCTGCCACGCAGAGCGAGCTGCTTTTGCACACTGAGCCTTGGGTGAAGGGAACAGGGAAGAAAAAAACAAAACAAAACAAAACCTTGCCGGAGAAGCAAAAACACAGAAACATAAACACTCACCTTAGGCAGAGTAAACTCCAAGTTGCAGCCATCTAGAACTCCTCCTAGCCTTCTCTTTTACATAATTACCTTGGATAATCAGCCCTGTTCATTAACTCAGTTCTACCTCCTGGGAGGCTCAGGCTTCATTGGGCCCCTTTTTCTTCTTCCTCTTGAAGTCTCAAGGCCTCTTCTCCACAATCCTTTAAAATTTCCCCCCAGACTGTGAAGGTCAGCTGGCCGCACTAAGTGTGTGCTCTCCCACCGGCAGCGTTCACCTGGCGGCAGGGCCACCGCA